>NC_000011.10:60000-363030 GCF_000001405.40 Homo sapiens
GAATTCTACATTAGAAAAATAAACCATAGCCTCATCACAGGCACTTAAATACACTGAAGCTGCCAAAACAATCTATCGTTTTGCCTACGTACTTATCAACTTCCTCATAGCAAACTGGGAGAAAAAAGCAATGGAATGAATAAAATGATAGCCACAAAAATCAAGGTGGGAGAAATACTTATTATATGTCCATAAAAAATTTTAATTAATGCAAAGTATTAACACCAATGATTGCAGTAATACAGATCTTACAAATGATAGTTTTAGTCTGAACAGGACTATCCAAAAGTTAATTTTCTATAGTAACAGTTTTTAAATAAAATATCAATTCCTGAAACACATAAAATGGTCCATGAGTATACAACGAGTGAAAAAAAACAAATTCAGAGCAAAGATAAATTAAGAAGTATCTAATATTCAAACATAGTCAAAGAGAGGGAGATTTCTGGATAATCACTTAAGCCCATGGTTAAACATAAATGCAAATATGTTAATGTTTACTGAATAACTTATCTGTGCCAAGTGGTGTATTAATGATTCATTTTTATTTTTCACTAAATCTTTTCTCTAAAGTTGGTGTAGCCTGCAACTAAATGCAAGAAATCTGACCTAGGACCTGCACTTCTTACCATTTTGCTCATATTTATTCCCTGTGCATTTTTGTAACATGTATATGTTATATATATAGAAAGAGAGAGAGGCAGAGATGGAAAGTAATTTATGGAGTTTGATGTTATGTCAGGGTAATTACATGATTATATAATTAACAGGTTTCTTTTTAAATCAGCTATATCAATAGAAAAATAAATGTAGGAATCAAGAGACTCATTCTGTCCATCTGTGATAGTTCCATCATGATACTGCATTGTCAAGTCATTGCTCCAAAAATATGGTTTAGCTCAACACTGAGTGACTATAGGAAACCAGAAACCAGGCTGGGCGCTAAAGATGCAAAGATGAATGAGACATCATCTCTGCCGTCCAAAAGCTTACTGTCTAGTGGGAGAGTTACACACGTAAGGACAGTAATCTAATAAGAGCTAATAAGTGAAAACTAAGATAAATTAATAATACAAGATTACAGGGAAGGTTTCCAAAGTCAATGAGGCCTCAAATGAATCTTGAAAGTGTGCAAGGATTAACCAAATGAAGAAATGTGTAAGTTTTTCAAACAAAAAGGAACAGCATGAGCAAATGCAAGGAGGCCTAAAATAAAGAGATGTGTAAAGAGGTGTAAGCAGCTTTGTGCTACTGCCTGATAATTAGAAGAATATCGGGAGTAACAAGAGCTATAGAAGAGAGTCACAATTATGGAAAAATATTTATTAAATTATAAGAAATTTATAGCATAAGGAATAGTAGGACCATTAAATGTTTTAATAAAGATGATGCTTCTTTTTTAATATTTATTTTTATTATACTTTAAGTTCTAGGGTACATGTGCACAACGTGCAGGTTACATATGTATACATGTGCCGTGTTGGTGTGCTGCACCCATTAACTCATCATTTACATTAGGTATGTCTCCTAATGCTATCCCTCCCCCCTCCCCCAACCCCACAACAGGCCGCGGTGTGTGATATTCCCCTTCCTGTGTCCAAGTGTTCTCATTGTTCAAGTCCCACCTATGAGTGAAAACATGCGGTGTTTGGTTTTTTGTTCTTGAGATAGATGATGCTTTAAATTGACCACTCTAGCTGCATTGTGGGAGGAAAAAAAGATTTTAAAACAAGACTAGAAACAGAATAATTAGAAAAATGCAACTACAATGCAGATGAGTGATTATCAAGGTCTGAACTGAATAGTGGAAATAGAGATAAGGAGGCAAATTCAAGATATGTGCGTGACAGTAAAATTAACATGACCTGGTGTTTGATTGACTCTGTAAAGTGAAAGGAAAGGATGAATAATCAACAAATAATATTTATTCTACCAAATGCCTCCATGCCGCTTTGATGACAGGATAATATGTAAGCTTTTCTATATTTCAGAAACTATATGACATGACGAAAAGTAAAAAGGGGATGGGGGTAAGGAGGTATCCTGAATTGACTGAGAAATAAGGAGGTATTCCACAGAGAATATAAATAAACATATACTTAGTGTTCAAGGAATAATAAAAAAGAGAACATCTATGTGTCCACCATACAGGATATGAAATAGAACATTTGCCGGCCATGGTGGCTCACACCTGTAATCCCAGTACTTTGGGAGGCCGAGGTGGGAGGATCACTTAAGCCCAGGACACAGGTTGCAGTGAGCCAAGATCACACTATCGTACTCCAGCCTGGGCCACCATGTCTCAGAAAAATAAAAAAAACTAGATGTCTTGGAGGATTGGAAACAAAATAGAACTTTACTAGTGCCTTAGACGCCCATTGGGTGCTCCTTGCCAATTGTGTTCTCCTTTATTTCCTGCTGGATATGACCACTGTCCTTCCATTGCATTGTATGTGTTTTTTAATAGACTTTAATGGTTCTCAAGTGATGCATTATTTAGTTTGGTTCTTTGAAACTTATATAAATGAAATTATTTTGTAGAAGTTCTTTCACCTTTATCAGAAGGTACTTTCACCTTGATTCAATAATAAGTTTGCATATTACAACCTTGTTGAATGTTGGTGTAATTCATCCATTCGTATTGCTATATGATATTCCACTACATGAATATGTCGGACTTCATTCCTCAGATCTATTGTTGATGAACACTTGAAATTTTTCCAGTTTTTAACCATTACAAACAATGCTGCTATGAACATTCTTTTGTAAATCACCTGGTTCATATGTGCAAGATATCCTCTGGGGTATATATTTAAAAGTAAAATTATTGAGTTATTCAACATTACCATGAGATGCTACACTATTTTTTTTAACAATCCTACCAATTTACACTTCTACCACGAACAGATAAGCATTACCGTTGGTCTTCATTTGTAGGAACCATATTTGTCTTTTGCTCTGGGGGCTTTGTTTTGTTTTGCTTTGTTTTTTGCTTAGAAGTGCTTTGGCTATTAGGGATCTTTTTTTGGCTCCATGTGAACTTTAGGATTTTTTTTTAATTTTGTGAGAAATAACGTTGGTAATTTGATGGGAATTGCATTAACTCTATAGATTGTATGGGTGATATGGTCACTTTAGCTATTGATTTTTCTAATCCATGAGCATGGGATGTTTTTCCATTTGTTTATGTCATCTATAATTTCTTTCATTAGTATTTTGTAGTTCTCTTTGTAGAGATCTTTCATTTATATAGTTATGCATTCCTAGGTATTTTTCATGGCTATTGTAAATTCAGTTGAGTTCTTAATTTGGTTCTCAACAAATTAATCTCAACAAACATTCAAACAGCTTGAATGTATTTGGTGTATAGAAATACAACTGATTTTTGTGGCTTGTTTATCCCAAGACTTTACTGAAGTCGTGTATCAAGTCTAGGAGTCTTCTGAAGACTTTAGGGTTTTCTAGGCCTACAGTCATGTCATCAGTGAGCAGAGATCATTTGACTTCTTTTCTAATTTGTATACCTTTTATTTCTTTCTCCTTTCTGATAGTTCTGGCTAGCACTTCCAGTACTGTATTGAATAGGAATGAAGAAGGTGAACATCCTTGCTTTTTTCCAGTTTCTAGAAGCAACACTTCTAACTTTTGCCCATCCAGGATGATGTTGGCTGTGGCTTTGTCATAGATGACTCATTTTTTGAGGTATACTCCATCTATACCTATATTGTTGAGGGTTTTTATCATAAACAGATGTTGGATTTTATCAAATGCTTATTCTGCATCTAATGAGATGATCATAGGGTTTTTGTTCTCAGTTCCATTTATGTGGTGAATCATGTTTATTGATTTGTCTATTTTGAACCATTCAAGCACCCCTGGAATAAAGCCCACTTGATCATGATGAATTATCTTTTTGATGTGTTGTTAGCTTCAGTTTGCTAGAATTTTGTTGAGTATTTTTACATCTGTGTTGATCAGGGATAAGGATTTGTAGTTTTCTTTTGTGTTCTTTTTAAAATTTTCCTTGTTAATTTTACTGCACAGTATTATTTTAATGATGAATAAAGTGTTGAGCTGGACATGTGTACCTTGTTCCTCGTGTTAGAATGAAACTGTTTAATATGTCATGATTATTTATAATGTTGAGAGTAGTTTTTGTGTATATATTAAGATATTTACATCAGTTCTCTTCTATTCCTAGTTTGTTATTATTACAAATAGTTTCAAATGTGAACAAGTGCTTTTCCCACAGCTATTGAAATAACCATATTTTTTTCTTTTATTCAGTTAATGTGGTTAATTTCATTGTTTGGTTTTCTAATTTTAAACCATACATTCTTGAAATTACTGCACTTAGTCACGATGTATTTTTCTTTGGAGTATATTGTTGGATTATATTTGCAAACATTTTTGTTTAGAATTATTATGTAGTATATTAGTCTGTAATTTCATTTCTTTTAATATCCTTGTATGGTTTTACTATCATGGAGGTACCACCATATAAAACAAGTTGGAAAGTGTTATGTCTTCCCAATTCTCTAAAAATATTCATGTAACATTGGCATTATTTCTTTATTAAATATTTGGTAATATTTCTTTATTAAATATTGCATCCACCTAGCCCTGGAGTTCTTTCTACAGGAAAAAAAAATTTTCTAAATAAAATTTCTACAATGAAAAAAAAACTACTCAGTTTTTCTAGTTTTTTTCTGATCATTTCATAAAAGTAGGTATTTTTCATAGGAACTTGACCATTCCTTATGATTGTCAAATTTATTAATATAAAGTTTCATATTTTATATTTATTTTATCAGATAAATAAAATTATATGTTTTGAAATATATATTCATTGTAAAATAGCCATGTTAAGCTAACATATGCATTACCTTACATGCTTATCTTTTTTTATGAGAACACTTAAAAATCTACTCTTAGCAATTTTGAAGAATACAAGTACATCCCCTATGGAGAACAGTTTGAAGGCTCCTCAAAAAAGTAAAAATAGAGCTACCATGTGGTCCAGCAATCCCACTGCTGCATATATACCCCCCAAAAAAGAAATCAGTATATCGAAGAGATATCTGCACTCCCGTATTTGTTGCAGCACTATTTTCAATAGCGAAGTTATGGAGTCAACCTAAGTGTCCATCAACAGATGAATGAATAAAGAAAATGTGGTACTTATATACAATGAAGTATTATTCAGCCATAAAAAGGAATGAGACCCTGTCATTTGCAACAACATAGATGAAACTGGAGGTCATTATGTTAAGTGAAATAAGCCAGGCACAAAAAGACAAATACTATGTGTTATCACTTATATGTGGAATCCAAAAAGCAAACAACTGAACTCATGGAGATAGAGAGTAGAAGGAAGTATACCAGAGGCTGTGAAGGGTAGTGGGGGTTGGGAGAGGTGGGGGATGGTTAATGGGTACAAAAAAAGAAAGATTTAATAAGACCTAGTATTTGATAGCACAACAGGGGGATTGCAGTCTAAAATTCAATTATACATTTAAAAATAACTGAAAGAGTATAATTGGATTGTTTATAACACAAATAATAAATGCTTGAGGGGATGAATATCCAATTTTCCATTATGTACTTATTGTACATTGCATGCCTGTACCAAAATATTTCATGTACCCCATAAATGTGTACACCTGCTATGTACCCACAAAAATTAAATTTAAAAACAATACATTGTTATCCACTATAGTCACCATATTGCACAATAGATCTGTTGAATTCATTCCTCCTGTACAATGCAATTTTGTACCCTTTGACCAACATCTACCCAATCCTCCTGGTAACCATCATTCTACTCTGTACTTCTATGTGTTCAGCCTTCTTAGACCTCCACATACAAGTGAGATTATGCAGTATCTGGCTTTCTGTGCCTGGATTATTTTACTCAGTATAATGTCCTCCCGGTTCATTCATGTTGTCACAAATGATACTTTTTTTATTTTTTAAGGTTGTATACTATTCTATTGTGTATGTGTGCCACATTTTCTTCATCCACTCATGTGTCGATGGATACTTAAGTTAATTCCACATCTTGGCTGTTGTGAATAATGCTACAATAAATATGGGAGTACAGATAACTCATTGACACACTGATTTGATATCTTTTTAATATATGCCCAGAAATAGCATTACTGAATCATATGGTAATTCTATTTTTACAGAATCATTTATACTGTCTTTTACAATGGCTGAAATAGTTTACATTCTCAACAATTACAAGGTTTTCCTTTTCTCCACATCCTCTCCAACACTTGGTATCTTCTGCCTTTTCTGTAACAGCCATTCTAACGGATGTGAAATGGCATTTTATTGTAGTTTTAATATGCATTTCTCTGATGATCAGTGATAATTAGCATTTTTATATATCTGTTGGCCATTTGTATGTCTTCTTTTGAGAAATGTCTATTTAGATCCTTTGTCAATTTTTCATTAGGGATCCTTGTTTTCTTATTATTGTGTTGTTTGAGTTCCTAAGATATTTTGGACATTAGCCTCTTATCAAATGTATAGTTTGCAGATAATTTCTCCCATTTTGTAGGTTATCACTTCACTCTGTTGACTTTCTTTTGCTGTGCAGAAGCTTTTTAGGTTGATGCTATTCCATTTGTGTTTTGTTGCTTTTCTTGCCTGTGCTTTAGAGTCATATCATAAAATATTATTGCCCAGACCAATGTCTTGGAGTTATTCCCCTGTTTTCTTCTAGGAGTTCTATAGTGCTAGGTCTTACATTTAAGTCTAACTTATTTTGAATTTATATTTTTATATGGTATGAAATAAGGGCCTAAGATCAATCTTGTGGACATTCAGTTTTCTCAACACCATTTTTTGAAGAGACTGTTCTTTCCCCATGTGTGTTCCTGGCACCTTTGTTGAAAGTCAGTTGACTATAATATGTAGATTTATTTATGGGCTCTTTATTCTGTGTAATTGGTCTATGTGTCTGCGTTTATGCCAGTACCATGGTGTTTCGATTGCTATAGCTATGTAGTATAATTTGAAGTCAGGTAATGTGATATCTCCTGCCTTGCTTTTTTCGATCAAGATTATTTTGGCTTTTCAGAGTTTTTTGTGATTCCATACAGATTTGAGAGTTGTTTTTCTATTTCTGTGGGAAAATGTCATAGGAATTTTGATAGAGATTGCATTCAATATGTACATCACTTTGGATAGTATGGACATTTCAAACATATTACTTTTTCCAATCCATGAACATGAGATATCTTTCCATTTATTTGTGGCTTCTTCAATTGTTTTCATCAATGTTTTGTAGTTTTCAGTGTAAAGATCATTCACCTCTTTGTTTAAATTTACATCTAAGTATTTTTTGTTGCTATTATAAATAGGATTGTTTTCTTGATTTCTTTTTTTGTATAGTTTGTTGTTGATGTGTAGAAATGCTACCGAATTTTGTATGTTCACATTGTATCCTGCAACTTTACTAAATTCATTTATGAATTCTAAATTTTTTGGCAGAGTTATTGGTGTTTTCTATATATAAGATCATGTCAACTGCAAACAGAAACAATTTAACTTCTTCCTTTCCAATTTTCATGCCTTTTATTTCTTTCTTTTGCCTAATTGCTCTGGCTAGGACATCCAGTACTATGTTGAATAGAAGTTCTGAGAGTGGGCACCCTTGTATGAAGTTTTCCACAACATCTCTTATCTTTTTATTAGCTATATATTAATACGGATGTTTCTTCTTCATCAGGAGTTTGAAAAATATGTCTTTTCTCTATATTGTTCTTAATCAGTCTTCCTAGAAGTATTTCAATTTCAAAAAGTAGCAACAACTGTGGGAGTTCAGTCAGGCTGGTGGGAAAAATTTTAAAGATAGTTATAAGAAATCGACACAAACCTTCATGGAAGGCTGGGGGTGTTGTATAGCTTCAGTAATAGATCTGAATGAAGGCGGCCTAATCCTTCCTTGAGTAAATAGCTTAAAGTAGGTGCAAAGGAATGTAAGGGAGTTTATCTAAATAACTTGTTTACTCATGTGGTCCTGAAGCCAACCTTTGATCATTCACAGGCAGGATGGCTCTCTCTCGGGGGAGGGTGACCAGGTTAATTACCCTCTATTTGTGTTGACTAAAAGCCCCTGTCATTTAATGTTTTTTCAATAAATGCTGGCAGGGCTAGCTAGTCAGGGCTCGTGGCTGCCAGAACTCTTTCTGTGCATGGCCCAGCCCCCTAGCGGCTCTTTCACTGAATAATTGGTGTCTGAGTACATTATTCATCCCTCGTGCAGCTGGGGTCTGCAGGACAGACCCCCACAAACAACAATTTGCAAAAGCAAACTTCCCTGTTTTGTTTTTTTCCCAAGATGATAAATTAGAGGCTTTTAGTGTGCCTCGGCCACTTAGAAATAGCAAGAGAGTGCACAAAGGTCAACTCTGTGAGCTCTAAGTCAAGAAGGAAAATGGGAATCCACCAGAATCATGAAGGACATCATAGATCCCAAGAAGGAGAATGTGAGCAAACAGTCAACATGACAGCAACCAGCTTATAAAAGTGAGCGAAGTCCTAGTATGTGAGAGAGGCAGAGAGCCTCCCTCTGTAACTGACATTTTCACTGTGAATCTGAGCAACCCCAGCCAAGTTGTTGCATTTTGTTTCTCCCAAGGCCTGGAGTCAACATGGGGAGAGGCTTGGAGATGCTGTGAAGCAAAGACACTGGGAACAGCTGCAGACATTTTCCCAGACCAGGAAGTAAGAGCAAGATGCCATTTTCAATCTGGATGCATGCAAAGTCAGCTTTTTTTTTTCTTTTTGTGACCCAGCAGAATGCCTGCACAGGCATTTTAGTCTCAGGCCAAAGATTGGAACAACTGCTTTGGGGCTTGGTAGGGACCTTCACAGCCATATTGTGGAAAACACCTCAGCAGTATGTGCTGGAATTGTGCTTTCCCCCATCGCAGCCTCGGGGCAACAGAAAAGCTGCTACAGCTGTAATTTCTCCCAGGTGATGAAACTTGCAGCCAGGGCCAGCTTGGAGACCTACAACCAGTCTGCAGGTGTCATTGCTGGGTGCCCCAGCCTGTTCCCCTGAGAATGTGATACAGCAGGGCTTTCTCTGCTTCACCCCCAGGCAGAAATTCAGGCATTGGAGCACCTGTCTACCTGGACCAGCATCCTGAGCTACCCCACCGTTTATAAACATAGGTTGTGGTGCAGTGGGGCCCTCTCCAGTCTATGGCCAGGCAGATTTCCAGGTATGTGGAGTACCCACTTGACTGGATCAGCAGCCTGAGCTTCCCCAACCTTCCTGTGCTGAGATTATAGTGCAGTGAGGCCCTCTCATCTCCACACATAGGCAGACCTCCAAGCAATTAGAGCACCTGCTCCTATGGAGAACTTAAATTTACAAGAAAAAAAAAAAACCATCAAAAATTGGCCAAAGGACATGAACAGACAATTCTCAAAAGAAGACATGGATGTGGCCAACAAACATATGAAAAAAAGCTCAAATCACTGATCATTAGAGAAATGCAACTCAAAACCACAATGAGATACTATCTCAAACCAGTCTTAATGGTGATTATCAAAAACTCCAGAAACAACAGTTGCTGGTAAGGCTGTGGAGAAATAGGAATGTTTTTACACTGTTTGTGGGAATGTAAATTAGTTCATTCACTGTGGAAGGCAGTGTGAAAATTCCTCAAAGATCTAGAACCAGAAATGCCATTTGCCCCAGCAATCCCTTTACTGGATATATGCCCAAAGGAATATAAATCATTCTATTATAAAGATACATGCACAGGGCTGGGTGCAGTGGCTCACACCTGTAATCCCAGCACTTTGGGAGGCCAAGGCGGGTGGATCACCTGAGGACAGGAGTTTGAGACCAGCCTAGCCAACATGGGGAAACTCCATCTCTACTAAAAATACAAAAATTAGCCAGGTATAGTGGTGCACACCTGTAATACCAGCTACTTTGGAGGCTGAGGCAGGAGAATCGCTGGAACCCAGGAGGCAGAGGTCAAAGTGAGCCAAGATCATACCATTGCACTCCAGCCTGGGCAACAAGAGCAAAACTCCATCTTAAAAAAATATATATATATACATATACATACATATATATACACATATATATACATATATACAGATATTATATATGTAAATGTATATATATGTGTATATATATACACATATATATACATATTATAACTACATATATATACACACACACATACATATACATGCACACATATGTTTATTGCAGCACTATTTACGATAGAAAATACATGGAATCCTCCCAAATGCCCATCAATGATATATTGGATAAAGAAAATGTGATATATATTCACCATGGAATACTATGCAGCCGTTAAAATAAATGAGATCATGTTCTTTGCAGGGACATGGATGAAGCTGGAAGCCATCACCCTCAGCAAACTAACACAGGAAAAGAAAACCAAACACCACATGTTCTCAGTCGTAAGAGGGAGTTGAACAATGAGAGCAAACACATGGATACATGGAGGGGAACAACACACACCAGGGCCTCTCAGCGGGACAGGGGTAGGAGACCATCAGGACAAACACGTGGATACATGGAGGGGAACAACACACACCAGGGCCTCTCAGGGGGACAGGGGGTAGGAGACCATCAAGACAAACACGTGGATACATGGAGGGGAACAACACACACCAGGGCCTCTCAGGGGGACAGGGGGTAGGAGACCATCAGGACAAACACGTGGATACATGGAGGGGAATAACACACACCAGGGCCTCTCAGGGGGACAGGGGGTAGGAGACCATCAAGACAAACACGTGGATACATGGAGGGGAACAACACACACCAGGGCCTCTCAGGGGGACGGGGGGTAGAAGACCATCAGGACAAATAGCTAATGCATGCAGGGCCTCATACCTAGGTGATGGGTTGATGGGTGCAGCAAACCACCATGGCACACATTTACCTATGTATCAAACCTATACTTTCTGCACGTGTATCCCAGAACATAAAATAAAATTTAAAAAATATATACACTGATTCATGATCTCCTTTCTCTCCTTCTGAAACACTCTTTAAAACTTTTTAGCATTTCCCCCTCTGTCTTCCATGTCTCCTAACTACATGTTTCTTATTTTCCATGTCTTTATTCCTGTGTTCATTTTGGATAGCCCCTTCTGACCTATATTACAGTTTACTAGTTCACTCTTCAACTGCTTCTAACATACTAATATTCTGTTAAAACCATTCATTTGGGTTTAAATTTCAATTATGTTATTCTCTATGGACATTCTATTTGTTTTCTTTTAATCTTCTTGGCCATTCTCTAGAGTTTCCTGTTCCATTATGATATTTTTAATTTTTTGTTTTACTTTAAACATACTAAATATAGTTATTTTATTTTATTTTCTGTATCTGATACTTTCAATAACTGCAGTCTTTGCTAGTCTTTTTTCTGTGCTCTTGCTCATAGTTTTTTTCATTTGTTTTCATGATTAGAAAAACAGAGAGAGAAGAAGGAGAGTAAAGGGAGGAGGCGGAGGAGGAGAAAAGAAGAAAGCAGAGAAGAAGGGACAGAGAAAAAAAGGAAGTTGGTTCTAACGTTTCTCTAACAACTGGCTTCAGTGAAACACTCCCACCTTGTGGATTTTTAGGTTATTGAAATTAACCAGTCTTCTGGGTGCAGCACACCAACATGGCACATGTATACATATGTAACAAACCTGCACTTTGTGCACATGTACCCTAAAACTTAAAGTATAATAAAAAATAAAATAAAAAGCTACACAAATTTAAAAAAAAAGAAATCAACCTAATTCCTAGATTACCACCTCTTGATTCAAATGCTTTAAATCTAGGCTTTTCATCTGAGTCTTTCTTTTTAGTTATTCTGTTTATCTTCAAAACACTCCTGCTTTGAATCATTCAAAATCTACCTCCCTCCCTCTGTTTGACTACCATCAATTTTTTTGCTCATTCCTAATGCATTAATCTATTAGCTGTGAATATCCAAAAACCCTCATTTCACTGAATCTTTGACAGACCCCTTTGCATCCTCTTGTTCTTCTAATTATTTCCTCAGAAACTTTATGTTCTCTTTTCTTTACAAGCATGTCATAGTTTATATATAATGTGTGTATTGTTTTTATATATACCTATATATAGCCTCTTTTTAAAAGCACTATACACCATGCTTTGAAATATATTCTAAAATCAGGTAGCATGAAAATGGAAACATAACATACTAAAACATATGGGATGCAACAAAAGCAGTTATAAGAGGGACATTTATAGCAATAAATGCCTACATCAAAAAAGAAAAAAAAGATCTCAAATAAGCAACCTAATATTATGCCTAAAGGAGCGAGAAAATTAGAGAACAATACAAGCCCAAAGATAGCAGAAGGAAACAAATAACAAAGATCAGAGCAGAAATAATATAATAGAAACTGAAAATTTCAATAAAAATAAGAATTGTTTTTTGAAAAGATAAACAAAATTAACAAATTCTTACATAGACTAAGAAAAAAGAAAACAAACTCAGAAGTGAAAGAAGAGACATTACAACTGATACCACAGAAGTTAAAAAATCATAACATACTACTATAAACAATTATTCACCAGCAAATTAGATAACCTAGAAGAAATTGATAAACTCGTACCAAAACTGAATCATGAAGAATTCAAAATTTAGAAGAAATCATGAATAAGGAAATTAAATCACCAATGAAAGGTCTCTCATAAAAGAAAGACCAAGGATTGAATGGCTTGGTGGCTGAATTCCAACAAACACTTAGATGACTAACACCAATCCTTCCCAAACTCTTCCAAAAAAAATGAAGAAGAGGAATACTTTCAAATTCATTTTTCAAAACCAGCATTACCCTGATACCAAAACCAGAGAAGGACACTATAATAAAAATAAATTGCAGACCAATACTCCTGATGAACTTGGATGGAAAAACCTTCAGCCAAATATTAGCAAATATTATTTTAAAAAAAAAACAGCAAAAAAATTCACCATGCTTAAGTGGGATTCATCCCTGGGAAGCTTATTAGTCTTATTTGATTCGTGTAATCAGAAAATTTCTATGTCTAGTGAAGAGAAATGAGAGCAATAGAGACTCATAGCACCTCAACAAATGTCCAGGCTTGAGCCAGTTAACAAATACAAGTCCTTCAAATACAAAAAAGACTGTGAAAGAAAATAGAACAGATCAATGAGACTAAGAATTTGTTCTTTGAAAAGATAAAACTGACAAACCATTAGCTAGACTAGAAAAATGAGAGAATACTCAAAGCAATAAAATCAGAAATGAAAGAGGAAATATTGCAACTAATACCACAGAAATACAGAGGATCATAAGAGGCCACTATAAACAATTACAAGCCAACAAATTGGATAACCTAGAAAAAGCAGATAAATTTCTAGAAAAATGCAACTTACCTAGAGAAAGTCAAGAAGAAAGATAAAATCTGAACAGAACAATACTGAGTATGGAGAGTATATCAATAATAAAACATCTCCCATCAAAGAACATCCCAGGACCAGAAAACTTCATTGCTGAATTCTAACATTTTAAAAAATAATAATACAATCCTTCTGAAATTCTTCCAAAAACTTGAAGGAGAAAGAGTATTTCCAAACTCATTTTAAAAGATCAGCATTATTGTTTTTTTTTAAAGTGATGTTCCCCTTCCTGTGTCCATGTGTTCTCATTGTCCAATTCCCACCTATGAGTGAGAACATGCGGTGTTTGGTTTTTTGTCCTTGTGATTGTTTGCTGAGAATGATGGTTTCCAGCTTCACCCATGTCCCTACAAAGGACATGAACTCATCATTTTTTATGGCTGCATAGTATTCCATGGTGTATATGTGCCACATTTTCTTAATCCAGTCTATCATTGTTGGACATTTGGATTGGTTCCAAGTCTTTGCTATTGTGAATAGTGCCACAGTAAACATACGTGTGCATGTGTCTTTATAGCAGCATGATTTATAGTCCTTTGGGTATATACCCAGTAATGGGATGGCTGGGTCAAATGGTATTTCTAGTTCTAGATCCCTGCGGAATCGCCACACTGTCTTCCACAATGGTTGAACTAGTTTACAGTCCCACCAACAGTGTAAAAATGTTCCTATTTCTCCACATCCTCTCCAGCACCTGTTGTTTCCTGACTTTTTAATGATGGCCATTCTAACTGGTGTAAGATGGTATCTCATTGTGGTTTTGATTTGCATTTCTCTGATGGCCAGTGATAGTGAGCATTTTTTCATGTGTTTTTTGGCTGCATAAATGTCTTCTTTTGAGAAGTGTCTGTTCATATCCTTTGCCCACTTTTTGATGGGGTTGTTTGTTTTTTTCTTGTAAATTTGTTTGGGTTCATTGTAGATTCCGGATATTAGCACTGGGGCCTGTTGTGGGGTGGGGGGAGGGGGGAGGGATAGCATTAGGAGATATACCTAATGTTAAATGATGAGTTAATGGGTGCAGCACACCAGTATGGCACATGTATACATATGTAACTAACCTGTACGTTGTGCACATGTATCCTAAAACTTAAAGTATAATTTAAAAAATAAATAAATAAAAATAAAAATAAAAAGGCAAACAAGGACACTATAAGAAAAGTATGGGCCAACCAATATCCCTGATGAACACAGATACAAAAGTCCTCAAAAAAAAGTACTAGCAAGCAGAATTTAACAACATATTAGGAGAACATTTACCATGATAAAGTGGATTTATCCTCCAGATGTTTCAGCAAACACAAATCAAATGTGATAAACCACATTAACAGAATGAAGGATAAAAAAATAGCTATCTCTATATATGCAGAAAAAGCATTTGACTAAATTCAAAATCCTCTCATGACTAAACCTCTCAACAAATTGGGCATAGAAGGCATGTACCTTAACACAAAACAGGACATATATAACAAGCTCACAGCTCACATCATACCCAACAATGAAAAAGTGAAATCTTTTCTGCTAAGATCAAAAACAAGACAAGGATATTTATTCTCACTACTTCTATTCAACTTATTTCTGGAAGTCCTAGCCAGAGCAATTAAGCCAAATAAAGAAATAAAAGATTCAAATTGAAAAGGAAGAAGTAAAATTGTCTCTGTTTGATGACATATTATATATAGGAAACCCTAAAAACTCCACCAAAAAGCTATTAGAAATGATAAATGAATTCAATAAAATTTCAGAATTCAAAATCAATGTACAAAACTCAGTAGTTTCTTTACACTCACAACAAACTATATGACAAAAATAAAGAAATCAATCTCATTCACAGTAGCATCAAAAAAAACGTATTTTTTTTGTTTAGGAGCACATTTAGGATTGTACTTAGGAGTACATTTAACCAAGGAGGTGAAAGATCTGTATTCTGAACACTATAAAACATTGATGAAAAATTGTAGATGACACAAATACATGGAAAGATATTTTATGTTCATGGGTAGGAAGAATTAATATTCTTAAAATGTCCTTACTGCCCAAAGCGATTTATAGGTTTAATGCAATATTTATCAAAATTTCAATGTCATTCTTCACAGAAATAGAAAAAACAATTTGAAAATTTATATGGAACCACAAAGGATCCTGAATAACTAAAGGACTCTTGAGCAATAAGAACAAAGCTGAAGGCCTCACAATCTGACTTCAAAACATATTACAGGAAAAGAACAAAAGAAGGAAGAAGAGGGTAGAGGAGAAGTGCAGCAAGGGTGGAGGGAGGTGCCCACGCTGGGTCGGAGGAGCAGGAGGAGTATGGAGGGAAGACTCCTGGGTGGCATGGAGCTCTTGCACCTCTAGGCACTGCCCAGCCCTGTGTCAGCCAGGGCTGAACCCCCACAGGATAAGGAAGCCTGTGTGTGTACCAACAATCAAAGCTACATCTGTGACACAACAGGACACTGCTATGGGCAGTCTCAGTGTTGTAACTACTACTATGAACATTGGTGGTTCTGGCTGGCGTGGACCATCACCATCATCCTGAGCTGCTGCTGTGTCTGCCACCACAGCCAAGCCAGCCCTCAAGTCCAGCAGTAGCAACATGAAATCAACCTGACTGCCTATCCAGAAGCCCGCAATTACTCAGTGCTACCATTTTATTTCACCAAACTATTTATTACCTTCTTATGAGGAAGTGGTGAACTAACCTCCACCTGTTTCCCTCCCTGTCTGTCCATTGTGGATGAGCTCTGAGCCCTGTTTTCCTGTGAAGATTCTTTGAATTGCAGCCATTCTATTCACATGAACTCTCACATCTGGAGCACAGATGGCCCTCTCAAGGTAATTTATTGTATGCATTGACTGTTTACCAAACAAATGTCTTACTATGTACTCAGGTATATTCAGCAGCATTGTCGACTGCAGTCCCCTATGCTTGCCAGAAGATACTGTATTCAAAGTAGAAGTTTCACAGTGATGAGTAATCACTGCAATTTTCCCATTGCTCCATGGACTCTCGGAGGCCGGTGTTCTGTTCCCTGTAAATAGAGATGTACTCTGAACCTTTCTGCCTCCCTCAGCTGTTCCTAGTCCTTGGTATCAGCCCCTGGAGATGTCCACAACCACTTAGGACAAAAGGCAAAAGTGGAATTTCAGACAAAACTTTGATAGGATCTTCAGTGATAAACTTGGACTAACTGTGGCCCAGGTATCAGCACTCCCAAGAATTGCCAGGAGGAAGCTTTGGCAGACACCACAGGTATGGCAAGGCCTATCTCCCTCTGCTGAATCCAACAGGGGCAAGCAAGCTGGCATGTGGCTTGAGGTGACCCGAATATGTCAGCACCCCTCAGATGTCTTTCTTTGCACTTTTGAAAAAAATCTCAGAATTTGCTGGCAACATGGCCAAATAGGAACAGCTCCAGTCTGCAGCTCCCAGTGAGATCAATGCAGAATGCAGGTGATTTCTGCATTTCCAACTGAGGTACCTGGTTCATCTCACTGGGACTGGTTGGACAGTGGGTGCAGCCCACGGAGGGTGAGCCAAAGCAGAATGGGGTGTTGCCTCACCCAGGAAGTGCAAGGGGTTGGGGGAATTCCCTCCCCTAGCCAAGGGAAGCCCCGAGGGACTGTACCATGAGGAACGGTGCACTCCACCCAGAAACTATGCTTTTCTCATGGTCTTCACAATCCACAGACCAGGAGATTCCCTCCAGTGCCTCTGCCACCAAGGCCCTAGGTTTCAAGCACAAAACTAGGCAGCTGTTTGGGCAGACACCGAGCTAGCTGCAGGAGGTTTTTTTTTTTTCATGCCACAGTGGCAACTGGAATGCCAACAAGACAGAACCATTCTCTCTCCTGGAAAGGGGGCTGAAGCCAGGGAGCCAAGTGGTCTGGCTCGGCGGGTCCCACCCCTACAGAGCCCAGCAAGCTAAGATCCACTGGCTTGAAATTCTTGCACAGCAGTCTGAGGTTGACCTAGGACACTAGAGCTTGGTGGGGGGAGGGGCTTCCACATTGCCAAGGCTTGAGTAGGCAGTTTTACCCCCACTGTGTAAACAAAGCCACCAGAAAGTTTGAACTGGGTGGAGCCCACCACAACTCAGCAAGGCCACAGCAGCCAGACTGCCTCTCTAGATTTCTCCTCTCTGGGCAAGGCATCTCTGAAAAAAGGGCAGCAGCCCCAGTCAGAGACCTATAGATAAAACCCCCATCTCCCTGGAACAGAGCACCTAGGGGAAAGGGCGGCTGTGGGCACAGCTTCAGCAGACTTAAAGCATCTTTGAAAAGCCTGATGGCTCTGAAGAGAGCAGCAGATCTCCCTGCACAGTATTCGAGCTCTGATAAGGGTCAGACTGCCTCCTCAAGTGGGTCCCTGACCCCCGTGTATCCTGACTGGGAGACACCTCCCAGTAGGTGCCAACAGGCACCTCATACAGGAGAGCTCTGGCTGGCATCTGGTGGGTGCCCCTCTGGGACAAAACTTCCAGAGGAAGAAACAGGCAGCAATCTTGGCTGTTCTCCAGCCTCTGCTGGTGATACCCAGGCAAACAGGGTCTAGAGTAGACCTAGGGCAAACCCCAACAGACCTGCAGCAGAGGGGCCTGACTGTTAGAAGGAAAACTAACAAACAAAAAGGAATAGCATCAACATCAACAAAAAGGACAGCCACTCAGTGACCCCATCAGAAGGTCACCAACATCAGAAACCACAGGTAGATAAATCCATGAAGATGGAGAGAAACCAGAGCAAAAAGGCTGAAAATTCCAAAAACCAGAACGCCTCTTCTCCTCCAAAGGATCACAACTCCTCACCAGCAAGGGAACAAAAGAAAACTGGACAGAGAATGAGTTTGACGAATTGAGAGAAGTAGGTTTCAGAAGGTAGGTAATAACAAACTCCTCCAAGCTAAAGGAGCATGTCCTAACCCAATGTAAGGAAGCTAAGGACCTGGAAAAAAGGCTAGACCACTTGCTAACTAGAATAACCAGTTTAGAGAAGAACATAAATGACCTGATGGAGCTGAAAAACACGCCATGAGAACTTCATGCAGCATGCACAAGGATCAAGCACTGATTCGGTCAAGCGGAAGAAAGATATCAGAGACTGAATATCAACTTAATGAAATAAATCAAGAAGACAAGATTAGAGAAAAAAGAATGAAAAGAAATGAACAAAGCCTCCAAGAAATATGGGACTATGTGAAACGACCAAATCTACGTTTGATTGCTGTACCTGAAAGTGATGGGGAGAATGGAACCAAGTTAGAAAACACTCTTCGGGATATTATCCAGGAGAACTTCCCTAACCTAGCAAGGCAGGCCAATATTCAAATTCAGAAATATGGAGAACATCACAAAGACACTCCTCAAGAAAAGCAACCCCAAGACACATAGTCATCAGATTGAGCAAGGTTGAAATGAAGGAAAAAATGTTAAGGGCAGCCAGAGAGAAAGGTCAGGTTACCCACAAAGGGAAGCCCATCAGACTAACAGCAGATCTATCAGCAGAAACTCTACAAGCCAGAAGAGAATGGGGGCCAATATTCAACATTCTTAAAGAAAAGAATTTTCCACCCAGGATTTCATATCCAGCCAAACTAAGCTTCATAAGTGAAGGAGAAATAAAATCCTTTACAGACAAGCAAATGCTGAGAGATTTTGTCACCACCAGGCCTGCCTTAAAGGAGCTCCTGAAGGAAGCACTAAACATGGAAAGGAACAACTGGTATCAGCCACTGCAAAAACATACCAAATTGTAAAGACCGTTGACACTATGAAGAAACTGCATTAACTAACAGCAAAATAACCAGCTAGCATCGTAATGACAGGATCAAATTCACACATAACAATATCAACCTTAAATGTAAATGGGCTAAATGCTCCAATTAAAAAACACAGACTGGCAAATTGGCTAAAGAGTCAAGACCCATCAGTGTTCTGTATTCAGGAGACCCATCTCACGTGCAAAGACACAAATAGGCTCAAAATAAAGGGATGGAGGAATACTTACCAAGCAAATGGAAGGCAAAAAAAAGCAGGGGTTGCAATCCTAGTCTCTGATAAAACAGACTTTAAACCAACAAAGATCAAAAGAGACAAATAAGGGCATTGCATAATGGTAAAAGGATCAATGCAACAAGAAGAGCTAATTATCCTAAATATATATGCACCCAACACAGGAGCACCCAGATGCATAAAGTAAGCTCTTAGAGACTTAAAAAGAGACTTAGACCCTCACACAATAATAGTGGGAGACTTTAACACCCCACTGTCAATACTAGACAGATCAACGAAACAGAAAGTTAACAAGGATATCCAGGACTTGAACTCAGCTCTGGACCAAGTGGATCCAATAGGCAGCTACAGAACTCTCCACCCCAAATCAACGGAATATACATTCTTCTCAGCACCACATTGCACTTATTCTAAAATTGACCACATATTTGGAAGTAAAACACTCCTCAGCAAATGCAAAAAAAAATGGGAATCATAACAGTCTCTCAGATCGCAGTGCAATTAAATTAGAACTCAGGATTAAGAAACTGACTCAAACCCACACAACTACATGTAAACTGAACAACCTGCTCCTGAACAACTACTGGGTAAATAAAGATATTAAGGCAGAAATAAATAAGTTATTTGAAACCAATGAGAACAAAGACATAACATACCAGAATCTCTGGTACACAATTATAGCAGTGTGTAGAGGGAAATTTATAGCACTAAATGCCCACAAGAGAAAGCAGGAAAGATCTAAAATTGACACCCTAACATCTCAATTAAAAGAACTCAAGAGGCAGGAGCATACAAAAAGCTAGCAGAGGACAATAAATAACTAAGATCAGAGCAGAACTGAAGGAGATAGAGACACAAAAAAACCTTCAAAAAAAAATCAATGAATCCAGGAGCTGGTTTTTTGAAAATATCAATAAAATAGATAGACCACTAGCCAGACTCATAAAGAAGAAAACAGAGAAGAATCAAACAGATGCAATAAAAAATGATAAAGGAGATACCACCACTGATCCCACAGAAATACAAACTACTATCAGAGAATACTATAAACACCTCTACACAAACTAGAAAATCTAGAAGAAATGGACAAATTCCTGGACACATACGCCCTCCCAAGACTAAACCAGGAAGAAGTTGAATCCCTGAATAGACCAATAACAAGGTCTGAAATTGTGGCAGTAATTAATAGCCTACCAACCAAAAAACAGTCCAGGACCAGATGGATTCACAGCCGAATTCTACCAGAGGTACAAAGAGGAGTTGGTACCATTCCTTCTGAAACTATTCCAAACAACAGAAAAAGAGAGAATCCTCCCTAACTCATTTTATGAGGCCAGAATAATTCTGGTACCAAAATTTGGCAGAGACACACACAAAAAAAAGAAAATTTCAAGCCAATATCCCTGATGAACATCGATGCAAAAATCCTCAATAAAATACTGGCAAACCAAATCCAGCAGCACATCAAAAGCTTGTCCACCACAATCAAGTCGGCTTCATCCCTGGGATACAAGGCTAGTTCAACATACGCAAATCAATAAACATAATTCATCATATAAATAGAACCAATGGCAAAAACCACATGCTTCTCTCAATAGATGCAGAAAAGGCCTTCGACAAAATTCAGCAGCCCTTCATGCTAAAAACTCTCAATAAACTAGGTACTGATGGAACATATCTCAAAATAATAATACCTATTTATGAAAAACCCACAGCCAATACTGAATGGTGAAAAACTGGAAGCATTCCCTTTGAAAACCAGCACAAGACAAGGATGCCCTATCTCACCACTCCTATTCAACGTAGTATTGGAAGTTCTGGCCAGGGCAATCAGGCAAGAGAAAGAAATTGTCTCTGTTTGCAGATGACATGATTGTGTATTTAGAAAACCCCATGGTCTCAGCCCAAAATCTTCTTAAGCTAATAAGCAACTTCAGAAAAGTCTCAGGATACAAAATCAATGTGCAAAAATCAAGCATTCCTATATGCAAAAAACAGACAAACAGAGAGCCAAATCATGAGTGAACTCTCCCATTCACAATTGCTACTATGAGAATAAAATACCTAGGAATCCAACTTACAAGGGATGTGAAGGACCTCTTCAAGGAGAACTACAAACCACTGCTCAAGGAAATAAGAGAGGACACAAACAAATGGAAAAACATTCCATGCTCATGGATAGGAAGAATCAATATCATGAAAATGGACATACTGCCCAAAGTTTTTATAGACTCAATGCTATCCCCATCAAGCTACCACTGACTTTGTTCACAGAATTGGAAAAAACTACTTTAAATTTCATATGGAACCAAAAATGAGCCCGCAGAGCTAGGACAGTCCTAAGCAAGTAGAACAAATCTGGAGGCATCACGCTGTCTGACTTCAAACTATACTACAAGCCTTCAGTAACCAAAACAGCATGGTACTGGTACCAAAACAGATATGTAGACCAATGGAACAGAACAGAGGCCTCAGAAATAACGCCACACATCTACAACTATCTGATCTTTGACAAACCTGACAAAAACAAGCAATGGGGAAACGATTCCCTTTTTAATAAATGGTGTTGGGAAAACTGGCTAGCCATATGCAGAAAACTGAAACTGGATCCCTTCCTTACACCTTACACAAAAATTAGCTCACGATGTATTAAAGACTTAAACATAAGATCTAAAACCATAAAAAACCCTAGAAGAAAACCTAGGCAATACCATTCAGTACATAGGCATGGACAAAAACTTCATGACTAAAACACCAAAAGCAATTGCAACAAAAACCAAAATAGACAAATGGGATCTAATTAAACTAAAGAGCTTCTGCACAGCAAAAGAAACTGTCATCAGAGTGAACAGGCAACCTACAGAATGGGTGAAAATTTTTGCAATCTATCCATCTGACAAAGGGCTAATATCCAGAATCTACAAAGAACTTAAACAATTTACAAGAAAATAACAAACAAACCCATCAGTGGGTGAAGGATATGAACTGACATTTCTCTAAAGAAGACATTTATGCAGCCAACAAACATATGAAAAAAAGCTCATCATCACTGGTCATCAGAGAAATGCATATCAATACCACAATGAGATACCATCTCACGCCAGATAGAATGGCGATCATTAAAAAGTCAGGAAACAACAGATGCTGGAAAGGATGTGGAGAAATAAGAATGCTTTTACACTGTTGGTGGGAGTGTAAATTAGTTCAACCATTGTGGAAGACAGTGTGGTGATTCCTCAAGGTTCTAGAACTAGAAATATGATTTGACCCAGCAATCGCATTACTGGGTATATATCCAAAGGATTATAAATCATTCTACCATAAAGACACATGCATACATATGTTTATTGTGGCACTGTTCACAATAGCAAAGACTTGGAACCAACCAAAATGCCCATTCAATGATAGACTGCATAAAGAAAATGTGGCACATATACACCATGGAATACTATGCAGCCATAAAGAAGGATGAGTTCATATCCTTTTCAGGGACATGGATGAAGCTGGAAACCATCATTCTCAGCAAACTAATCCAAGAACAGAAAACCAAACACCCGATGTTCTCACTCATAAATGGGAGTTGAACAATGAGAACACATGGACAGAGGGAGGGGAACACAACACACCGGGGCCTGTCTGGGGGTAGGGGCTAGGGGAAGGTTAGCATTGGGTTAAATACCTAATGTAGATGATGGGTTGATGGGTGCAGCAAACCACCATGGCACGTGTATACCTATGTAACAATCCTGCATGTTCTGCACATGTACCCCAGAACTTAAAATATAATTTAAAAAAAAATCTCAAACAACTCACTGAAGTGTCTCAAAGCTGAACAAGTTTTACCAAAATGAATCCTTCTCAGTTAACTGATCAAATGGATGAATCCTGACCCTCTGAAGTCTCTTTCCTGAGTTAGAGCAGGGAACTGCTCTGAGTGTTAACTGTTGGATTCACTGCAGTGTCCTACAATATTTTACAAGAAGATGAAAAGGCAACCTGCAGACCTAGGCTTGATTCCCAAGTCACAGTCTGACCCCTGCTACAGGAGGTTACCCTCCTCAGGAAGAGATAGAAATAGGGAATTTGAAGGAATAGTGAGGGGACCAGGGAGATTTGATTGAGTCTGGTTTCCAGGTGAATTAAAAGGAAGGGTGTCATCCAGGGTTTGTTGCTACAGTCAAAAGAATAAATAAATCAATGAAGAAATACCTTCATTGTCTGTGGTTTTCATGCAGATATACTCATGGAGGTTGTATCTCTCCAAAAACAGACAAATCCAAGGCTGTGAACAAGCATCCGCATTTGAATTCCATTAAACCAAAATCTATGTTGAACGAAGTGAAGTCTGTACACAGCATTGCAAATGTGAACACATTCCTGTGTGAGGCACATCAACATTTGTCAGTTATTGTGAATATGTGTATTTTTAAGCAATAAGATGCAGCTGGTCAGTTTTCTGGGCAATCTTGGCGATGCATTTCCTGTGCTGTGGTTGTTCTCTAACCACTGTGAGAAACCCAAATAAAAATCGATCCCCCCCCAAAACAAATACGTATCACAAAACCATAGTAATCAAAACAACATGACACTTGCACAAAAACAGACACATTGACCAGGGGAACAGAATAAGGAGCCCAGAAATAAACTCATGCATTTATGACCAATAAATTTTTGACAAAGGTGCCCAGAAAACGTAATGAAGAATAGACATTTGTTTCAATAAATGGTGTTAAGAAAACTAGATATCCACATGCAGAAGAACACGAATGTGTATGGTGTGTATCCTTATCTCACACCATACACAAAAATCAATTCAAAATGGATTAAAGGTTTAAACATAAAACTGTAAAACTACTAGATGAAAACATAGGGGAAAAGTTCCACAATGTTGGTTTGGTCAAAGATTTCTTGGATATAACCCCCAAAGCACAGGCAACAAAAGCAAAAATATATGGGATTGCATCAAACTAAAAAGCTTCTGCACAGCAAAGGAAACAATATGGTGAAGAGACAACCTACAAGTTGTGAGAAAATATTTGCAGAGCATACATCTGATGAAAGGCTAATCTCCAAATATATAAGGGACTCAACTCAATATCAAGAAAACAAATAACCAAGTCAAAAAATGGGCAAGGTCCTAAATAGACATTTCTCAAAAAAAATACAAATGACTAACATAAAAAAAGTTTGTCATCCTAATTATCAGGGAAATGCAAATTAAAATGACAGTGAGATGCCACTTCATACCTGTTAGAATGGCTACTATCAAAATGATAAAAGATAACAAGTGTTGAAGAGGATACAGAGAAAAGGGAACCCTCGTACACTGTTGGTGGAAATGTAAATTAATACTATTATGAAAAATAGATAAAAGTTACTCAAAAAACTAAAACTAGAATTACTATATGATCCAGCAATCCCACTTCCTTGTATATATCCAAAGGAATTTAAGTCAATATGCTGAAGAGATATCTCCAGGCTCATGTTCATTGCAGCATTATTCACAATACCCAAATATGAAATCAACACAGGTGTCTATCAACTGACAAATGGATGAAGAAAATGTAGTGTATATATACAATGGAATACTACTCAGCCTTAATAGGAAGGAAAACCTGATATATGTGACAACATGAATTAACCCAGAAGATATCACGCTAAGTGAAATAAGCCAGGCACGAAAAGACAAATATCACATGATCTCACTGATATGTGGAATCTGAAAAAGTTGAATTCATAGAAGTAGAGAATGGAATGGTGATTATCAGAGGCTAGGAGTTGGGGGTAGACATGGAAAAGGTAGATGTTGATAAAAGGGTTCAAAGTTTCAGTTAGACAAAGTTTCAGTGAACTATTGCACAGAATGGTGACTGTAATAAATAACAAGGTATTGTATGTTTCAAAATGACTAACAGAGTAGATTTTAAATGTTTTCACCACAAAAAAGATATGTATGTCAATAAGATAGACCTAATCTTTCCACAATTTAAACATGTATCAAAACATTACATTGTACCCCATAGATACAATTATTATTTGTCAATTTAAAATTTTTCACTAATTTATATTGTTATTGTTGCACCAACTCCTTTCCACCAGGCAGATTCTCATAAAGACTATTTTCTCTCTTACATGAAGCATTTCCTACACACCTCTTAATCACGGTAGCATTGACATCATTCCACCAGATTCTATCTCCAGTGTTAAAATAATCAAGAACCCAGAAATCTCCACCAGGGGGCAACCAATGCGTATCAAAGTTTCCCACTTTCCTTTAGATTTACTTATGGGTAACTTATGGGAAAAAATACTTAAGTACTTCCCTTTTTAAAGAAAAAAATTATATGAATTCTACAAAATTATGGCAGAAAATTTAAGAAGAGCAGATGCTTCCCAACTCATTCTAAAGGGCCAGCATTACCCTGATTCTGAAATGAAAAAGCTTTACAAAATCCAAGATCCATTCCTGACTAAAGATAAAAGAAATTTTCAGCAAACTGTGAATACAGAAAACTTTCTCAGCCTGTTAAAGAGTACCTATGAAAAAAATTATAGCTAACATTATACTTAATGATGAAATATTTAATATATTTCATAACAGGAACAAGTCAAAGATGTCTGCTCTAACTAATTCTACTCAGCATTCAACAAAATGAATATAGTGAATTCATACTAGAATTTTAAAAGCAAATGTCTTTATTCACTGACAACATAATCATCTATAAAGAAAATCCTACATAACCTATAAAAAACTGATGGAACTAATAAGTTTTGCAAGTTTACAGGATATAATGTCAAACAAAGATCTATTATGTGCCCATAAGCTAAGAATAAACAATTGTAAATTGAAATAAAAATGTCACTTAAAAGGGCATCAGAAATATAAAACTTAGAGATAAATATAAAGTACATATGCATAAAGTACCTGTTCACCAAAAACTACAAAACATTGCTGAAAGAAATTAAATGGGCATAATATAGATGTAGAGATGTGTTGAATTTATGACTCATTTTGAACAAGGAATATATTCATCATATATTCATCAGATAAGAATTATGTTACAGGTCTAATAACATTCAAATCAATACATAATGTCTCATAGTTCCTGAATCTAAAATATCAAAGAAAGAAACATAAAGCCATATCATGTTTAACGAGAAGGGCTTATTGTATCATTTATGAGATCTTCTTGTAAATCACTAGCTGTTTGCATACTCTCTTTATTGCTGCCTTCATCTCCTTATTCCTGAATGTATAGACAACTGGATTCAGAAAAGGAGTGAGAACTGCATCAAAAATAGCCAGAAACTTGTCCATCTGTGAATTAGGGTGTGGCCATGTATACACAAACATGGGTGGACCAAAGAACAAAAGGACCGCTGTGCTGTGAGCTGAAAGAGTGGAAAGGGCCTTGGATGAACCACCTGAGGAATGTTTCCAAACAGTAAACAGGATGAAGATGTAGGAGATTAGAAGTATGAAGAAAGTACCCACACAGATAAACCCACTGTTAACAGTGACCATGAACTGCAATCTGTAGGTGTCGGTACAGGCTAGTCTGAGAAGCCGAGGAAGGTCACAGTAGAAGCTGTCCAACACATTAGGGCCACAGAAGGGTAAATTAACAAGAAATGCCAGTTGGAACAGGGAGTGACTGACACCAAGGGTCCAGGCAACAGCCAGAAATGAAAGGCACATTCTTGGGCTCATAATGGTCAGATAGTGGCGGGGCTTAATAGGGCCACATAACTGTCAAAGGCCATGGCTATGAGCAGCACCATCTCCACACCACCAATGACGTGGATGAAGAAGATTTGAGCGATGCAGCCTCCAAAGGAGATGACTTTGCACTTTCTGAACAGGTCATAAATCATCTTGGGAGAAGTGACAGAGCAGGCTCCTAAGTCAATGAAGGAGAGACTGGCCAGTAGAAAGTACATGGGGGAGTGTAAGTGAGGGTCAGTGGTCACAGAAAACACAATGAGGATGTTTCCAGTAATGCTTGCCACATAGAGCACAGAGGAAAACACTAGGAGGAGGAGCTGGATCTCCCATGAATGAGTGAGTCCCAGAAACAAAAACTCAGATACCACTGAGTGATTCTCTCCATCCATTGGTCCAGCCAACTGGGCTGTGGCTAAAATTATGAGAACTAAGAAAATGGGGAGGAAATTGTGATTATGAAGATAATAATATGTACTAAAATCAATATTGCAATGTCACTATGAATAAATAGTATACAGTTATTCTGTTCCTCACATATTAAAAACAAAAAATCAACATAATATTATCACAACATGTGAGCTGCAACCTGATTTAAACCCATCATCAATACTTTCAGTGTAATGTCTGATCTAAAATTAACAGATTAGGTAAGAACAAGATTCCTGACTATCCATGAAATTCATCAGGTGTTTAAATGACCTGCGATATTAACTATTCCTCATTTCCAACATATTCCATTTGTACTTATACATATTCTTATAATTTCCTTCCCTTCCCAGTTTGCAGCCACAATTCTCTGACAGAAAGTAGACATAAGAGGAAAACATGATTAACAGATGGATTATCACCTGCAGTAAGAGGTGCCTGGGACGGACTTAGTTGAGGTAGGCTGTGGATTGAGACAGAATATAGAGACTGGGGTATGTGAAATCGGAAAGCCCACAACTGTAGCAGAACAGAGTAAGTGGACTTTCACAAGAAATAGAATCACCACCATTATCTACCACATTTTCTCATGCTCACTGCTATTTAAGTGCCTCAGTTTCTATACAATCTTTCACAATTACGAAGCCCTAAATGGCTTCCCATCCTGCAGTGATTTCATAAGGAGCCTATGCCACCTGTCATGTAAGGCTTTTTCCATGCCTAATAAATATGTTTTGGAGGGATTTCACCAGAGTTTTTGCTAAGATGCATAAAATGGCCACAGAGGTTGTGAGAAATCTCTGCAGTTTCTCTTTGTCTATACACATGAAAGTATTGAAGACCAGCACTTGGATTAGTTAAGATAATGTTTTAATTCATCACTGTCTCCTCCTCCCCTTGGTACCAGCTTTTATGTTCATTGCATTCCCCATCCTTTTAAGTACTCAGTACCTCCTGCATGGTAACCTATTCTGATATTTGATATTATCATGCTTAATTTGACTGAATCCATTTGGATATTTTATCTTTAAGAAATTTGTAGTTTTATACTTTTAATTTATGATAAAATTAGATTAATATCAAACATTAACAAGTGACTTTTAGGAAGGTATATGAGCTTTCTTATTGACTTCAAACTATAAAGTACAAACTGTGACACTAGAAATTTAGTCCTTTAACACATGTTGTATTTATATGTGAAGTGGAGGGTGAGCAGAAAACAGTGTTATATTTCTCTGTGTCCAGATGGATACTCACCTCAATGATTTTCCTATAGTAGAAAGTAGTTCCTGAAAACACTTAATAGAGATTATTTTAGAAGTTGCTGAGGTACAAATAAAACTGCTATGCTGACATCATACTTTTTTGCACCAACAACTCCAGTTCTTCTGACACAAAGGACCATCTTCCTAGTGCCATAATTTATCTTAGACCCCAAAACTCACAGAGGCACACATCATATCTCTAATACTTGCTCACCACCACTGGCATGAGTCTCTCTCTATCCTCTTCTACGTGAAGTGATTATACTGTCACCTCTGGAGCTAACTGTCCACAGTCTCAAGATGCACACTTTTTACAACCAGAAGCCTATGGACTGGGTGAGGGAGCAGAAACAGCCACAGGTACTGCCCATCAGGGTAATGTAAGTCAGCATGCAAACAACTGATCAGATGAACATGAATAGCAAGGTGCTGAGGCACTGGGAAGAGGGACCGGAAAACTCTATAATTGTTGAAAAAGACTCAAGCCCTTGGGAAGGGAAATGCCTACGAAATTATATAAAGACCATTTTATCCAAGTTGGTCATCATTCAGATGAAAACCATGAGGCCCAGAAAAGTAAACTGAGTTTCCAGAATTCACACAATTGATAGAATAGGAACCAGAATTCAGGCCTCTTGCTTCCTATTCCAGAAAGACAAATTGCAATAATAATCAAATAATATGAGCAATCATCCAGTAAAAATAATCTAGTAAAAACAGCAAAACTCAAAAGAGTGATTTTTCCTGGTTAAGACCAAAACTAACCATAGATTGCTATACATAGTATCTATTATAAATACTGAATTATATAGCAGCCTGACAATAAATACATAAAATGTGTACACAAAGATTATTGAACCTGTACAATACAGTAGTAAATAGTAACTTTATATTTGCAAAGTGACTGATCATTACTATCAGAATTTGTACCCATTCTTCATATTTTGTTGGTCATATAACCAGTTACTACAACTGCAAAAACAACCTAAGGTCATGTTTCTGTGAAGTCCATCCTTTTGGTCTTTAAATTTTATTATCCTCAAAGGTCAATTATGATCTCAATCTTTTCTTGTAATTTTACTGACAATTCTCCTTCACACTGATTTGTTCTTTCTCTAATTCCTGTAAATAGAAAGAACCAAAAAAAGTTGAAAAAACATGTATTGTACATATAACAAACAATCATATGTGGTATACAATATATATCAAATGAGTATTAAGATAAACATTCAAAGAGTTTTAAAGAAAAAAGTGTTATAGATATTGGAGGGCAGAAGAGACGATTGCCATTAAGAACAGGTGGAGGAGGTTATGCCAAGGACATTGACCTGACCCTTTAGGAATTAGTGAAAATTGAATAGGAGAAGAATGAGGTATACAATGTGTGAAAAATACCTAAATTGATATAACAGGAGGAGACCTTTTCATATCAATTATCATTACTTCTGTGTATATAACCATATTAGATACCCACAAACGAATAGAAAGTGGATAGTTCTTGATTGACAAGTAAGACTAATAATCCCAGATCATAGTAAGGTCTTAACTTCAAGTCAATAATCTTTATTACTTATGGTTCATTCCTCTCCCTCATGTTTTCCAATAATTTTAAAATGCATAATTAAAACAATTCTCATTTAAAAACATAGTAGCCATGACTAATGATCTTCCAGTGGGAAGGTACTAAGACTTTACAACATGTTTCTTGCTGGGGATAAGACAGCCTACAGCCAGCATTCAACTCATTTTTCTAAAGTCTATGGATCAATTTGAAATACAGAAAAAGTAGAACAGAGATAAAGTTAAAAAAAGATTAAAAATATGGGAAGAATGGGAGAAAGGGGAGATTAGAAGATATGAACAATGATTTAAAAATAAAAGAGCCTCAAAGGAGAAGAGAAACTGCTAAGCAAGACTAAGGTAGGATGAAATACAGTAGTCTCTGTTTCTGAGAACACAGGTTAAAAAGAACATAAATAAAATAAATTTATCACCTTTAATACACTCATTCAAGGATGCTACTGAGTTTGACTTTGGGAATTTCTCACCTTTAATACACTCATTTGGGGATGCTACGGACTTTGACATTGGGTTGCATTTAAAGGGGGAGAGAAAGGGCAGTTGCTTCTATTATCGCCCTGTTGGACTCACAGAGTTTCTTTGAAAAGCACAGATGATAATAAATGGAAATATTGCCTTTTATACTATACAATAATATACACATGCAATTCACTGGAAAAAGTATACTTGTTACTATGATTTGAGGATACTACCATATACTAATCAAGAGAAACACATGTACAGAACAAAGAAGCCACATGAAATTTTTACTAGTGTGTGTTTTCCTTGTGTTCTACCACCCCAGGAGCAGCTTCTGCTACTGAAGATCACAGTAGAGTTATTTCCAAAAGTTGTGGGTCTGCAGGGTGGACTTATCACATAGCTGTTTGCCAAAATTCAAAAGTCCAGAAACCGTTTCCAAATTTTCACCTCTTTTATCTTCAAATCCTAAAACTATGAAAATTCACAAACTTAGCTCCATACATTATGGTAGAAAGGTTAATAATTTGGACTTTGAGTTTGACCAGGCCTGATTTTTGAATAAATTCACAAACTTACCTCCATACATTATGGTAGAAAGGTCAATAATCTGGACTTTGAGGTCGACCAGGCCTGATTTTTGGATCCAGGCTGCAACACTCACTTGCTGTGTTAACGTAACAAAGTTCCTAGACCATGCTGAGCTTCAGTTTACTTGTTATTGAATTAGGGATATAGCGTTCAAAGGAAGAAGTTCTAGTATTTGATTGCACAGCAGAGAAATTATAGTTATTGAACTGGGGATATGTAGATAGACATAATAAATTTTAGTATTCAATTATACAATGGAGAAATCATAGGGAACAATAATTTATTATATATTCTAAAATAGCTAGCAGAGAAAAATTATAATGTTCCCAACACAAAGAAAAGATAAATATTCGAGGTGATGAATATCCAAATTACTCTGATTTGATCATTACACATTGTATACATGTATCAAAAATATCACATGTACCCCAAAACATGTACAACTATGATACATCAATAAAAAACAACAAAAAAACCAAAAGAATAGAAATCAAAAATAAATACATAAATACATAAAATAGGGATAATAATACCTCCCTTGCTTGCTTGCTCCCTTGCTCCATTTGTAAGAAATAAGTGATATAATATAGGTAAAAATACTTAACCTCATACCTACCACACAGTATAGCACAATAAACGTTATTTATTATAATCTGAGGCCTACCTACATAAGTGACTTTCAAGTATAGAAAATTATTTCTCAAATTTTAAATACTCCCTGATTCTCAGGTATGGTAATTAGACCTGGCTTTAGGTAAAGCTCTCATGTCTACACTTGGATTTAATCACTTAAGTATATTTCCCAGTGCCCCCCCCAAAAAAAATTGCTCCTAGGTGGACACACTAATCAAAGACTTCCTGAGAAATGCAGGAAGAAGTTTTGTCCTCTGACCACGCTACACCCTTTCCTTGATGGTAAGCCCCATAATCTAAAGCCATAAGTTTCAATTCCTCACATAAAAAGAAAAAAAATGTCTTTTATGACCACTTCAGATAACACTGGATATTTCCCTTGTCATTAGGAATGAGAAATGGGAGGAAGGTAAACTTGTAGACAGGAGAATTGGTAGATGCTTGAAAGGATTTCTGAAAACTGTGCCTATCCAGGTGTACAAATGTGTTGACCAGCCAAGGCAAAGCAGTCAAACCATACAATACCTTATCCTCAGGAAAATGGACTTTTCTCCCAAATTGCCTTTTTCATGAAAAATATAAAATTCTCCAGTTTCAACCTCATGTTAAATTTCACATGTGAAGAAAACAGTCATGCACATCAGAAAATTAAATGGCGAGTCAAGACCAAATTCCTAGTCACAGTTATGTTCTGTTTCCAGTATTACCTTCTCACTTATTCATTTTGTTAAAGTGGAGCCAAAATAGAAGTGGGTGTCACACATCAAGAAAGACTGAAGTCGTACAAAGCCGATCCTTATCCAACGTGCATTAAAATATGCATCAGGCATGTGTGATGCATATAGTAGAAGTGGAACAAATCAGGCCAGGTGCAGTGGCTCACGCCTGTCAGCCCAGCACTTTGGGAGGCCAAAGCAAGCAAATCGCTTGAGATCAGCAGTTCAAGAAGTGTAACAAATCCTCTACAATATAAGTAGAGTGAAAAGAGATAGCTACAGTGATGAGGGAAGGCACTATAGTGATGTGGCATTTGAGTATAGCCATAAAAGAGGATAAATATTACAATACATGAATATAGGGTCTAAAGAAGTCTTTTCAAGTAGATTGTAAAATATTTCAAAAATGGTAAGTTTGGTGTATGTTGAAGCATACAGATTGTCTACATCCTAAAAATCATTTTGGTGAATAAAGGAAAATAAGAAAGGTAGTCAATATTCATTTGTTGCCTATCATTAGAAACTTCTCAAAGGTATATGAGAATTATTAAATAAATTTAGGAAGCCAGTGAAGGTATGGGTCCCGGGAATTGAGGATGAAGCCAGTAATTAGGGAAGATGCCCTATCTATAAGTGTGATGTATCAAATGGAGGAAAAGAAAAACGGAGGGAAGGAGTTCCCTTAAGAGAAGATTGAAATAGAGCAGACTTGGGGGGCTACACAGAGGAACTGGGACTACACAGTTCCAGCTTTTTTTTTTTTTTTTTTTTTTTTTTTTGAGACGGAGTCTCGCTCTGTCGCCCAGGCTGGAGTGCAGTGGCGCAATCTCAGCTCACTGCAAGCTCTGCCTCCCGGGTTCACGCCATTCTCCTGCCTCAGCCTCCCGAGTAGCTGGGACTACAGGCGCCCGCCACTGCGCCCGGCTAATTTTTTGTATTTTTAGTAGAGACGGGGTTTCACCTTGTTAGCCAGGATGGTCTCGATCTCCTGACCTCATGATCCACCTGCCTCGGCCTCCCAAAGTGCTGGGATTACAGGCGTGAGCCACCGCGCCCGGCCCACAGTTCCAGCTTTAAGGCTATAGAAACAGAAATAGAAATACTGGTAAGTAAAAACCCAAAGGATTGGTGACTTATCACAGCTGGAGTGAATACGAAGGAGCATGAACTCAAAGAAAATATCAAGATTTAAGCAAGAATAAATAGGACAATGGTAGGTCCATTTTTAGAAATTAGAAAGTTGAACATAAAATATGTCAGGGTGGAGAAAATAATCACGTGTATTTTAAGCAAATAAGAGTATTAGATATTGAGATGCTCAGGTGAAAACATATGACAGGATATATGGGGGAAAAGTACAAATTCAACATGTAATTGTATAGTAATCCATATAAAAATAATAGACGGATGTGTAAGAGTGCATAAGGTCCCTGAAGGAAATAATACACAGGAAAAAAAGATTAAAAAGCAAAGACCCAACTATAGAAACTATCCACATTGATTATGTAAAGTAGGAAAAGGAATCAATAAACTAGACAGAACATCACAGAGGTAGGAGGACAAGTGCTGGCCTCAAGGAGCCAACACAGAAGCAGGTATCAAGAATAAAGGAGGAGAAGAGAGAACAAAGAGAGAGAGAAGAGAACTTCTGTGGCAGAAGATCAAGTGGGATGGTAGAATAAAGGAGAAGAAATACAAGAAAATTGAAATAAAATTTACAGAAATGTTCTACATTGTAAGTGGGCAGTTTTGACCTGGCACATTGTTGGCACACATTATAAATGTCAAATGTATTAATGAATGAATGAATGGATAATATAATGAATGTGATGGAGTTGTCAAAAGCTGAATTAATTAAAAGTCCCCACGAGAGGTTAGATGACAAAATTTTCAGAAACTTTCCATGCCACTCTGTTGTGACATCAACAGTGCTGGACCCTTGAAATCAAACCAAAAGGATTCCACCATGAGAATGAAAAGGGCTGAGAAGGGGAATGCTGGGTGACACAGAAGGTGACAAAGGGCGAAAGGTTTCTAGGCATTTGATAGACTGATGGACGTCCGCGCTGACCATAAGGCACAGGCCACACAGGAAGGAAAATGAGACCCAACGCGAAGAAAAGTAGGGCTAAACAGTCGGGAAAATGTGGGAAGAAGGATGAATAGTCATACGATCAACTCAGATTCCTCCCTGACATTCTTCTACAGCTTTATTCTCGTCCTTTGGGAGCCGAGATGTTCATTTTCCTACATTCTTAGCTGCCTACACACGGCGACTTTTCTCCACGGTGCCTGATCCCTGCTGCATCCTCCTTCTCTAGTGGCAACAGCAAATGGCCACACAGAAGGCAGACATTGCACCCAACTGAGGAGAATGTAATTCACTCATTGCCAGTCACAGACCTTGGCTCACCGATTTACTAAGTATAGATTTTATTTCTATCCCTCACCTACCTGTTTTGCCAAGGGAACTAAGAAAAGAGCATCATCAAAAATTCAGATAGGTATAGTTCTCACAAGATGAACCAGATCCAGTACGGCATCACTGCAGACATACACACAGAGCTGCATAAAACAGGAAGAGAGCTGCTAATCACAGCCCCAGAGGGTAGTGGCCAAAGTGATGCCTTGGAGATCCGAGAATGCCAGACTGAGATCACACGGCCTGGGGAATTACCGCCTATGGTCATTTTGGTTTTCCCGGGATAGCCATGTTAATTGGGTGAAATAAAGCATATTTGATTTTCTTATGACAAAAAAGGGCTTTTGCCATTGTCTACAGATGATACTTTAAATCTTTATTTTATGACTAAAGGTGAATTCCAGAGCAACATTAAATGTTGTCCCTTTAAATTTTTAATCATTTGCATAACGATTACCATAATATTCAATTTAAACATAAAATGTAATTGAAAGTATGAGATTAATATGTGGACATGAAATCATATAATGTTCCATGGAAAAAATAGAATGTATAAGGCAAAGAGGTTTAAAGTAACATCAAAACTAACGCTCACTATACAAATTCTATGAAATCCTCATAATTACACTGTGAAGCAGGTGTTGTTAGAGCCACATAATCTCAAACAAATTATTTATTATCTAAAATTACATAGATATTAAAAGGTTAGGCCATATATGAATTTAGGATTCTCTCAAAAATTTTTTCTCTTTCTCCTACATCAAACTTCCCTAAATTATAGAAAAGTCACAATGTTACCAAACATATTCACAAAACACATATAATCTTGAATCCAAATTTCAGTTACAGCAGAAAAAATAAAACTCTAGATCAATCTCAATCGTGTAAATAAATTCAGATTTCCAATCTAAGAGTCTCAATTTGACATACTTCTTTCTCTCTCTTCTTTCAAACCAGGAGAAATATAAATATGAGCCACAACCTTACAAAAGCTAGAAAATATTTACAATTCCACACAACAACACATGAAGAAAACCTTCTGGACATCAAAAGTTTAAACCAGTCAAGACTGAACACCAAGATAAAGTGCATGCCTCTGAAGAGCTTGAGCTAGTCAAGAAGCCCAGAAATCCCTAAAAGAGGTGTGTATACTGAGGACTGAGGATCAAAACCTGTGATCTTTACTTGGAACAGAAATATTGCAGCATGTGAACCCTCCACAGAGTGACAGAGGGAAAGGAGTTTAAAGGGAAACATGCAAATGTATCACCTTTGGAATAATTAGGACACGTGTGTGGTGTAATGAAAGAAGGCAAAAAGATGGGGAAGAAGCCAGACAGATGGCAATTTTCATTCTATTATGAAAAGAAAAGGATAAGTCACAAGTCACATGACGAAATTAACAACTATGAATCCACTCTAAGCCATAGTCAATCCTATAGCCTAGGAGTCATTCTAACAGATGAGAGTGTTTTGGAGACAAGATTCCAAAACTCGTCTGCCTTCCATCATACTTACTACCCCCAGCTCCTCCTCCACAATATCCTTTCACAAGTATCTAGAATATTCAAAGACTAATAATATTATATAATTATTTATAATAATTGTATTACAAAAATAAAACTTGATGACCTTTATAAAAATACTAGAAGAAAAAGGGAAAATTACATAAGGTACAGAACATACAAATTATACCATGAAGCAGTAAAAAACAGGATCAAATTTTCTATGTTTTTTAAAAATATGCCTTCTCTAAAATGTTTTCTCTCTGAAATGATATTTAGAAGACATAATTGAAAATAAATACAAAATAAAGTGATAAAAAATAATCTGGCAAAATTCAGGATGTAATGAGTAAAGACAACCATGAAAGAAATGAAGATCAATAAAAGCAGGAAAAAAAGTGGGAAGTGGAGAGAATAATGCTGCTAAAAACACAGATAAGAATATAAATGACAGGCTTAAATATATCCTGAGCAAAACGAAATAGAAAACACAAGAAGGTGAAATGTAACATTAAAGTCAGGTCCAACAAATGAGAAATTAGTGTGAAAGAGCTCACAATATCTGGTTAAAAAATTCAAAGATAAAAGAAAACTTTTCTGAAATGAAGAAAACATTGAATCTAATGGTTAAAGGGCTTATCTTTATCCAGAAAAAATGTGTTATAGTATGACCACATCAAGGCAGATGCAACTGAATTTACCGGACTTCACAAACACAAAATAAACAACCCACAAAAAAAAAAAAAAAAAATAGAGTCCCCATGAGGCTTTAATGAAGACAACTATTAGAGGCCAGGCGCAGGGGCTAACACCTACAGTCCCAACACTTTGAAAGGCCAAGGCAGGAGAATCACTTGAGCCCAGGAGTTCAAGATAAGACCAGCCTGGGCAACATAGCAAGACCCCATCTCTATCAGAAAAACTTAAAAAAGAAAACTATCCACTAAAAATGAATAGAGATAACATGATACAAGTGAGCATTCTGAAGCCTAATATCAAAATGTTCTGGGGTTTGCGGTTAAAGAACAGAATGCAAATGTTACAAACCATAACTGTATAAAGACTAATTATATTCATAACAAAAATAAGAAGAGAAAGATAGTAGAAATATATTCTGGTCCATTCAACTTTCACAGTGGGAGAGAATCAACAAATTATGTTATGGGTGATTAAATATTATTTTAAAAGATAAAGGTCATTATTAGAAAAATTAAAAATAACAAAATCAAATAAAGTTGAATGACGAAGGTGGGAGAGGAAAGTGGGTTTAAGGGGTAAAGTGGAACTATATTAAAAGAGTCAATGGAGAGCACCCTTGGAAATAACACAAAAATTAAAGAACTAAATATAATTTATACAGCACATAACTAAACTATAAATCTTCAAATTAAAAGAAAATAGGTACATACAAAATATCACATAGAGAGATATTAATACCATGAAAATATTAAAATAAAAGCATAAAATTAATTCATTTATTTACCCTATTAGTATTTTTTGAACACCTATGTGCCAGGTATTGTGCTGAATGCCAGTAAGATATAGTTCCTGCATCTTGGAGTTTTCGTGGAGGAGACAGAGATTAATCAAACAATCACACAAATGTAAAATTGCAACCATAAAAATTACTCTGAAATACAATGAAAATTACTATAAGAGAGGGATTTGATGTGAGTCAGAGAAGTTTCCCCTAAGAAAGCAACACTGAAGCTGAGATCTAAAGGGTAAACAGCAGTTAACTGAGTGGAGAACAAAGGTTTTCCTGCAGGGGGAACAATCTGCTCCCCGAGGCCAGAGTGGGGCCTTGGGAGTTGTGCCTGAAACCACATTGTGAGGAAGTGAGGGGAAGCATTGTGCAGATAATGCTGAAATAAGTAGTGGAAGATGCTTCCTAAGAGAATGAGAAATCCAAGACTACTAAGCAGAAGAATGATTTGACCAGATTTCACATTTGTAAATATCACTATGGTTACAATGTATAGAATGGATTTTAAGGAATTCAAATTGGATACAGGTGAGTCAATTACAAAGCAACATGCTTGCCAAGGCAAGAAATTTGATTACTTAAACTAGATATGGGAGTTTTGGAAATAAGTAGATAAATTTGTCATATATTTGAGATAATAAATCACCATGACTTGATGGTAGACTTAGTTGGAGATGCCCTCACTAGTGCACCATCTAATGCTTCAAGTCTAATAATTATTCAATTCCTCCAGAGCCACCAATCCAATGGTTCTACCATATTTATGCTGTCATTCACTTTACTGATATCCTTCTTACCTTACCTCTTTTCCCACTTTATATTCCATGATCAATACCTTGCTCCCTCGTAATGATTGTACTCACTCTTCCAAACAACAATCCTGATAAATCCTACTCTCTGCCTTCTACATCTTGATACCACACAGCTATATGTGGCTAGATAAAACAATCACACTGACAATCATCCTATGCTTTCTGAATCCATCACTCTTCTACTTTTTCAGATCTTTTCTTTCTCCCTCATCCTTACCATGTAATGAACTCATTTTGCATGTCAAGGGCTAAAAGTTGAATATTTTAAAAGTTCTCATTTTCCCACTACTATATAAACCAACAAATATCTTTAGTCTGCATTCACAAATAACATAACAAATGAGCTCTTCATATTTCTATCTGTGGTGAATTAAGATGACTAGAAATTTTGTGGCACCATCCTGTTGAAAACGTGGGGACATATTCTTTCTCCTTGAACCTGGGTGGGCTCTTTGACTGCTTTGACCAATAAAATACAGTGAAAGTAAAACTTCCAGTTTTGATGTCCAGATGTTAAAAGCCTTGAAGCTTCCATTTCTACATCTTGGAACCAACGTGTGTGGGGTGCTGAGTCGGTATCGAAGAATTCTGCTTATTCTGCTTGCATTAGTCCATTTTCATGCTGCTGATAAAGACATATCCAAGACCGGGTAATTTATGAATAAAAAGAGTTTCATGGAATCACAGTTCCATGTGGATGGGGAGGCCTCACAATCATGGCAGAAGGTGAAAAGTATGCATTACATGGGAGCAGACAAGAGACAATGAGAGCTGAGTGAAAGGGGAAGCCCCTTGTAAAGTCATCAGCTCTCATGAGACTTATTCACGACCATAAGAACAGTATGGGGGAGCCACCCCATCATTCAATTATCTCTCACCAGGTCCCTCCACAACACATGGGAATTATGGGAGCTACAATTCAAGATGAGATTTGGGAAAGGACACAGCCAAACCACCTCATTCTGCCTCTGGCACCTCCCAAATCTCATGTCCTCACATTTCAAAACCAATCATGCCTTCCCAATAGTCCCCAAAAGTCTTAACTCACTTCAGCATTAACTCAAAAGTTGGCAGTCCAAAGTCTCACCTGAGACAGGGCAAGTCTCTTCCACATATAAACCTGTAAAATCAAAAGCAATTTAGTTATTTTCTAGATAAGATAGGAGTACAGGCATTGGGTAAATGCAGCCGTTCCAAATGGTAAAATTTACCCAAAACAAAGGGACTAAAGGCTCCAAGCAAGTCCGAAATCCAGTGGGACAGTCAAATCTTAAAGCTCCAAAATGATCTCCTTTGACTCTATGTCTCACATCCAGGTCATACTCATGCAAGTGGTGGGTTCCCATGGTCTCAGGCAGCTCCACCCCTGTGGTTTTGCAGGGGAGAGCCTTCCTCCCGGTTGCTTTCACAGGCTGGCATTGTATGCAGCTTTTCCAGGCACACAGTGCAAGCTGTCAGTGGATCTACCATTCCGGGGTCTGGAGGACAGCAGCCCTCTTCTCATAGCTCCACTAGGCAGTACCCTAGTGGGGACTCTGTGTTGGGGGCTTCAACCCCACATTTCCATTCCCCACTGCCTTAGCAGAGGTTCTCCATGAAGACCTCACCCCTGCAGCAAACTTCTGTCTGGAGATCCAGGCATTTCCATACATTCTCTGAAATCTAGGTGGAGGTTCCCATACCTCGATTCTGGACTTCCGTGAATCCACAGGCTCAACACCACATGGAAGCTGCCAAAGCTTGAGGCTTGCACCCTCTGAAGCCATGGCCTGAGCTGTACCTTGACCCCTTTTAGCTGTGGCTGGAGCAGCTGGGACACAGAGCACCAAGTCCCTAGGCTGTACACAGGCAAACAGCAGAGGGGCCCTGGGCCCAGCCTATGAAACCATTTTTTCCTCCTAGGCCTCTGGGTGTGTGATGGAAGGGGCTGCCACAAAGATCTCTGACATGGCCTGAAGACTTAGCGATTAACATTTGGCTCCTTGTTACTTATGCAAATTTCTGCAGCCAGCTTGAATTTCTCCTCAGAAAATGGATTTTTCTTTTCTATCACAGTGTCATGCTACAAATTTTCTGAACGTTTATGCTCTGTTTTCCTGTTAAAACTGAGTGCTTTTAACACACCCAAGTCACTCTTGAATGCTTTGCTGCTTAGAAATTTCTTCTGCCAGATACCCTAACTCATCTCCCTCAAGTTCAAAGTTCCACAAATCTCTAGGGCAGGGACAAAATGCTGCCAGTCTCTCTCGATAGCAAGAGACACCTTTACTGCAGTTCCCAGTGAGTTCCTCATCTCCATCTGAGACCATCTCAGCCTGGATTTCATTGTCTATATCATTATTTGACATTTTAGTCAAAGCCATTCAACAAGTCTCTAGGAAGTTCCAAACTTTCCCACATTTTCCTGTCGTTTTCTGAGCCCTCCAAACTGTTTCAACCCGTGCCTGTTACCCAGTTCCAAAGTCGCTTCCACATTTTTGGGTTATCTTTACAACAGCACCCCACTCTACCAGTACCAATGTACTGTATTAGTCTGTTTTCATGCTGCTGATAAAGACATACCTGAGACTGAGTGATTTATGAAGAAAAAGACACTTAATGGACTCACATTTCCAGGTGGATGGGGAGGCCTCACAATCATGGTGGAAGGCAAAAGGCACATCTCTACATGATGGCAGACAAGACAGAATGAGAGCTGAGTGAAAGGGGAACCCCCTTATAAAATCATCAGCTCTTGTGAGACTTATTCAAGACCACGAGAACAGTATGGGGGAAATACTCCTGTGATTCAGTTATCTCCCGTTGGATCCCTCCCACAAGACACGGAAATTATGGGAGCTACAATTCAAGATGAGATTTGGGTGGGGACACAGCCAAACCATATTGCTGCTGAATAGATCATGTAGACAGGCTCTCAAACTACACGGAGAGCAAGAGAGGCCCACCTTACCACAACATTTCATCCAATCCACTAATAAAACAGGCACATCACTGAAGCCACCTTCAACTCTCCAGACTACCCAGCTGCCAGCTGAATACCACAGATGGCTACAGTTAATACCACACGGAGCAGAATCATGTAGCTAAGCCCTGCTTGCACTAATACAAGTCCACAATTTTTTTTAAGTTTGTTGTTTTAAGCTGCTAAGTTTTGAGGTGGTTTGTGGTACGTGGAATAAGATGTCACTCTAATATAATATAAACTTAAACTATGTGGCATTGGCTTTGGAATCAGACAATGGATAGAAGCCAGAAGGATTTCACAAAGACTGTTAGTGAAAAGTGAACAGACTTCAAGGAAAATGATAGCAAAACCTGTAAAAGCATTCTGGGAACTGACAGTAAACACTGAATGGTCCTTAAGGAGACTGAAAACTTGAAAGAGCTTAAGAAGTCTACTGGAAAGGGCTTTAAGGATAATGAGAAAAAATCATCAGTGGAGGCTGAGGAAAAGGCACCAAAGTCATATTCTGATGGGAGAGTTAGAAAACGCTTGCCTGGAATGATATAAAAAATAGGAAAAATACCGAAAAAGTTTGTGGATCTGGCTGGGGAGATTTTTGGTGTCAACTAAAGAAAAAAATTAAGCTTTTAAGAAATTAAAGTTAGATTTATTTAGGGGTCTGAGAACAAGAGACTGAGGATTACAGCCTAGGAGAAGTCTTTCAGAGAGGTTCTGTCAGACTGCTCTGGTGAAGGTCTTTAGCCCACAGTTTATATGCAGGCTGTACATATACACCATGGAATACTATGCCGCCATTAAAAAATGATATCATGTCTTTTGCTGGAATATGGATGGACCTTCTATTATCCTTAGCAAACTAATGCAGGAACAGAAAACCAAATACAGCATACTCTCAGTTATAAGTGGGAGCTAAATGATGAGAACTAATGAACACAAAGAATAAAACAGACACTGGGGTCTACTTGAGGGTGGAGGGTGAGAAAAGGAAGAGAAGCAGAAAAGATAACTATTGGGTACTAGGTTTAATACCTGGATGATGAAATAATCTGTACAATAACCCCCTGTGACACCAGTCTACCTATGTAACAAATGCCCCTAAACTTAAAATAAAAGTTAAAAAAAAAGAAAATTAAAATCTCCTTATCATCTACCTGGTAATATGAAAAACACAAATCTTTCATTCATTCCTTTCAATTGATGAGGAAACTGAGGCATTGGGAGTTAGTAAAAGTCCACATTGAGATATGAGACCCACCACTGGCTGGACGCAGTGGCTCACACCTGTAATCCCAGCACTTTGGGAGGCCGATGCTGGTGGATCACCTAAGGTCAGGAGTTCGGGACCAGGCTGGCCAACATGGTGAAACCCCCATCTCTACTAAAAATACAAAAATTAGCTGGGTGTGGTGGCAGGCACCTGTAATACCAGCTACTGGGGAGGCTGAGGCAGGAGAATCGCTTGAACCCAGGAGGTGGAGTTTATAGTGAGCCAAAATCATGCCATTGCACTCCAGCCTGGGCAACAAGAGCAAGACTCTGTCGGGGAAAAAAAAAAAAAAAAACCACCACCATCATTTTGCAAGTGTTACCACTATTGTGTGTTAATATTGTAGAAGTATTCCTAATTATGATTTCTTTGTATTCCTAATTGTAATAGCTTTGTATTTGAAAAATTATTGATTCATACTCTATATGTTATTATTTTGTATGCGATGACAACAGAATATATTATCATGCTCCTTTTGTGAATCTCATTCATAATATAAAGTATAAATTTGTGATTTTGCTTTAATTTGAAATATTAACTTCAAATATGTTATCACAATTTGATACAAACTATTGACAGTAAATCTGTGGATTAAGTAATGTCTTAGTAGGTATTGGGAAAATTTGAAACTAGTAACATGGAGGACTATTGTCATTGTTTATTTCAAAGCCAGTTAAAATTCTGCAAAGCAGTGTACATAAAAATAATTTCAAGAAATTTATAAAATACCGAGATTATGGTGTATAAACAACTTTAGATTCTTTGTTTAAGAAATTCTGCCAGTTTGTAATATATGCTTCATTCAAAGTAGCTAAGGGCTGTACCTGGCTAATAGTAGGCACCTAATATTTGTTGAAAAGGAATACTGAGTAGCTGGGACCTCCTGAGTAGCTGGGACCACACACATTTAACCTGTATTTATAAAATTACTGTTTAGAGAATAACATTTGATGGAATCATGCTTTTACTTTCTGCTTACGACTCAATTGTTTGTACTGACATTAACATCCCAAATCCTTAGCATGGCCTACAAGGCCCTGAGCAATGTGGCACCTGCTGAAGCCTGCTGCCTCATTTAATAACTCTTTGTCTCTTTCCCAGATCCAGCCACTCTAACATTTTTTAGCTCCTGGACCAAGACAAGCTCTTCCCAGAACCTGACCTTTGTACCTGTTCTTTATTCCTGGAGTATTTTTCCCCTGACAAATTACTTATCATCTATCATAATTCAGGTTAAATGGCACTAACTCAGGGAAGGCTTCCCTAACTGCCTCCCTTCTCCAACCAAATTAGGAACAATTATATGGCCACATAGTATCGAATCAAGTTTATAATTTTAAAATAATTGGGAGATTTTGTTGTTTAACACTTGTTTTCACTATAAGACTGTAATTACATGCAAGTAAGAACCATGCCTGTTTGTTCACTCCTGCCACAGTCAGAATAGTGCCTGGAATATGCAGTAAGGGCTGAACAATCACTAAATAAATGAACAAGTGAATAAATGGATATTGTCTCATTTTTAGAACAGAGTACTGAATGGATCATGAACACTATCTGGTATGTCACGTAGGTAATTTACAAGGGCTACAATTTCAGCTCAGATTTACCTTTTCCTGGATACAGGTCTTGATAGGTCTCTTGATGTCATTTCACTTCAGATTCTTCTTTAGAAAACTTGGACAATAGCATTTGCTGTCTTGTCCAAATTGTTACTAAGAATCAAGAGAGATATCTGACATGAAATGACATTGGAAAACATTAAACACGATTGAAATAATGCTAGCCAATATGGTTATTATTAGAAACCAATTACATTTTCAACTTAAAAATAGTAATACTTATTGCAGACTCAAATGTGCTTATTCTAAAACAAGTAAATGTTTGCCTATGGTCTGAGATTCTAATCCACGGAGTTCATTCTAATCCACATTCAACACTATCATGTACCAGTGGGCCTCATAACCCACCTAGCCCTGTGATTTTTCAGGTTCACTTTTCTAAACTTGTGAATTAAATATTTATTTTCTTAGTTCAGAAGAGGAAAAAAACTCTTGTAATTGTTGCCCATTTCAGGAGAAATCTTGCATATGAAAACAAGAGATAAATATACACAACTGAGGGCTGTGGTTTAAACAAAATCTTGAGAATGTTTTTTGACCTTATACATTTGTGCTTTAGTATAACAAAATGATATAGACAAAGGTAACTTTTAATAGAACCAGTCACTAAATTAAAAAAATGACAAATTCTTCTGCTTAGCTAAGCAACAGAGAAGGTAAAATACTAATTCAATTCATCAATTTAAGCAATACTCATTAAGAGCCAAGTATGTGCTTACTGAATAAGCTGCTAAGGTTTGGTGGTTACAGAGTGTGCGGTGAAATGATGTCTACATCACAGTCCAACATTCACAGAGTTTAAAAGCCTACCAAGAATCAAGACAGACACAAATACCTAACATAGACGTTTGTATATGATAAGAGAGCCAGAGTACAATTTAGGAGAAGAAATTGTATGGAAGGAAGGTTCATTTCCATTAGACCAGAAAAGACAGCACATTTGAAGGCCTGAATAAGAAATATTCTGGATAAGATATTGTGGCTGCTACCAGAATGGCTCTTGATGATCTCTACCTCTTGGTATTTATACCCTTATATAATCTCTTTCCTATAGTGTAAGCTGGTCCCAGGTACTTGTTTCTATTGAATAGAATAGAACAAAAGAAATGAGATGCCACTTCTGAGATTAGATTATAAGATACTGTGAATTTCATCTTGTGCCCTCTCCCTCTCTCTCTTTCTCTTGCCCTCTCATTTGAATGAAGCCAACTGGCATGCTGTCAGTGGCCCAGTGTAAGTCCTGTTACAAGAAATTGATGATTACCTGTAGCCAACCCTAAGTGAAGAACTGAGGTCCTCAGTCCTACAAATGGAGAGAAACTGAATCTAGCTAAGAACCATGTGAGTGAGCTGGGAAGAAGATCCACCCTCAGTTGAAATTTAAGATGACATATTGAGCAGACATACTGAGACACACTGAAAGTAAGAGAGCAGGAGGAAACAAAACCAGGGTCATACAAAGAACACAACTGATTTTGAGATTCTCACATAAGTATTACACCTTCAGTGAGCACGTGTACTAGAAATTTAAAAAATAAATAAAATAAACCTTCAAAGTGAGCTAGCAAATAAATTTCCCTATGGTCTCAGCTCTGAGTGGAGAGAGAAAATGTTCCCTGTGGAGTTTATAGCCAGAATCCAGCTCTCAAACAGGTTTCAGCCTGAACTCACACAATCTGTGTGGCTTCCAAATTTGCAAGCTGAGAATTTAATTCAAAGTGGTCTCAGGTTGATAGCAGTCCAAAATGCTAGGTAGGAAAAAAAATCCTCTCTGGACAAATAAATCATCAAAGCAAGCTCATAAGAGCAGGTTTCAAAGGTCATGAGATTCTAACACACACACAAAAATCACACACACAAAATGGGGGTAGCAGCAACATGGGTAGCATATTCAAACTTGAAAAGACTTTAAATATTTGTATTATTAGATGTAGATTATGAAACACATATTTTAATGTGGTTAATTTTTTTAAGGAATCAAAACTATGAGTAAAGACCAAGAAAATTGTGCTGGATGGCCACTTCCACCATGGCTCCCCTCCTATTTAAGTCTGGGTACTGTGTCACCCGAAGTCTTCAGGCACATTGTTCCAGGTCTGGGTTTGCCTATGAAAGAAACTCATGAGAGCTGGAAATGAGGAGTGAAGAGGAGGTCTTCAAATAAAGCAGGCTTAAGGATTAGACATAGCAGGTTTGACAGATGTGATGGCTTGCAGAATCCTTTATGAGCTCCCACTGTCCATCTGGATAAGATTTACAGACCTTTCAGAAATTCCTATAAGCTTGGGTTCTGTGCCCACACTCTAGACTGTCAGGCTAAGATCTCTGATATAAAACAGACCTCTTCTGATTTTGTCTAGCTGCTTTTCTAATATCTATTCACCAAGCTCTTCCAATAATAGCATAAGGCCCTAATTAATATTAAACTTTTATCATTATAATACATAGGATGTCTTCTGTTTTCCTGATCAAATTCTGACTACTATTAAAATATAAAGAATTGTCCAGAAATATATAAAAAAAGAATCACACATTGATCTTCTTTAAATGAAAATATAACAATTGTATGGACTAGGATGATTACAGTTGTTCAGTTCTGACTGTTATTTGAAGAAAAAAGCAATAAGAAGCCTCAGCAACTTAACAGAAGGAGCTGCCATTTACTAGGAGAAAAGATTGTGGATGAGAGTGTAGCAAAGGTCAGAATTCTGTGAAGCTTGAGATGTTTATTATAATGAATTATCTTTTATACTCACTACAATTTCCTAACAATTTTGGGGTTTATATTTTTGAAAGAGATATACCTTTAATTTTCTTTCTTTGTACTATTGTTAGGTAACTTTGATGTGCAGATTATACTACAGTGAAAGTTGCCAATGACAAGGCAAAGTCACTTACATCAGACCCAAAGCAAAGTGGAGCCGGGTCATGAAAAAGGGGATCTTGTGTGTCTGTCCACGATAAGCACTATCACAAGGACTTTCTATAAACTCACAAGAAATTTCTGCCCACCCAGCACACTCTGTTTGTCCAGCTCATACTGTAGGTGTCTCTATAATAGGACCTATCATAAAAAATTCCTCAAGACTGCAGCATTTCAGATAAGCCACCCTCACAAGAACACTTGCCTAGCAATGGCTGTTTCTGCCAGTAAGTTAACACCAGCTCCTGCATCAGATCCTGTGACCAATGATGTTTGTTTCAAAACAGCTTGCATGGACTTCTTTTTGTCTTTACATATTTTCCTTACCTCAACCTCTTGGGATGCACCTATGATTGATCATAGCACAAATATCTCAGATTATAATCCTTGTTTATTTCCAAATAAATTTATTTCTTTGGAGATCCACTTTTTCTGTTATTATACATTGACATTGTTATTATGAAATTGGTTGGGTGATGTGTCTTATTTTCTTGTCTCCAGAAGAATTTCTGTAACAGTGCAATTAAACGTTCTTTGCATGTTTGCTAGAACTCACCTGTAAAATTGTCTGAGCAACCAAAGCCTGGTTTTTGTGTTTAGTTTTTCTTTTGTGATTGGGGAGGGGGGTTTATCGTACTGATTCAAGGTGTGAAGGTAACATCATTTTGATTTTATACATCTTCTTCAGTCCATTTAAGCATGTTACATAGCGTTGTTTGTTCTTTTCATGATATTCTTTACAGTAGTCTCCTAAATGTTCCCTCTGCTTCTGCCATGAGCCCCTACAATCTATTTCAACTCAGAAGCTATAGAGTTTGTTTAAAACATGTAACATATTATGCCACCTTTCTTACTGTAAAACATCCCATGGTTTCTCGTAGTATTTATAGTAAAAGTGAAATTTTTATGATGGCTTGAGAAACTTTTCCCATTAGATGCCCAAGTGCTGGTCTGGTCTGATCTTCTCATCTTCCCTTGGGTGATTCTGTGGCAGTCACACTAGCCTCCTTGCTGCTCCACAAAAACTCCAGCATGATCCTACTTCAGGATATTTGCCATTGTTACTGCATCTGCCTGGAACCTTTTCTCCCATATAAACATAGAGATTGCTCTTGCCTGTCCTTCAAGTCTATTCTTAAATGTCCCATTCTCTGTGAAGCTTTCCTGCCCACCCTATTTAAATTACAGACTTCACTCCCAATTCCCCATCTACTTTAAGAGTCTTCCTTTATCATTCCTTGACAAACTGTAAATATACATGTTCACTTTTTTATCGTCTGTCTCCAAATACTGGAATGTTAAGTTCTGTAATGTCAGATATTTCTGTTTGGTTCACTGGTGTATTCTTAAAGCATGTTACATACTAGGTATACTCAATGAATATTTGTTGAATAAATATCACATTGGGCTTATTCCAGAAATTCAAGCTTGTTTCAATAGTTAGAGCAATCTACAAATGTAATTCATTACATTAACTAATTAAAGGAGCTAAATCACATCACCACCACAATAATGCAGAAAACCACATTTGATACAACTCAATATTCATGTCTGCCTAACAAACATCTCATGATACTAGGAAAAGAGGAAGGGATATATTATTTTCATGTATAAAGCACTAACCATTGTAGCATGCCAATATACTCAAAATTCAATGAAATTCCTATCAAAATCTTAGCATTCCTCTTAGTCCTCAACAAAGCATTTCTAAAATGTGTATAGAAGACCAAAGGGCCAAAAGAGTCAACTTCTGAAGAAGCGCAAAAAGAAAGTTGAGGAAATCTTAAAACATGTTATTGAGCTTAAAGTTGCAAAAATAAACTCATGTACCATAATTGATGAGTAGAAAAATAGACTAGTGGAATAACATAAAAATAAAAACAATGCTTACATAAAATGTTGTAACTGATTTGGATGTCATTAGAAATCAGTAAGTAAATAGATGGACAATGTAATGAAAGATGCTAGGCAAATAATGTGGTAGGGAGAATAATGGCCCTCAAAGATGCCCATGCCTAACCCTGGAACCTGTGAATATGTTACACTGAATGCAATAAAGGCTTATCAGATGTGATTAAGGATGCAAACTGAGATGGAGAGATCTTCCTGGGTTACCCAGATGGGCCCAGTCTAATCACATGAGTTCTTAAAAATGGAGAACCTTTCTTAGCTGAGTCCAGAGAGAGATGTGACAATGAAAGAATGGTCAGAGAAATGTGACATTGCCAGCTTTAAAAAGAGAGAGGAGAGGCAATGAGAAAAGGAATGCTGATGTTCTCTAGAAGATAGAAAAGGCCAGGATATGGATTCTACCCTAGCCGCCATAAAGAAACATGACTGTCGACAACTTGATTTTAGTTCACTAAAATTCATGCCTGATTTCTGACTTGTGTACACTGTAAGATGACAAGTTTGTGTTATTTTAGGTCACTTAGTTTGTAGAAATTTGTTACAGCAGTAATAGAACAAGTGGTTATCCATATGAGGCAAATTAGATTGGATACCTATCTCCAATAGAAATCAATTCAAGGTGAATTCCAGGAAAATACTTAAAACATTTAGATTAAAAATAAATGAGAATTTTTGTTACTTTTTGTAGGTCATAGAACCAAGAAAAACAAACATTAAGGAGGAAAAATGAACATATGACTACATCAAAATATAAAGCTTCTCTATTTGGATGATATCATAAGGTGACAAATCATAAACTGTAATATTTACAACATATATATAAGTGAATAAATATACATTTAGAATATATATGAACTCCCAAAAATCAACAGGAAAAATAAGACATAGAACAAGCAAAATGCATAAACAAAAGAAGGCAAAACAAAAATAATGACTCATAATTATATGAAAAGAAGCTCATCTTCATAGATGAGCAGATAAATGCAAATTAAAACCACCCTGAGATGCTTTTTACATCCATGAGCCTGATAAAAGTTAGAGTCTAAAAGTAATAATTAACAAAGATGGGAAGTAACAGAAAATCTTGTCCATTACTGGTTAAAGTATAAACTGATACAGCTACTTTACAGAATATTACATTATAGAATAAAGTTGTGAGTATGTATATGCAGTGACTCAGCATATTCATTGCTAGTATGTACTCAAGAGAAACTTACAGGAGTGGCCTAGGAAGTAAATACAAAATGATTACAACATTGTTTGTTATATCAAAAAATAAAAAAGACACCCAATTTTCCAGCAAAAAAAATAAGTAAAAATAAATCCTGGTGTATTCTAACAATGGAATAATATATAGCCATTAAAATAAATCAACTATTACTGTACATATGAATGTAAGTATCAGCAAAACATATTGTTTAGTGAAAAACTAAGAAGCTGAAGAAGAATATATACAATATGGTTACATTTATATGAAGTCCAAAAACTTGCAAAATAAAGAAATGTATTTAGAAATAGATTCACATGTGAGAAAACTAGAAGAAAATTAATGAAAGGATAAGAGGGATAGCAGTAATTCTGAGTAGTTGAGGGAATTTCAATTGGAAAAAAATAATATCATATTCTTTAAGTCAGGTAGTGGGTATTAGCATTTGTTTTACCATCGTTCTTTATTCTTATAGCTACACTATATATTTTCAATGTATTTAATGTATTTTTTGCATAATTAAATATTATGCAATAAAAATGAGAAAACAAAAAAGTAGAAAATGATAAATTACAATAAAGAAATGGAGAAAAAATTATAATCTAGTTGAGTAATGGTATATTACATAGCTATTTTCTTAAGTAGATGTATGTACATGATGTATGCACGATTGTACATACATGTTCTTAATTATATATAAATATATATGTACATATTTTTAATATAAAATACTAAACAAAGTACACCAAAATATTAGCTCCTATGTTAGTGAGATAATGTTTTGTTTTTTTGTATTTTAAGTTTTACATAGTAGGTGTATTTTTCTGTTTTCATACTGCTATAAAGAACTGCCCAAGACTGGGTAATTTATAAAGGAAAGAAGTTTAATTGGCTCACAGTTCAGCACAGCTTGGGAGGCCTCAGGAAATCTACAATCATGGCGGAAGACAAAGAGGAAGCAAGCCAGCTTCTTCGCAAGGCAGCATGAAGAAGTGCCGAGCAAAGGGGAAAGAATCCCTTATAAAACCATCAAATCTCGTGAGAACTCACTATCACAAGAACAGCACAGGGGAAACTGCCCCCATGATTCAATTACCTCCACCTGGTCTCTCCCTTGACCTGTGGGGATTATGGGGACTATGGGGATTACAATTCAAGATGAGATTCAGGTGGGGATACAAAGCCTAACCATATCAGTAGGCATGTATTGAATTTTAAACTCAGAGAAAAATACTAGTGTTTTTATAGGATTCTTACTAAAGAAAAACCAGAAAGTAATAAACCATCTACGCTAAGACATAAAATTCAGTTGTTTAGTTACAAGATAGAATGTGGCCTTGTAAGAAAGCAAATTAACTTCTAACATACAAAGCCTTAGAGAAGATTCAAGTGACTGACGGATCTTAAACAGAGCTATTATTACAACTTGAACTGCAGTAAAATATCCTCAGCAACATAGATGTGTATGTTTCACTAGTCAGAGCAATACAAATTTAATGAAACTCCATTGGTGGTGTTTTTAATCAGACAATTTCTGAAGATGTCCTGGCTTATTCACAGATGCAAGCCAAATCTCTAGAAGAGTACCATAATAAGAAAAAAAAGAATACAGGCAATTGAGAGCTGTTCCAAAGTTTAGGGAGTTTTTGTAAGGAATTAATAAATAAAAATGTTCTTGAAAGAGAGAAATTAATATGCAGTTCATACTGCCAGAATTGCAGGCAATTTATCAAAGTCCCCTAATCCTCCAAAATCGCTATTTTTTTTTTTTGACACACACTTTACAGTACAGAAGAAAATGTCTCCGGCAATAAATCACAAAGTTAAAATTACCTAGTCTACAATTAACTACACAGTGATGGTAAATCATTTTCTACCAAAAGAAAGAAATGTCTTGTCTATTCAGGTTCTGCTCTACTTAAAAGTTTTCCTTGTTGGCGAGCAAGTGGTTAGAAAATCATATTTTATACGTACATTCAGCTTAACTATCATTCAGCTCAGGAAGATGACTCAGGGCCTTATCCATACCTTCAAGTTTGCTCTTAGCAAGTAATTGTTTCAGTATCTATATCAAAAATGGCTTAAGCCTGCAACATGTTTCTGAATGATTAACAAGGTGATAGTCAGTTCTTCATTGAATCCTGGATGCTTTATTTTTCTTAATAAGAGGAATTCATATGGATCAGCTAGAAAAAAATTAAGAGGAAAATCACATGGAAAGTTATATATTATATATCTATTATATATAATATTATATATCTATTATATATTATATATTGTATATCTATTACATATATAATATTATATATGTATTATATATATTATATATTATATATCTATTATATATATAATATTATATATTATATATCATTTCCAAATTCCCCAGCGTTCATATTTGTCAGTGCAAGTAAAGAGCCTTACTGCTGATGAGGTTTGAGGTATGACCATTTGGCCAGAATTTATGAACTCTACATGTCGCTTGATGTGTGCCTCAGGGTATACTTTTTTTTTTTTTTGAGACGGAGTCTTGCTCTGTCGCCCAGGCTGGAGTGCAGCGGTGCGATCTCAGCTCACCGCAAGCTCCGTCTCCCGGGTTCATGCCATTCTCCTGCCTGAGCCTCCTGAGTAGCTGGGACTACAGGCGCCCGCCACTATGCCCTGCTAATTTTTTGTATTTTTAGTACAGACGGGGTTTCACCGTGTTAGCCAGGATGGTCTCGATCTCCTGACCTCGTGATCCACCCGCCTCGGCCTCCCAAAGTGCTGGAATTACAGGTGTGAGCCACCACGCCCGGCCAGGGTACACTTTTAAGCAGAGACACTACTTTGAAGGTCATAAAAAATATAATAAGAGATAAGGCTAATTTCCTTTAATAATAATAAAATCCTTTAATAAAAATATAAAGGAATAATATAATAATTTTCTTTAATAAAATATAATAAGAGATAAGGCTAATTTCCTTTAATAAAATATAGTAACTACATACCAACAGAATTCCAAAAAAAGAAATGGAGAGGAAGGGAGCATGGGTCATTAATCTTGTCAAAAATATAAAATTATATACGAGGAATTCCTAGAAACTGTTTTCCTTGTCTGCGGCCATTGTGCTGCTGCTACACAACTACCGCAAGCAGCCCTTCACGCCCTCCTCCCAGTACAAAGCTAATTGACTTGTGAGAAATGTTAAGCTTGGAAGAGTCAGCATCGCTGCACTTATTTTTTATTCTACTCTGACATTAGAATAATCCTTGAGTGGGGGAAAGGTTAAAAACCCCCCTGGATAAGTGTTACTAATTAATGATGATTGTTTTAAACAATGTTTGGATAATTTTTCCTTGTCCCTTGACATAAACTTGATAAATAACTGAGAAGTGAGAAGGAGATTAGTGGGTTGATTAAATTCCATTCAGGTACTTAAAGTTAGCTCCAAAAATTTAGCTATTTGTAAATTGTCATGCATTGTTAATGTATAAGAGATGTAGATTTCATTTATCTTTGGTGGAGCGAGATGAAGCAGTGAATCATTGAAGACTGAAAGAAAGAAAAAGGTCTTTTCCCTTTTCTTTAAGAAGCATCATTAGTTAAAAACATGTTAGTTGATACCAGAGAACTATATTTAAAGGGACAGCAATAAGCAAATTGATTACTCTGGTGATTATTGGAGTGACATTGCCTTTTAGTTGTACTTTCACAAAAATTCACAATATTTGCCAAAGTCAAGTTATCCATTACACTATTAATTTGTCATTCTTTTGTTTATATAGTCAATATCTCTATCTCAATTGGATCTCAACTGCTTCTAAACAAGCCACCATAGTCTCTCCCATTTCAACAATCTCTTCCAAGTACCACTTCATTTCTTCTTTTCATATTTTTGAAAACTTTTGAAAAACTACCTATTTTCCTCCTCCATTTCTTGTTCATTCCATTCTAGTGGACATGGAATCTGTTCCTCCTCCAAAACGGAATTTGGTAACCCTTAAATTACTAAACCCAAAACAATATGTTGTCTTTATCTTTACCTCTCTGTGGCATTTAATGATAAGACCACTACTTTCTTCTCTTTTACCCTTCTTTCTTGAATTCAGTCAAACAACGTACTTACATTTTTCGTCTTATTCTCCATCTTAGAAACCACCTCAGCTTTCTCCATTCAGCTATAAAATTGTGCTTTTCCTCAAAGATTAATCTGCCTCTCCTCTCACTCTATACTATCTCTGTTAGCTAATTTTATTTGTGCACATTGCTTATACTGGGCATTATATACACATATGCATGTGTGTACATGTGCACACACACACTGTATGTGGACATGTATATATATATGTGTGTGTATATATATAGTATATATATAAATTACAATAACATAAAGGTGGCATTTTAAATTAGTGGAAATTACCCTGATTTGATCACTACACATTCTATACATGTAAAGAAAATATCACTCTGTATCCCAAGAATATGTACAATTATGGTTTGTCAAATGAAAAAGTTCATACATTGAAAAATTTTAGATAAATATCAAACTTTCTCTGAAACTGTAACTGTAAAATGTAAAAAACAGTAATTGCTATATTGCTTATTTCTGAGTAGAAGAATATGAGACATTTCCCTAATCATTATGTGTAATTACAATTACATATGTAATTGTAATTACACATAATGATTAGGGAAATGTCTCATATTCTATATATATAGACAGAAAGAGAGAAAATATATGAGGGAGAGAAGGAATCTTTCCATCTCCTTTGAGTTCCACGGTGTTGAGAGTCAGGACAACTGCAATTGCTTCATCATGCCTGCTTGCAATTATAGGGCTTTTGAACCATTTGTTCCCTCCTTAGATATCCTTATTTTTTTCAGATTCTTGCTTAGAAGTCACTCCTCCGTGGACCTCCTCTGACATATTAAACATTGCAGTCCATTATAAGCTGCAAGAGGACAGGGATTTTTGCCTGTTTTATTCCCTACTGTATCACCAGGGGCTACAGCAATATCTGACAAACAGTGGGCATGTAATGAATATTTGTTAAGTGAAGTAATAAATTCAATCAAATCACATCACCTGTTTAAAGCACTTCATTGGCTTCACATTGCACTTAGAATAAAGAGAAATTCTTTTTATACAATATACAATATATTTTATACAATATAAGTTCCTGCAGAATGCAGACACTTTCTACTTCTCCAGCCTGTTTTCGACTCCTCTCCTACTAGCTTCTGTATTTAAGCCACATTAGACCTTTCTTCAGTTTTTTATATAGACTTTGTCGCATCACACCTCAGAGATTCTGTACATGTTCTTCCTCCTGCCTAGAAAGGATCGTCCCTCCACTTTCGCCAACTAATCCCTGCTCAACTTTTCATCTCAGCAGGAGGCCCATTCTCTTTGGCAATCCTCTGGCCTCCAGCCCATTTATTATATGCTCACATGTCAACATGTACTTCGTACAGCATGTAACACAATTGCACTTTTATATTTTAACAAATTATATTTCCCATATTGAACTGTAAGTCTCCTGAAAGCAGGAATTTTGTTCTTGCTCATCATCAACTTTTTCAACATCCAGTGCACCATTTAGAACTTAGATGTAGTCAATACAGGTTTGTGGAATGAAAGAGGAAAAGAAAGAATTAATATTCCTTTAAATTAGGATGGCAAAGATCGTATATAGAAAATTGGCTAAGTTGTGGTCCATTCATGTTTGCTCCCAATTAAGGAGCACAGCTATGAAAAGGAAGGCTTCAAATTAATAACCAATAGATTTTTTTAAAAAGAAAACTGGCCAGGTACTGTGGCTTATGTCTATAATATCAGCATGTTGGGAGGCCAAGGCAGGATTACTTGAGCCCAGAAATTCCAGACCAGCCTGAGAATTTGGCAAAACTCTGTCTCTACAAAAAATACAAAAATTAGCCAAGTTTGGTGGCATGTGCCTGTAGTACCAGCTACTTGGGAGGCTGAGGTGGAAGAATAGCTTGAGTCTGGGAGGTCAAGGCTGCAATGAGCTGTGATTGCACCACTGCACTCAAGCCTGGGTGGTAGAGTAAGACCCTGTCTCAAAAAAAAAAAAAAAAAGAAAAATCACTAAGCAAAATAAGACCTGTGAAGGATCATGTCAAAGGTAAGAAAAATTAGGGGAACATTAAAAGCTTTCTTCCCAAGCCACTAAATCAACTTGACTAACAAAATTACCACTTGATTTAGCATTAGAAAATTACATTACATATCAAACATAAACCCATTAATCAAATACTAAAGAAATTTCTGAGTTAAATGGTATAATGTTAGCTTATGCCAGAGCTGACCTTGAAAGATTGTTCAAATATGGCTCAGTGTGATTGAAAGTTCTGTGTGAATATGTTTTTGGAAAGATCCAACAGCAACACCTTAGTGTATGTTTTTGAAATAAAATGTATCTGAGTAGCAGCAAAGTTATTCTCAAATTTCCATTTTATAGCTGGAGATGTTATACCGTGACGTATATGATAGGACCCAATATGGATCAATCCCTTTTAGAAGTCAATCAGGAAGAGGGGAGCAGTTAAAACAGTTGCTTGGTTTACAAACATTAGAACAATTTTCTTATTCACACCATCTGATTATTGTATTTTATTTTTTCCCCAACGTTTAGACTACACAATGAGTTAAGAATGATAAAAATAAGCTCACCAATATACTATGTACATATTTAACAAAATCTGTGCATGCTTATACATATAAACACAGCTGATAATTTATTAGTTAGGCTCATTTGTAATTTTTGTCACTATAGACCAGTTTTTTATTTAAATTGAAGATTAGTATACATTTTAAATGATTAGTCAAAATAAAAAATCTAAAATGTGCTCTAAATACCTCTTAGGTCAGAAAAAAAAAGTCAAAAGCTAGAGTATAGAGAAATTAAGAAACGCCCTAAATTTCTAATCTGACAAAAATTCATACAAGATTTAAATATTTTAATGGAAAATAGAACAGAACTAATTATTGAAGAAATTATAGAAAGGAAACAAAATAAACAGATTATATGGAGGATTTTTAGAAGATAAGTAAATAAATTAATATACTAGGAAAAAACAAGGGAAATATACTTGATAAATAAATACAGGTAAGAGTTCTTTTGAAATAATGATAAAATAGAAAATCTCTGTCAAAACTAAAAGGAAAGATGCATAAATATATAAATAAATGATAAAAAATGTTGCATACATATATGACTTTTTCAGAATCAAAAAATTTAAATTTCTGTAATAAAATTTAAATGTTTATAAATTTAAAAAACTAGAAGAAAGAATGTTGACTGTTCACAATACAAATAAATGACAAATATTTGAGGTGATGGATATGCTAATTATCCTTATTTGATCATTGGGCATTGTATACATGTATCAAAATATCACTCTGTATCCCATGAATATGTACAATTATTTGTCTCAAAAACAAACAAAAAAAAGATAATGGGAGAATGTTGAAAACTCAGAGAGAAGAGCAACTCTCACAGATAGGGATCCAGATAACATTAGCAGCTGATTTCTCGGCAGAAACCTTGAAGGCCAGTAGGCAGTGGATTATATATTTAAAATAATGAAGAAACCTGTCAATTGAGAAATATATAGCTGGAAAACTTATCCTTCAAAAATGAAGGAGAAATTAAGACATTTCCGGATTTTTTTTTAAAACTGAAAAAAATCCATTTATCCCTGAATTTGACATTCAGGAAGTGTTAAGTCCTTCAGGTTGAAATAAATGAACTCTAGGCAATAACTATGTAAGTAAATAAGCAAGCTGTATGAATATACAAAGCTCTCTGGTAAAGGTAAATACATAAACAAACATAAAAACAGTCCTATTGTAATTTTGGTTTGTAACTCTGCTTTTTATTTTCTACATAATTTAAAAGGCAAATGCATAAAATGTAATTGTAAATCTGTTAGCTGGTATACAATGAATAAAGATATAATTTGTCACATCAATAACATAAAAAGAGTAGAGCTATATATATAGCAGTAGAATTTTGGTATGTGATTGAACTTAAGTTGAAATAAATTCAAATTAAAATGTTATAACTCTAGGATGTTATATGTAATTCTCATAGTAACCAAAAATGAAATATATATAGAATATAAACAAAAGGAAATGAGACTAGAAACAAAATGTGTCACTACAAAAAAATCAACTAAAGATAAAAAAGAAATAATTGAGAAAATGATTGGTAAAAATCAGTAACTCTGACGTATTAAAACTTTCCATGCTACATAAATCTGAAAACTCTATTTCACATAAAACTGGAGCTGAAAGAAACAAATATTTACCTATAAAGTTAAAAGTTATATAGGGAACAAACACTAATTTTTTTTAGAAAAAATTATAAAAAGAGTAAAAATATGCCTTATACTACCGTAATTTCATGTTTTACAGCTCTGGGAAAATAGAAAATAAAATGTTCTGTTAGCATGAATCCCTCTGTGCCCCCAAAAAACCCTATGGATTGCATCATTATTACCTAAAAAGTCTATTCTCAAATGCAGCAGAGTGATATTTTTTACAAGGTAGATATTAATTTTAGATATGGAATAATATTGGTGATTTCAATTTTATAACACTGGGTTAAGATGAAAGAATGAGAAGATAAAGGTCCCTCAGCAATATAACTCACAAACATGTTCAGAAGCAGTAAGAAGTTACATTAATTATCTTTTGAAAGTCGATAATCTACATCTTTAATGTATGCATATAGCATAGCTAATGTACTATCGCTGGGTCCATTTATTCAATGAATAATTGCCGCTATGTGTCAGACATTTTTCTAGGCCTAGGAATGGATACATAAGTGAACAAAGCAAAGATTCTGGTTCTTGTAGAGTTTCCATTAAAAGACAATTTAGTAAAACTGTTCTTCCCCCAAATTATAAAATCTGTAAGATGGTTTAACAACATGTGTAAAAGTCATTGTGGGCCAGGCACGGTGGCTCATACCAGGTGTGGTGACTCATAGCACTCTGTCACCCAGGCTGGAGTGCAGTGGCACAATCTCTGCTCACTGCAACCTCTGCCTCCTGGGTACAAGCGATTCTCCTGCCTCAGCTTTCTGAGTAGCAAGGACTACAGGTGCACACCATCACGCCTGGCTAATTTTTGTACTATTAGTACAGACGGAGTTTCACCATGTTGGCCAGGCTGGTCTCGAACTCCTGACCTCAAATGATCCGCCCACCTCGGCCTCCCAAAGTGCTGGAATTACAGATGTGAGCCACAATGCCCGGCCTTATTTTCTACAACTTTGGTAACTTTAGCATATACCCCAAATCTGTAAGACATAATATTATAATTCAAATGCAACTCATGGCTTCTCTTTGTACTCTTTCTCTAGCTTTTGAATTATTTATTCTAATACCAGTTTTAATTCTGACACAAAATCATGGGAGTTCTAATCAAAATCCAACCTTTTATCATAAAAACTATGAAGAAATTATGAGTAGAATTTAAAAAGGAAAATAGGCCTATTAATTAGATTTGTCTTTGTAGCATTTAACTCTATAATAAATAATATTTTATGCCTATGAGTCCCCAACAAAGCCTCCAGCTTCTATTTAGATATAAACTGTAAAAGTCACTACTGGATCCACAAGCAAGACTATGGTAAATAAATTTCTCCACCTAACCAGCTTCTTTTACATGATGTTACATGTTTCTTTTGTTTTTTCATTTTGGCAAATATTGATTGTCATCTTCGTGTTTGTCTATGTCCTAAGTGCTGGGATACAGAATCTGAAAAGATGGACACAGGACCTGCCTTCAAGTTCACCCCCTTTTTTTTTTTTTTTGAGATGCAGTTTTGCTCTTGTCACCCAGGCTGGAGTGTAATGGTGAGATCTCTGCTCACTGCAACCTCCACCTCCAGGGTTCAAGTGATTCTCCTGCCTCAGCCTCCCAAGTAGCTGGGATTACAGGTCCCAGCCACCACGCCTAGCTAATTTTTGTATTTTTAGTAGAGACAGCGTTTCATCATGTTGGTCAGGCTGGTCTCGAACTCCTAACCTCAGGTAGTCGACCCACCTCGGCCTCCCACAGTGCTGAGATTACAGGCATGAGCCACCACGCCCTGCTAGGAGTTCACGCTTTAGTTGGGGAAAATATACAATAAGCAAGCCAGTTTTTAAAATGAGAACTGCAATTAGAGTTAAATGCTACAAAGACAAACTCACAGGAAGATGGGATGTAGAATGATAAGGCTCTCAGAATAGTAAGAGAAACTATTGCTTCTTACGATGTTTGTCTTTCTTTGTATCGGTGCTCAGCTGAGTCTGCAGTGCTTCAGAGGCAGCTTTCATTTTATAAAAATCTATGATTTCTCCTTCCAGTTGTTTTTTCTCTTCCTCGAGCTTCCTTATCTCCTCCTGTTGAATCATTTTAAGATGCTCGAACTTGTCCTGCAGCTGTGAAACCAATGTGCAGTTGTGACACCAAAGCAGTGTGGCTGAACACCTAAAAGAATACGCTATTTTTCTGATTATCAAACAAACCCAAATCATCACAGTAGAGCACGATCTTAATAACAATCTCAAAAACTCAGGAGTAAACACTCAGATATGGAATTTTTCTTTTCTTTCTTTTTTCCTTTTATAAGATGGAGTCTCACTCTGTTGCCCAGGCTGGAGTGCACTGGTGCGATCTCAGCTCACTGCAACCTCCATCTCCCAGTTCAAGTGATTCTCCTGCCTCAGCCTCTTGAGTAGCTGGGACTATAGGCATGCACCACCACTACAGGCGTGTGCCACCACACCTGGCTAATTTTTGTATTTTTAGTAGAGATGGGGTTTTGCCATGATGGCCAGGCCGGTCTCGAACTCCTGACCTCAGGTGATCCTCCCGCTTTGGCCTCCCAAAGACTTTTTTTTTTTTTTTTAATATAGAGACAAGTTCTCAGTACATTGCCCAGGCTGGTCTCAAACTCCTGAGCTCAAGTGATCCTCCCACCTCAGCTTCCCAAAGTGCTGGGACTGACTGGATGCAGTGGCTCATGCTTGTAAACTCAGCACTTTGGGAGGCCAAGGTGGGAGGATCGCTTGAGCCCAGGAGTTCAAGACCAGACTGGGTGATATAACACAATAGTCAACTTCAACAGGAGAGAGAATCTGTAAACTTGAATATAGATCTTCCGAAATTATCCAGTCAGAGGACAGAGAAAAAAAGAATAAAAGAGAGAAAAGAAGGCTGGGTGTGGTGGCTCAAGCCTGTAATCCCAACACTTTGGGAGGCCGAGGCAGGCAGATTAAGAGGTCAGGAGTTCAAGACCAGCCTGTCCAACATGACAAAGCCCCATCTCTACTAAAAATACAAAAATTAGCCGGGTGTGGTGGCACACACCTGTAGTCCCAGCTACTTGGGAGGCTGAGGCAGGAGAATCGCTTGAACCCAGGAGGCGGAGGTTGGAGTGCAATGTGAGCCGAGACCACACATTACACTCCAGCCTGGGTGACAGAGCATGACTCTGTCTCAAAAAGAAAAAAAAAAGAGACAGAGAAAAGAAAGCCAACAAGACACCATTAAGCAAACCATTGTCAGGTTATGGGAGTTTGAGAAGGAAAGTAGAGAAAGGAGAATAAAGCTTATTTAAAGAATGGCTGACAACTGCCTAAATCATGGGAAAGATTTAGACATCTAAATCCATGAAGCTTAAAGATTCCTAAAGAGGTTCAAACCAAATAGATACTCACCAAGTCACAATATAATCAAATAATCAGAAGTTAAAGAAACTTTGCAGGTCAGGACAGAATCGAATAATACATTCAAAGTGCTGAAAGAAAAAAACTGCCAGCAACTAATACTATGTCTGACAAAGCTGTCCTTCAGAAAGGAAAAAGAAATAACATGTTTCCTCGACAAACAAAGCTGAGGGCATTCAGGACCACTAGGTCTACCTTAAAAAAATGCTTAACGGAGTTTTTCAAGTAAAAATGAATGAAGTTGGGAGCGGTGGCTCATGCCTGTAATCCCATTTTGGGAGGCTGAGGTGGGTGGATCACCTGAGGTCGGGAGGTCAAGACCAGCCTGGCCAACATGGCAAAACCCCACCTCCAGTAAAAATACAAAAAATTAGCCAGGTATGAAGGCCACTGATATCGTGCCACTGCACTCCAGCCTGGGTGACAAGAGTCAAACTACATTTCAAAAACAAAAAACAAAACAAACAAAAAAAACAAAACTTGAGGCCTGGCCTTCTGCTCCTCTCCAACCTCCCCTTCTCTGGGCCCAAGCCACCTTGGCTGAGGAGGGGGTGAGGAGGTGTGAGCCCCTGCCAGGAACCCCCCGCCCGGACCAAGTGCTCGGCCCCCAGGCCTGCGTTCAGTGAGGCCTCCCGTGGCGTCAGCATGTTCGTGTGGAGGAATGTGGAAGGTCACTCTGCGGCCGTGTTCTCCTGGTACTCCATCGCCTTCCTGACCCCTCCCTGCAGCCACACGAGGCCCAGCAACCTGCCAGTCACTCAGTGGCCTCCAACCAGAGAAAACAACCTGCCAAGTTGGCAGCTGTTGCTCATGAGCGTCCACCAGGTGGGACAGGGAGTGTTGACCCTGGGCGGCCCCCTGGAGCCACCTGCCCTGAAAGCCCAGGGCCCGCAACCCCACACACTTTGGGGGTGGTGGAACCTGGTAAAACCTCACCTCCCACCATGGAGGAGGAGCCCTGGGCCCCTCAGGGGAGTCCCTGCTGGACAGTGAGACAGAGAATGACCATGATGATGCTTTCCTCTCCATCATGTCTCCTGACACCCAGTTGCCTCTACCACTCAGATGATGTCAGGCCCAGTCCCTCAGTGCCCTGCGCAAGGAACAGGACTCATCTTCTGAGAAGGATGGACGCAGCCCCAACAAATCAGACAAGTACCACATCCGGTGGCCCATGAGTGGCGCTCATGATCTTCAGCAGGCGGCACCAGGCCCTGGCGGGGCGCACCAGGGTCACCCCAACCAGGATAACCGGACCGTCAGCCAGATGCTGAGCGAGCGGTGGTACACCCTGGGGCCCAATGAGATGCAGAAATACAACCTGGCCTTCCAGGTGAAGGTGGCCCACTTGCAACAAGGACCGAAAGAAGTCCAGCTCAGAGGCCAAGCCCACAAGCCAGGGGCTAGCAGGAGTGTAACAAGGGCTCGTGGGAGCGGAGCATATCAGAGACGGGCACTGCCACTGCCCCTGGGGCGTCCTCTGAACTCCTGTCAGTTGCAGCCCAAACACTCCAGAGCTCGGATGCCAAGGAGCAGCTTCTGTGGGGCAGAACGGCTGCACACAGTCAGGGAACCTGGCTCAGCCTGGCCCAAGCCTTCTCCCACAGCGGGGTACACAGCCTGGACGGCAGGGAAATAGACCGTCAGGCACTACGGGAACTGACACAGGTGGTGTCTGGCACTGCATCATACTCTGGCCCAAAGCCTTCTACTCAGCATGGAGCTCCAGGCCACTTTGCAGCCCCTGGTGAGGGAGGTGACCCGTGGGCAGCCCTGCTGCCGCCCACGTGAGCTGCTCATTCCCAGCACATGGCCAGCGAGGTCATAGCGAGTGACGAAGAGCACACGGTCATCCATGAGGAGGAGGGGGTGATGATGTCATTGCTGATGATGGCTTTAGCACCACCGACACCGATCTCAAGTTCAAGGAGTGGGTGACCGACTGAGAGTGGGGACAGCTCTGGGGAGGAGCCAGAGGGCAACAAGGGCTTTGGTGGGAAGGTATTTGCACCTGTCATTCCTTCCTCCTTTACTCCTGCCGCCCCTTGCTGGATCCTGAGCCCCCAGGGTCCCCCGATCCACCTGCAGCTTTTGGCAGTCTATGGTCACACCCTGTCCTCCTCCTACACATACTCGGATGCTTCCTCCTCAACCTTGGCACCCACCTCCTTCTTACTGGGCCCAGGAGCCTTCAAAGCCCAGGAGTCTGGTCAACGCAGCAGAGCGGGCCCCCTACGGCCCCAACCCCTGGGGATGGGGGCCCAGGGACGCCTTCCAAGGTGGCCTGTTTCCTCCCAATGGATCCTGCCACCTTCTGGTGCAAGAGACCTGAAAGTGTGGGCGACCTGGAGCTACCAGGCTCCTCAGTCATCAGGGTCCCTCCCAACACTAAGGCTTTCCTAGGCAGGAGCTGGGCTGAGCCACCCGGGGGGCAGAGCCTGAAGAGAAACTGACTGGGCTTTCGGGGTCGGGGCAGAGGGAACCCCACGGACATGGATCCCACACTGGAGGACCCCACCGCGCCCAAATGCAAGATGAGAAGATGCTCCAGCTGCAGTCCAAAGCCCAACACCCCCAAGTGTGCCATGTGTGATGGGGACAGCTTCCCCTTTGCCTATACAGGTGGAGAAGCCGAGGACAGGCTCAGGGAACCGGAGACCGAGAAGGCGCTGTCCTCTTCACTGCACGTACCCTGGACCAGTGCCGGCCCTGATCATGCAGCTCTTCCAGGCCCACTGCTTCTTCCTGTCCACTAGGCCACAGCCGCCCTCCAGGCCCACTATGCACACATCCTCCCCTCCAAGGTTTGTTCTGCCCCTGCCCTGACTCCCAGCCCTGTGGGGGTCCTGACCGCACCTCACCTGGCTCAGACTCTTGACGCTGCCCTGGCTGCCCCACCACTGCTTCTGCCCGAGAGTCACGTGAAGCTGAGAGTAGGGGCAGGGGCAGCAGTGGTGCCAGTTGGGGGGCGGTCCAGTGGGAGGAGCCTCAGCCTCGCAGGCTGCTCCGTGGGACTGATGACTGCATGATCTTCTGGGCACCTCACGGATCTTCAACTGCAGGTGAAACGGATGCTGGTGGTGGGTGCAGGGCCGCTGGGAGCTGCTGCATGGTTCCCAGAGGCTGGACTGAGGCAGGTGCCAACTGAAGCTGCTGGGGCAGCATGGGCAGGATGTTCTGCACACAAACCTTGGAGAAGAAGATGTGTGCATAGCGGGTCCACTGCTGCTGCCCCTGCCCTGACTCCCAGCCCTGCCTGACCCCACCTCAACCTGCTCAGGCTCTGGCACAACCCTGGCTGCCCTGCCACTGCCTCTGCCCCAGAGTTGGGGCCTTGACAGCCTGGTTGGAAGGGGACACCCCAGCCCTGCCTCAACACCTGGGGGTCTCCATAACTACCACAGGCAGGTGGGCAACCCCAAAGATCCCAGGACTCACAGTACCCCCTGAGAACATGGACAGTATGTGGGGGTAGCAATGGAGGGCAGGATGGTTATCTTCTCCCAGGTGAAGCCATTTAATCCTTTCAGTTTGGAACGGAGTAAGGCCTTCCTCTTTTTTTTTTTTTTTTTTTTTTTTTTTTTTTTTTTTTGAGACCGAGTCTTGCTCTGTTGCCCAGGCTGGAGTGCAGTGGTGCGATCTTGGCTCACTGCAACCTCTTCCCGCCGGGTTCACGCCATTCTCCTGCCTCAGCCTTCCGGGTAGCTAGGATTACAGGTGGACGCTACCACGTCCGGCTAATTTTTGTATTTTTAGTACAGACGGGGCTTCATCATCTTGGCCAGGCTGATTTCGATCTCCTGACATCGTGATCTGCCTGCCTCCCCCTCCCAAAGTGCTGGGATTACAGGCGTGAGCCACCACGCCTGGCCAAGGCCTGCTCCTCTTATCTATACCCCCTACCCCTGCAGCTGTGCCGGGGGAAAGCTGGGCAGTTTCCCTCCTCCGAGCCCCTGTACATACCATGAATTGTGGGACCTTCAGAGCTTTTCACTTTTCGGAAAATAGCTCCTGCTGGGGCTACAAGATGGAGTGTGAAGAGGGCCTTGGGCCACAGGGAGGCGCCTGTGGACTAGGGGGAGTTCATGCACCCCTTCTTTCCCCAGAGGGGCTGGACTCAGGTGAGTATGGGGGTGGGGGCTCCTGCACTTCGACACAGGCAGCGGGAGGGTTTTCTCCCCATTCCCTCTGCACTCCCAACTTGAGCTATACTTTTTAAGAAAGTGATTCACCCTGCCTTTGCCCCCTTCCCCAGAACAGAACACGTTGATCGTGGGCGATATTTTTCATTGTGCCAAAAAGTTGCCATGACCGTCATTAAACCTGTTTAACACCAAATAATAAGGAAAATAAAATAAAAAATTCGGGCTTGGCGCAGAAACTCACTCCAAATAAATTACCTACCAAAACATTTACATAATGGTGGAAATATTCCAAAATTCAATATTTTGGGATTTATACACAAAAGATAAACAAATTAGAGGCCAAGAGGCTGCCGGAAGGGAAAAACGGGGCCTGGAATGGCCGACGTGAGGAATGAGCTGGGCCTAAAGAGGCCACTGGCAGGCAGGAGCTGGACCTGCCGAAGTGGCCGAAAGGCAGGAGCTTTGGACTGGGGAGGCCGCAGTGAGGCGAGAGCTAGCTGGGCGTGGAGAGTCCGCTGTGAGGCCGAGGCCGAGGCCGGGCCCGTGCAGGCCTTCGAGAGGCAGGAGGCCGGGCCTGCAAAGGCCGACTGGAGATCAAGTTCTGCGCCTGAAGAGGCTGCCAAAACTCAAAAGCGGGGCCTGGGAAGGCCGCCGAGAGCCATGAGCTGGGCTGGGCCGAAAGAGGCCACTGGGAGGCAGGAGGAGCTGGGCCTGGAGAGGCTGACTCGAGGAAGTTTTGCACCTGGAGAGGCCGTCGAGAGGACGGAGCTGGGCCCAGGGAGGCCGACTTGCTGCTCTTCCAGGCCCACTTCCAGGCCGACTTGAGGACGACTTGGGCCTGCAGAGGCCGCCGGGAGGCTGGAGCTAAGCCTGGAGAGACTGACTTCGGGACGATTTGGGCCTGCGGAGGCCGCCGGGAGGCCCAAGCTGGGCCTAGAGGAGCCCACCGACCGGAGGCCATTTGGGGCCTGCAGATGTCATCGGAGGGCCAGGAGCTGAGCCTGGAGAGGCCACCGCGAGGCCTGAGCTGGGCCTGGGGAGCTTGGCTTAGGGAAGTTGTGGGCCTACCAGGGCCGCTGGGAGCTGGGCAGGAGCTGAGTCCAAAGACGTTGTTGGGACCTGGAGTCGGGCCAGAGTCCGGCCTGGAGATGCAGCCGGGAGGAAGAGCTGGGCCCGGAGGGGGCGCCGGGAGGCTGCAAGTGGGTCTGAGAGGCCAACTTGAGGAGGCCTGGCCTCTGCCTCCCGCATTGCCCAGCTGTTCCTCCTGGCTGCATCTCCCACCTCCCAGCAAACAAGCTCTTTTGGCTCAGCTCCCGCCTGCGTTTGTAGACCCCAAAGTTTCTGCAACCAAGCTCTTCAGACCCACATCCCTTCTCCCAGTGACTGAACAGTCCCAGCTCCGGCTGGAGAAGGGCGTCTGCAGACCCCGCTGTTGCCTCCCAGGGGAGTCTCCAGGCCCAGCTCTCGCCCCACCGCGACCTCCCAGGCCCAAGTCCCTGCCTACCTCCCAGCAGCCCGAGTGCGATCCTGTTCCTCCCTCACGGTGGCCTGTTGAGGCAGGGGGTCACGCTGACCTCTCTCAGCGTGGGAGGGGCCGGGGTGAGGCAAGGGGCTCACGCTGACCTCTCTCCGCGTGGGAGGGGCTGGTGTGAGGCAAGGGCTCAGGCTGACCTCTCTCAGCGTGGGAGGGGCCGGTGTGAGGCAAGGGGCTCACGCTGACCTCTGTCCGCGTGGGAGGGGCCGGTGTGAGACAAGGGGCTCACACTGACCTCTCTCAGCGTGGGAGGGGCCGGTGTGAGGCAAGGGCTCACACTGACCTCTCTCAGCATGGGAGGGGCCGGTGTGAGACAAGGGGCTCGGGCTGACCTCTCTCAGCGTGGGAGGGGCCGGTGTGAGGCAAGGGGCTCACGCTGACCTCTGTCCGCGTGGGAGGGGCCGGTGTGAGGCAAGGGCTCACACTGACCTCTCTCAGCGTGGGAGGGGCCGGTGTGAGGCAAGGGGCTCACGCTGACCTCTGTCCGCGTGGGAGGGGCCGGGGTGAGGCAAGGGCTCACACTGACCTCTCTCAGCGTGGGAGGAGCCAGTGTGAGGCAGGGGCTCACGCCTCTGGGCAGGGTGCCAGAGGCATGAGTTGGGCATCAACAGGCCACCGTGAGGGAGGAGCTGGGCCGCACGCGGGCTGCTGGGAGGCAGGCAGGGACTTGGCCCCGAGAGGCCGCCGTGGGGGCAAGAGCTGGGCCTGGAGAGGCCCCTGGGAGGCAAGGGCGGGGCCTGCAGAGGCTGTTCTCCAACCAGTGCTAGAACTGTACAGGCCACCAGGAGGCAGGAGGTGGGCCCTCAGAGCTTGGCTGGAGAAAGTTCGGGGCCTACAAAGGCGGTTGGGAGCTGGGCAGGAGTTGAGCCAAAAGAGCTTGCTTACTTGCTGGGAGGCAGGGCCGGGAGAGCCCGACTTCAGGACAACTTGGGCCTGCGGCAGTCGCCGGGAGGCCCAACCTTGGCGTGGAGGAGCCCACCGACCGGAGACCATTTGGGGCCTGGAGATGCCATCGGAGGGCAGGAGCTCATCCTGGAGAGGCCACCGTGAGGCCTGACCTGGGCCTGGGGAGCTTGGCTTGAGGAAGCTGTGGGCCGACCAAGGCCGCCAGGAGATGGGTAGGCACTGAGTCCAAAGAGGTTGTTGAGAGGCAGGAATCGGGCCTGGAGACCCAACCAGGAAGAAGAGCTGGGCCCGGAGAGAATGCACGGAGGGTGCAAGTGGGTCTGGAGAGGCCGACTTGAGGAGGTTCTGGGCCCGGAGAGGCCGCCGGAAGGGAAAAACTGGGCCTGGAAAGGCCGTTGTCAGGAATGAGCCCCATGGGCCTGAAGAGGCCACTGGCAGGCGGGAGCTGGGCCTGCCGAAGCGGCCGAGAGGCAGGAGCTTTGGACTCGGGAGGCCGCAGTGAAGCAACAGCTAGCTGGGCGTGGAGAGTCCGCTGTGAGGCAGAGGCTGGGCCTGTGCAGGCCTTCGGGAGGCAGGAGGCTGGGCCTTGTCGAGGCCTGCAGAGGCCACCGAAAGTCAAAAGCGGGGCTTGGGAAGGCCGCCGGGAGGCATGAGCTGGGCTGGGCCGAAAGAGGCCACTGGGAGGCAGGAGGAGCTGGGCCTGGAGAGGCTGCCAAAAGGCAGGAGCTTCGCCTGAGGATGCCACAGTGAGACACCATCTGGGTCTGGAGGGTCCACTGTGAGGCAGAGGCTGACCTGTAGAGTCCGACAGTAGACAGAAGTTGGGCAAAAGCCTGATTTGAGGAAGTTTTGGGCTTCAAGAGTCAGCCACGAGGCAGGCACTAGGCCTGGAAATGGCCTCACAGTCATGAGTTGGGCCTAAATGGGCCACTGTGAGGGAGGAGCTGTGCCTGTTGAGGCTGCTGGCAGGCAGGCAGAAATTTGGCCTGGGGCAGCTGCCATGAGGCAAGAGCTGGGCCTGGAAAAAGCCCCTGGGAGGCAAGAGCAGGGCCTGCAGAGGCTGTTCTCAAGTCAAAGCTGGGCCTGTTGATGCCACCGGGAAGCAGAAGGTGGGCCTGGAGAGTTTGACTTGAGGAAGTTTTGGGCCTACATTGGCCGCCATGAGCTGGACAGGAACTGGGCCAAAAAAGGCTGTTGTGAGGCAGCAGTTGTGCCTGTAGACCCAGCCAAGAGGAAGAGGTGGGTCTGGAGAAGCCCCCATGAGGCAGAGGTTGGGCCTGTAGACGCTGACAGGAGGCAGGAGCTGGGCCTGGACAGGTCAACTTGAGGAGATTTTGGGCCTTCATAGGCCACCAGGAGGCAGTAGTTGGGACTAGAGAGTCTGACTTGAGTAAGTTTTGGGCCCGGAGATGACGTCCTGGGACAGGAGTTGGGCGTGGAGAGGCCACCGTGAGGCATAAGCTGGATGTAGAGAGGCCAGTGTGAGGCAAGACCTGGGCCTGTCTAGGCTGCTGGGAGACAGGCAGGAATCTGGCCAGGGAAGGTTGCCATGAGACAAAAGTTGGGCCTGGAAAGGCCCTTGTGAAGCATGAGCTTGGCCTAAAGAGGCCACTGGGTGGCAGGAGCTGGGTGTGTAGAAGCTGCTGAAAGGTTGGGAGCTTGGCTTGGGGGGTCCACAGTGAGGTAGATGCTGGGCGTGAAGAATCTGCTGTGAGGCAGACGTTGGGACTGTAGAGGCTGACGGGAGGCAGAGGCTGGGCCTGGAGGGGCCACCAAGATGCAGGAGCTGGGCCTGGAGAGGCTGCAAAGAAGCATGACCTGGGCCTGGTGAGGTCGACTTGAGAAAGTTCAGGGCCTGGAGAGAAGGCTGGGAGGCAGGAGCTGGGTCTAAAGAGGCCATTGTAACGATGGAGCTGTGCCTGTGGAGGCTGTTGTGAGGCAGTAGCCTCATCTGTGGAGGCTGCCGTGACGTAGGGTATGGGCCTAAATAGGCCATTGTGAGTCATGATCTTGGTCTGTAGAGGCTGACTGGAGAAAGTTCTGGGCCTGGAGAGGCTGCCGGGAGGTAGGAGCTGGGCCAAAAGATGTAAGCACATTTGCATTTATTAGGCACTTTATTTCCATTATTACACTGTAATATATAATAAAATAATCATAGAACTCACCATAATGTAGAATCAGTGGGCGTGTTAAGCTTGTTTTCCTGCAACTGGATGGTCCCACCTGAGCGTGATGGGAGAAAGTAACAGATCAATAGGTATTAGATTCTCATAAGGACGGCGCAACCTTGATCCCTCACATGCACGGTTCACAACAGGGTGCGTTCTCCTATGAGAATCTAACGCTGCTGCTCATCTGAGAAGGTGGAGCTCAGGCGGGAATGTGAGCAAAGGGGAGTGGCTGTAAATACAGACGAAGCTTCCCTCACTCCCTCACTCGACACCGCTCACCTCCTGCTGTGTGGCTCCTTGCGGCTCCATGGCTCAGGGGTTGGGGACCCCTGCTCAAGTGCATCCAAAGCGACCCTTCCCACACCAGTCTTCACAGTGGTCAAGGGCAGCAACCACTTAGCTCCCAAGGCATGTGCCTCAGCTGGCATTTCGTCACAATCAACAGTAAGTGGTAGCTTGAGTCACTGTGAGGTCACCTACTGGAAATCACCAGCATCCCATTTCCCACTGGCAAAGAGCTCAGCGCTGCCCCCTGGGAAACCAAACCTATGCCCAAATCCCATCTGTGTGGGTGTATCTCCTGGGACCCTTCCTAACATATTAGTCAGAGTCCAATCAGGAAGCATAAACCACTCAAAAGTTTAAAGTGGTAAAATTTAATACAGAGAATTATTCATTATAACAGGTGAACAGCATAATGAGAGATTGGCTAGCACAAAGTAAAGAGAACTCTAGAGAATATAGGACTAGCCCAGGCCAGGCATGGTGGCTCAGGCCTGAAATTCCAGCAATTTGAGAAGCTAATGCAGGAGGATTGCTTAAGGCCAGGAGCTAGAGACCGGTCTGGACAACAGAGTGAGACCCTGTCTCTATCCAAAAGAAGAAAAAAGTTAGCTGGTGGTGGTAGTGCACACTTGCAGTCCCAGCTACTCGGAATGCGGAAGTTTGAGCCTGGGAGGTCAAGGCTGCAGTGAGGCATGATTATGCCACTACAGTCCAGCCTGGTGACAGAGCAAGACCCTGTCTCAAAGAACAAAACAACAACAACCATTTACAGACAGAAAAGAAATAGAGCTAATAAGCTGAGGAAAGATGTTGAAATGTGACAAGTAAAGTAACATGAGGTCTTTTGTCTATTTAAAATAATCAAACAAAAAATGACTTACTAAATTATAATACCCTGTGCTGGCAAAGGTGCAGTGAAATGGGCACTTTCTTATACTATGAGAGGTGGTTAAATTGTGTATAAGCCTTCCCGGGTAAAGCCTGTCAATTTTTTAAAATAATGGAGACAGGGTCTCACCATACTGCCATACTGCCTCCTCCAACTCTTGGCCTCAAGCAATCCTCCTCTCTTAGCCTCCCAAAGTGCTAAGATTATAGCTGGGAGGCACCCAAAACCCTGTCAATTTACATCAAGGGTAAGGAGAATGTCCATTCACCATGACTCACAGTAATCTTACTTCTGGGGAGACAATTCAGTCTAAACAAAAGGTCATCTGTACACACACAGTAAAAATCTGGGAGTAACTGAAGACAGAGTTGGTAAGTGAAATAAGAAACAGTTATAAGAAATTAAACTATGGTATCAATAGGCACCTGGTACAAAAGGTCAGTTGATGTTGGCTGCTACTTTTTTGTTGTTTTGAGACAGGGTCTCACTCTGTCACCCAGGCTGGAGTGCAGAGGCCTGATCATGACTCACTGCAGTCTCAGCCTCCCTGGGCTCAAGTGATCCTCCCACCTCAGCCTCCCAAGTAGCTGGGACTACAGGAACATGCCACCACACTAGGCTAATTCATGTATTTTTCTGTAGGGATGGTGACTCCCCCTTTGTTTCCAAGGCCTATCGCAAACTCTTGGCCTCGAGCCATCCTCCTGCCTCAGCCTCCCAAAGTGTTGCGATTACCAGTGTGAGCCACCACACCTGGCCAGCTGCTACTTTTATCAATATTATTCTTATTCCACTCAATTAAAAATTATTATTTTCAAGGCTATGCAACAGTATGTATCCTACAGCGTAATTGTAAAAACATATACAGTCGTCGTCCCTCAGTATACAGAATTAGTTCCAGCCCCCCATCTCTGCATATACCAAAATCCATGCTTACTCACGTTTCGCTGTCACCCCTCTGGAATCCACGTATACGAAAATTCCAAATATTAGTTGGGCATAGTGGCAAGCACCTGTAGTCTCAGCCACGTGGGAGGTTGAGGTGGGAGGATCGCTTCAGCCTGGAAGGTTGAGGCTGCAGTCAGCTGCGATAGCACTACTACACTCCAGCCTTGGACAACAGAGGGAGACCCTGTCTCAGAACAAAAAAAAATAAAAAATAAAAAATAAAACAGGTTAGAAACTGTGATGAGGTCTGCTGGGCAAAATTCCATATAAGCAAAGTATAAATTAATAAAGCAAATCGTGATAAATTAGTACGATTGACTTTCTGGAGTTTCTGACAATAAAAGTAAGGAAAATGCAGAACACAAAGACAGAGAGTAAAAAGAGAAATTAGGAAAGCATTCTACATGTTGAATAGGAAGACACTGGCCATGTTCGTGCAGCGGCAGTATGTCGTGACATGACATACCTTGGAGAGAAGTTAACAGATGAGGAAGTTGATAAAAATCATCAGAGAAGCAAAATACTGGTAGGGACACTCAAGTAAACCATGAAATTTCCATAACTTATGTCAGCAAAGTGGGAATATTGTACAGTGTGTGTTGAAGTTCCTATACAACATTGTTTATCTGCCTTTTGTTTGTTTGTAAGGAATGTACATACTAAAAGTTCTTCTTGCTGTCAAAAGAATATGTGTGAATAAGTCATTTTAACTTATTCTTCTGTTTTTCTTTTATCTTCCTGCCATCATCCCACAGCCTTACTTTAGAAATTTTTTTTTTAGAAAATTGAACAAGTGCTCCTTGTGGTGGCACATGCCTCGAGGATGGGAGGCAGGGGTGGAAGGGTCACTTGAGGCCATTAGTTTGACACCAGCCTGGCCAACAAAGTGAGACCCCGTGTCTACAAAACAATTTAAAAATTAGCCAAGTATCATCATGTATACCTACAGTCCCAGCTACCTGAACTTACTGAGAATGTTCAGGGCCTGGAGAGAAGGCTGGGAGGCAGGAGCTGGGTCTAAAGAGGCCATTGTAACGATGGAGCTGTGCCTGTGGAGGCTGTTGTGAGGCAGTAGCCTCATCTGCGGAGGCTGCCGTGACGTAGGGTATGGGCCTAAATAGGCCATTGTGAGTCATGAGCTTGGTCTGTAGAGGCTGACTGGAGAAAGTTCTGGGCCTGGAGAGGCTGCCGGGAGGTAGGAGCTGGGCCAAAAGATGTAAGCACATTTGCATTTATTAGGCACTTTATTTCCATTATTACACTGTGATATATAATAAAATAATTATAGAACTCACCATAATGTAGAATCAGTGGGCGTGTTAAGCTTGTTTTCCTGCAACTGGATGTTCCCACCTGAGCGTGATGGGAGAAAGTGACAGATCAATAGGTATTAGACTCTCATAAGGACAGCGCAACCTAGATCCCTCACATGCACGGTTCACAACAGGGTGCGTTCTCCTATGAGCATCTAATGCTGCTGCTCATCTGAGAAGGTGGAGCTCAGGCGGGAATGTGAGCAAAGGGGAGTGGCTGTAAATACAGACGAAGCTTCCCTCACTCCCTCACTCGACACCACTCACCTCCTGCTGTGTGGCTCCTTGCGGCTCCATGGCTCAGGGGTTGGGGACCCCTGCTCAAGTGCATCCAAAACGACCCTTCCCACACCAGTCTTCACAGTGGTCAAGGGCAGCAACCACTTAGCTCCCAAGGCATGTGCCTCAGCTGGCATTTCGTCACAATCAACAGTAAGTGGTAGCTTGAGTCACTGTGAGGTCACCTACTGGAAATCACCAGCATCCCATTTCCCACTGGCAAAGAGCTCAGCACTGCCCCCTGGGAAACCAAACCTATGCCCAAATCCCATCTGTGTGGGTCTACCTCCTGGGACCCTTCCTAACATATAACCTTCATAACATACTTGAGAGGCTGAGGTGAGACAATCGATTTAGCCCAGGAGTTTGAGATCAGCCTGGACGACATAACTAAATCTCATCTCTACAAGGACGAGGTGGGAGGATAACTTGAGCCCAGGAATTTGTGGCCAGCCTGGGCAACAAAAGAAGACCCCATCTGGCCAACATGGCCAACCTGGCCACCACGGTGAAACTCTGACTCTACAAAAATGATCTGGGCATGGGTGACATGCATGTGTAGTCCTAGCTACTTGGGAGGTTGAGATGGGAGGATTGCTTGATCTCAGAAGGCCAAAGCTATAGTGAGCTATGATCACATCACTGCACTCCAGCCTGGATGGCACAGGGAGATTCTGTCTCAAAAAAAAGAAAAGAAATATATATTTAATCTCTGTCCCTGGTTCCTGGCACAGAGCTTCTAAAGCTCTTACAAAGACCTCAGTGATAGATGTGACAGGAGCATCTTTTGTTTTAATATTTGGTCTTGGTCCCAGGTTTCTAACACAAGAGCCTCTAAGAACTTTGGGATCTCCAGCATGGTAAGAATGCATTTGGGGATGTTGTTGAGATGACTGGGTGACTGCAAGCTCCTAAATTTCTTCAAGAGGAGGGCTGATTACCATGCAACCACATGGTAAGAGGCTTGGAACTTTCAGCCTCATGCACTGAACTCCAGGGGGAAGAGGGGCTGGAGACTGACTTAATCACCAACAGCCAAAGGTTTTATCAATCATGCTTGCATAATAAAGCCTCCATAAACACCCTGAAAGGGGTTTGCAGAGCTTTCAGGGTTGCTGGACACAGGAGATGCTGGGAGGGTCGCATGTTCAACAGAGGGCATGGGAGCTCTGTGCCCCTCCGAACTTAACTTGCCCTGGGTATCTTTCTTTTTTTTGAGACAGGATCAGGCTCTTTTGTCCAAGCTGGAGTGCAGTGGCACAATCTCAGCTTACTGTAACCTAAGCCTCCCCAGTCCCCAGCTCAAGGTATCCTCTCATCTCAGCTTCCCTAGTAGTTGGAACTCTAGGTGCACAACACCACACCAGTTATTATTATTATTTTTTAATTTTTTATAGAGACAGGTTTTCACCATGTTGCCCAGGCTGGTCTCAAACTCCTGAGTTTAAGCGATCCTCCCACCTTGGCCTCCCAAAGTGCTGAGATTACAGGCATGAGCCACTGCATCCAGCATGCACGTCTCTTTCATTGACTGTTTCTGAGATGTATCCTTCACAATGAACCAGTAATAGGAAATGAACTGGCCAGATGTGGTGGCTCACATCTGTAATCCCAGCACTTTCAGAGGCTGAGGTGGGAGGATCACTTGAGACCAGGAATTTGTGGCCAGCCTGGCCAACACAACAAGACCCCATCTATACAAAAAATAAAAGAAACTAGCCAGATGTGGTGGTGCAGGCATGTAGTCTCAGCTACTAGGGAGGCTGAGGTGGGAGAACCACTGGAACCCAGACAATCAAGGCTGCAATGAGCTATGACTGCACCATTGCACACCAGCCTGGGCAACAAAATAAGACCCTCTCTCTCAGAAAAAAAGAAAATAAACTGTTTTTCTGAGTTCCGTAAACTGTTCTAGCAAATTATTAAACCCAAGAAGACAGTTACGGGAACGCCCGATTGGTAACAGGTTGGTCAAAAGTATGGTGACAACTTAGGACTTGCCATTGTCATCTGAAGTGAGGATGGCCTCGTGGGACTGAGCCCCTAACTTGTGGGGTCTGTGCTAACTCCAGGTAGTGTCAGAATAAAGTCATGGGATACCCAGTTAATATCCAGAGCACTGAAGAATCTGGTGTAGAAACTCCATACATACATTCAGTCGGAAGTGTGTGAGTAGAGACAAACATGGGCTTTTCTGTCACCTACCTGCTTAACTGCATAGGAGAGGCAATATGTGGTGTTCATGAACAAAGCAAACATTAAAGTCAGACCAGACCCAACATTTGACTCAGTCTTAATATCCAGGTGAGCCTGCGCAAATCATTCATTATTCCTAAGGTTTTCATCACTCCATTCATAAAATGGGGATAACTGTGGCACCTACATGTGATTCTGTGAGAATTAACGAAATATTATGCTTGGGGTTATTGTGATCATTATACCTGTTCCAAACTATTTGACAAGGACAGTGATGGATGAAGACATCAAAAAATCAGAAACTGCAATGAGGTCTCTCAGGCAAAATTCCATACAAGCAAATTACTGTGTCTACAAAGCATTCCTGCCACACTTAATTCACCATTCCCTGAACAAAATATGCCATCTTCGTTGTTCAGGTCTGTACAGTGCTGGTTTCCCTTCCCGGGCAGTTTGCGCTATCCCATCCCGGCCCATTCCCCATCCCTCCACCTCCCCCTTCCCTCCCAACTCTCATACAACTCTTCCTCATCTTTCAGGACTTGGCTTCAATGTCACCTTAACTGGAAGCTTCTCTCACTCTCCAGAAGAGCTTCCCATTGCACCTGATGCATGGGAAACATAATTTGATCATTTTTAAGTTACAGTCCAAATCTTTTTGTACCTGAATAACATGTTGCCCAGTCAGTCTCTCTTCCTGGATTCACAAGTCTTTCATGGTAGATCCAGCTGGAAGTGACAAAAAGACATCTTTTGACATAAAGGGATGACACAGACAGACATAAATTCTTAAATGTCTTAAATGTTATGTGAAAATTAAACAGAATTCAAAGACTTGTGGGGAGCACTTAGGAAGTTACTGGGAATGTCATGAAGGGTTAATTTGTATTTTATTTTATTTTTTGAGACAGTCTCATTCTGTCACCTAGGCTGGAGTGCAGTGGTGCAATCAGGCTCACTGCAGCCTTGACCACCTGGGCTCAAGTAATCTCACTTAATTTTTATTTGGTTTAAGAAAGTCTTGGTTGAGGGTGGTGGCTTATGCCTGTAATCTCAGCACTTTGGGAGGCTGACAGAGGTATATTACTTGAGGCCAGGAGTTTGAGATCAGACTGGGCAATATATTAAGACCCTGCCTCTACCAAAAAACAGAGTGAATGTGTGGAAGACAATTTTTCCACAGACTGGGAATGAGGGAATAATTTCAGGATGATTAAAGTGCATTACATATATTGTGCACTTTATTTCTATTATTACTACATAGTAATATATAATGAAATGATTCTACAACTCACTATAACGTAGACTCAGTGGGATCTCTGAGCTTGTTTTCCTGCAACTAGACTGTCCACCTGGGGTGATGGGAGACAGTAACAGAATATCAGGCATTAGATTCTCATAAGGAGTACACAACCTAGATCCCTCGCATGCACACTTCACAACAGAGTTTGTGCTCCTATGACAATCTAATGCTGCTGCTGATCTGACAGGACATGGAGCTCAGGTGGTCATGCAAGCGATGGGAGGGGCTAGAAATACAGATGAAGTTTCCCTTCACTCGCCTGCTGCTCACCTCCAGCTCTGTGGCCCTGTGGTTGGAGACCGCTGCTCAAGTGCATTTGAAAGGAACCATCCCACGCCATTCTTCAGAGTCATCTTTACTGCTGCAGTGGTCAACTTGTAGCACCCCTAAGCTCGCAGGACATATGCTTCAACTGGCATTTCACAATCAACAGTATGTGGCAGCTTGAGTCATTGTGAGCTCACTTCCTGGAAATCACCAGCATCCCATATCCCATTGCAAGGAGCTCAGCACTGCTCCTTGGATAACCAAACCTATTCCCAAATCCCATCTGTGTGCGTCTATCTCCTGGTACCCTTCCTAGCATCAATTCTGTATTTGTAGGAGTCCAATCAGGAGACACAAACCACTCAAAAGTTTAAACTAGAATGAGCAAGATGGCTCACACCTGTAATCCCAGAACTCTGGGAGGCCAAGGTGGGTGGACTGCTTTGAGCTCAGGAGTTTGAGAACAGTCTGGGAAACATGGCGAAACCTCGTCTCTACAAAAAACACAAAAATCAGCTGGGTGTGGTGGCACTTACCTGTAATCCCAGCTACTCGGGAGGCTGAGGCAGGAGAATTGCTTGAGCCTGGCAGGTGGAGGCTGCAGTGAGCAGAGGTTGTGCCACTGTACTCCAGCCTCGGTGACAGTGTGAGACCCGGTATCAAAAAGAAAAAACGTATATCTATATATATGTAAATTTAATATAAAAAGTATTAATTTTGGCCAGGCAAAATGGCTCATGCCTGTAATCCCAGCACTTTGGGAGGCCAAGGCAGACAGATCACCTGAGGTCAGGAGTTCGAGACCAGCCTGACCAGCACAGAGAAACCCCATCTCTACTAAAAATACAAAATTAGCTGGGCATGGTGGCACATGCCTGTAATCCCAACTACTCGGGAGGCTGAGGCAGGAGAATTGCTTGAACCCAGAAGGTGGAGGTTGTGCTGAGCCGAGATAGCACCATTGCACTCCAGCCTGGGCAACAAGAGTGAAACTCCATCTCAAAAAAAAAAAAAAAGGTATTAATTTTTACAGAGGATCAGCACAATGAGGGACACACTAGCACAAAGTAAAGACAACTCTAGAGAATACGGAACTAGCAGAGGCCAGGCATTGTGGCTCATGCCTGTAATCCCAGCAATTTGGGAAGCCTAGGCAGGAGGATCGCTTGAGGCCAGGAGTTGGAGACCAATCAGTGCTACATAGTGAGACTCTGTGTCTACCAAAAAAAAGAGACATTAGCCAGGTGTGGTGGTGGTGCACACCCGTAGTTCCAGCTACTTGGGAGTCTGGGGTGGGAGAAATCCCTTGAGCCTGGGAAGTCTACACTACAGTGAGCCAAGATTGTGCCACTGCACTCCAGCCTGGGCGACAGAGTGAGACCCTGTCTTAGAAAGAAAAAAGAAAAGAAAGTGTTAATCCCCCTATGGGAATCTCCTCTTCTCCTGCCCTCTCTGGAACCTCACTTGTCAGTTCTTCCTCCCACTTTCCTGTATCTTTAACCTATCCCCCACTTTTAGCTCCTTCCCATCATCATTTAAATTACTCAAACTTCTTCTGTTTTAAAAACCTCTCCCTAAACTCAGGGAGAGGTCTTCTGCACACACATTGAGCCATCTGCTCTTCCTGGTGCCTTCTCTACAGCAGCCTGAGCCATGTCTCTAATCTATGAATCTCATCATGTTACTCCCCCATTTACATCACTTCTCCTTGCCTCAGGGATTAAGTCCAAACTCCTTAACAGCCCCTGCTCTGCCCTGCCTTGCAAGGCAGCCTCACTGCTTGCCCCTCTCCATTTCATCTGCTATGGAGTCCAACTGAGCCTCATCTGCCCCTTGAACGCACACTCTTTCTCCTCTGGGAGTCTCTGAAGTGGGTAATATCCTCTGCTTATAATATGCTTCCCCTTAAACCTCTACTCTCTTCCTAGCTAGCTTTGACTCCTCTGTCACTTGTCCGCTTTGGCATCACCTCCTCATAGAAGACTTCTATGACTCCCGAGATTCTCAGGAGCATGGCAGGTGAAGTGCTCCTCCCATGAATGGATGGAGATTAGGGAGTGTGTGTTATTCATGCTTAATTCACCAGTGCTTAGCTGAGTACCTGGCATAAAATAGTTACTGTGGTGGCCAAAGTAATAACCCCCACCGCCACCAATTGCTCATGTCCTATGTTACACAGCACAATTACATAGGAAGGGGGAATTAAGAGTGCAGATAAAATTAATGTTGCTCATCAGCTGACCTTAAACAAGATTATCCTGGAGTATCTAGGAGAGCCCATGTAATTACAAGCATTCTTTAAAACTGGAAGAGGGAGGCAGAAGGTTAAGAACCAGAGACGGTGGGCACAATGGCTCATGCCTGTAATACCAATACTTTGGGAGGCCAGGGTAGGAAAATCCCTTGAGTGCAGGAGTTCAAGGTCAGCCATGGCAACATACTGAGGTCCCATCTCTACAACAAAATAAAAACAAAATTCACTGAGTGTCACGATGCTTACCTGTAGTCCCAGCTACTGGGAAGGCTGACATGGTAGGATTGCTTGAGCCTGGGAGTTTGAGGCTATAATGAGCCATGATAGGACCACTGAACTCCATCCTGAGTGACAGGGCAAGGTCCTGTTTCTGAAGAAAAAAAGGACATTGGAATCAGGGCCCTCTCCATCCTGAGGTGCCTACAAGGCATCTCTCTCTGCAAACGAGTAAACATCACCCTCCAACTCCTTACAGAGTGGAGCAACAGGAAAACTCCTTCACCTCATTTCTGTGCTGCTTGGGAGGCCTGGACAGCCCAATAACCAGCTCCTCGCTGATGAAGCAATCAGGAAATGGCTCGAGTTGAGCTAAGGAGAATTTGGATCCTTCCTTTGGTTCTCAGTAGGCAGGGTAGGGGCCAGGCATGGTGGCTCATACCTGTAATCCTTGCACTGTGGGGGGCCAAGGTGAGAGGATTGCTTGAGGCCAGGAGCTCAAGACCAGCCTGGACAACATAGCAAGACCTGGGTGGCATACACCTGTGGTCCCTACTACTTGGTAGGATGAGGTGGGAGGATTGATCACTTGATCCCAGGAGTTTCAGGCTGCAGTGAGCCATGATCACACCACTGCACTTCAGCCTGGGTGACAGAGCCAGACCATGTCACAAAAAGTTAGAAAAAAAAAGAGAGAGGGAGAGAGACTATACACAGGCACCACCACATTTGGCTAATTTTTAAATATTCTGTAGAGACAAGGTCTTGCTAGGTTGCCCAGGCTAGTCTAAAACTCCTGGCATCAGGCTGGGCATGGTGGCTCATGCTTGTAATCGCAGCACTTTGGGAAGCTAAGGCAGGCAAATCACCTGAAGTCTGGAGTTCAAGACCAGCCTGGCCAACACGGTGAAACTCTGACTCTATCAAAAATACAAAAATTAGCTGGGCAGTAGTGGCGTGTACCTGTAGTCTCACCTACTCGGGAGGCTGAGGCAGGAGAATCACTTGAACCTGGGAGGTGGAGGTTGCAGTGGACCCCATCACTGCACTCCACCCTGGGTGACAGAGCGAGACTGTCAAAAACAACAAGAACAATAACAAAAACAAAAACAACAACAACAAAAAAAAACTCCTGGCATCAAGACATCTTCCTGTCTTAGCCTCCCAAAGCCCTGGGATTATACTGTTTCCTATAATTGAAGACACTTGTTCTTATACTGCTTTAAGGTATAAAGGAAGAAAAAAAAAACAGATAATGGCAAATGTTGGTGAAGGCCGGGCATGGTGGCAGCCTGTAATTCCAGAACTTAGGGAGGCTGAGGTGGGCAGATCACTTGAGGCCAGGAGTATGAGACCAGCCTGGGCAACATGGTAAAATCCCACCACTACAGAAAAATCTAAAAATTAGCCAGGCATGGTGGCGTACACCTGTAATTTTCAGCTACCCAGGAGGCTGAGATGAGAGAATCACTTGTGCCTGGGAGGTCACGGCTGCAGTGAACTGTGATGGCATCATTGCACTGCGGCCTGAGAGACAGAGCAAGCCCCTATCTAGAAAAAAAAAATGTCAGTGAAGATGTGGAGGAATTGGAACCCACATACATTACTGGTGGGAACATAAAATTGTGTAACCATTTTGTTTGGGTATTTCTTTTCTTGTCATTTTAATTGGATTTTTAAAAAATCAAGACGGGGTTTCACTGTCTTGCCCAGGCTGGTCTTGAATTCACGGGCCCAAGCCATCCTCCTAGCTGAGCCTCCTGAGTAGCTGGGATTACAGGTGTGAGCCATTGCACCCAACTGGTATAGCCACGTTAGAAAACAGTCTGGCAGTTTCTCAAAAGGCTAAATGTACAGTCATCCTATAATGCAACAATTTCACTCCTAGGCATATATCCCAGAAAAATAAAAATATATGTCCACACAAAAACTTGTACAACAATCTTCATAGCAGCATTATTCATAATGACCAATACATGGAATACATGGAAACAACCCAAATATCCACCAACTGATGAACAGATAAACAAAATGCAGTGTGTCTCTACCATGGAATACTGCCATAGAAGGAATGAAATATTGATACACACTATGACATAAAGGAACTTTGAAAACACTGTGCTAAGAGGGAAGAAAAGCCACAAAAGATCACATATTGTACAATTCTATTTGTCCAGATTAGGCAAATCTATAGTGACAAAAAATTAATCAATGGTTGCCTAAGGCTGGGGGCAAAGGTAGGTGGGGAGAGTAGGAGGTAGTAGCTAAGGGGTATGGATTTCTCTATAGGGTAATGAAAGGTTCTAAAAGTGACTGTGGTGATCGATGCACAGCTCTGTGAATATTCTAAAACCTACTGAATTGCAGATTTCAATAAATAAAGTGAATGGTATGTGAATATTTTAATAAAGCTATTATTTAAAATAATAATAATAGGGGGCTGGGCACAGGTGGTCATGCCTGCCTGTAATCCCAGCACTTTGGGAGGCTGAGGCAGGAGGATCACTTGAGGTCAGGAGTTTTGAGCCCAGTCGGAGCAACATGGCAAGATCCCGTCTCTATGATAAAAAATTAGCTGGACATGGTGGCACATGTCTGTAGTCCCAGCTACTTGGGAGACTGAAGTGAGAGAACCACTTGAGCCCAGGAGTTTGAGGCTACAGTGAACCATGATCATGTCACTGTACTGTAGCCTAAGCAACAGAGCAAGACGCTGTCTCTGAAAAGGAAAGAAAACAAATGCAAGTTTTTATCACTTTGTGAGTGTAGCCAAGTTGGAGGAGAAATAGACAATAATAAAAGAGCACTGAATAATGACGGTGAGTGGCTGGTTAGGCTCAGTTGCTAGCTAAATGGCTTCTAAAAAATTCAATAAAGTTACAGCTCTGGGGACAGTCATGTAGTCAAAGAATGAAGGCGAAATTCATTACAATTGCCCATGGTCTTTATTTACATGCCTTCTAGTGAAAAATTCCTAAGTGCCTAAACAGCAAGTCTGCAATGATAGCAGCTGTTTATTAAAGACTACAAAAAAGAAATGGAGGCCGGGCGTGGTTGTTCACATCTGTACTCCTTGAATTTTGGGAGGCTGAGGCAGGCAGATTGCCTGAGGTCAGGAGCTCCAGAGGAGCCTGGCCAACATGGTGAAATCCCATCTCTACTAAAAATACAAAAATTAGCTGGGTATGGTGGCGGGCACCTGTAATCCCAGCTACTCGGGAGGCTGAGGCAGGAGAATTGCTTGAACCCAGAAGGTGAAGGTTGCAGTGAGCCAAAATCGCACCATTGCACTCCAGCCTGGGTGACAAGAAAAAGACTCTTATCTTAAAAAAAAAAAGAAAAAAAAGAAATGGCATCTTCTTCAAGAATTACATCGTGTTTCATGATAAAGAAGCTCTAATTTTGCATTTGTTCAAGTATTGATGAGATTTACCCAATATGACACCCATCTTGGATAAAATGCAAACAACACAATTTCATTTTCTCATTAACAAAACCGATTAAGTAGTCTAATATAAATTGCGATCTTATTAAAAACTGATCAGATTAAAAAAATTATGGAATTATGGAGCCAATAAGATGTTACAACCTGTTCCAAGGGGAATTCCAAAATCCACACATATCTGAGACCATCAAGTATGATGAAATATATTTGATTACTATATTGAAAAATAAACTGATTACATAGCCAACAATTGGACAGGGGTCTCCTCATCCACAGCCACACAAACCCGATCATGCAGCTATGTGGTTACAAGGCCTACATAGCCTAGAAGGGACTGGTCTGACTTGAGATTTCATTTGTATTTGTATTTTGAGACAGGGTCCCACTCTGTCACCCAGGATGGAGTGCAGTGGTATAATCATAGCTCACTGCAATCTTGACCAACTGGGCTCAAGAGATGCTCCTGCCTCAGCTGCCCCCATACCTGGGAATACAGGCAAGTACCACCATGTCAGGCATTTTTTTCATTTTTGTAGAGAGAGAAGACTTGCTATGTTGCCCAAGCTGGCCTCAAACTCCTAGAATCAAGAGATCTGCCCATCTCAGCCACATGAGTAACTGGGGCCATAGGTACATACCATCATGCCTGGCTATATTTATTTTATTTTATTAAATTTATTTTTTTTTATTTTTGTAGAGAGGAGGTCTTGCTGTGTTGCCCAGGCTGCTCTCAAACTCATGGCCTTAAAACATACTCCCATCTCTGCCTCTCAAACTGTTGGAACTATAGGTGTGAGCCACTGTACCTGGCCTGACTTGGGATTTCTTTTATCTAGCATCCTTTACTTGGTAGGATTGGGAAAAGCAGTAGTGTTTTTTAAAATTACTTAATAATTCAATCAGAATCAAACTCAACCTTGACCACTGCCTTCTCTCACAGCTCACATCCAGTCTGTCAGGAAATCCTACTGACTGACTTCAACATGTATCCAGGCTCTAACCATCTCTCACCACCACCATGAACCCCGTCAGGATCACTATCATCTCCCACTGGGATGTTGCCACAGCTTGGCTCCCATGCTTCTACCCAAATCTTCCCATAGTCTTTCTCAACTCGGCAGCCAGGTCGTGCTTTTAAATCAGGAGACGGATCATGTCGCCTCTCTGCTCAGAAGCCCTCGGTGGTTCCCATTTTAGTCAGAGTAAAAGCCAAAGCCCCAGCAATAGCGTCCCAGGGCTTACACGATCTGTACCGATCCCAGCCCAGCAACTCCCTGGCCTCCTCGCTGACTTCGCTCCCTCTATCTCTTTGCTCCACTGGCCTCCTTCCAGAGCCTCAGACACACCAGAGAGTTTCCTCCTAATGCCTTTATCCTGTTGACTCAGCCTACAATGCTCTTCCCTCAGCACCTTGGCCAGCTCCATCACCTGCTTCAAACTTTTGCTCAATATTCACTTATGAGGCCAACCCTGACCACTCTACTTAACACTGCCATCTGTCCCCATTCCCACCATGCTCATTTCTTTCTTTCTTTTTGAAACAAGGTCTTGCTTTATTGCCCAGGCTGGAGTACACTGGTGCAATCACAGCTCACAGCAACTTCAACCTCCCAGGCTTAAACAATCCTCCCGCCTCAGCCACCCTAGGAACTGAGACTACAGCTGCATGCCACAACACATGGCTTTTTTTTTTTTTTTTTGAGACGGAGTCTCGGTCGCCCAGGCTGAAGTGTAAGGGTGCGATCTTGGCTCACTGCAATGTCTGCCTTTTGGGTTCAAGTGATTCTCTGCCTCCCAAGTAGCTGGGATTACAGGCACCCACCACCACACCTGGCTAATGTTTGTATTTTTAGTAGAGATGGGGTTTCACCATCTTGGCTAGGCTGGTCTTGAACTTCAGACCTCGTGATCCACCCTCCTCGGCCTCCCAAAGTGCTGGGATTACAGGCGTGAGCCACTGCGCCTGGCCTTTAAAAAATTTTTTTTTTAGACATGAGGTCTCATTATGTTGCCCAGGCTGGTCTTAAGCTCCTGGGCTTAAGCGATCCTCCCACCTCAGCCTCCTAAAGTTCTGGGATTACAGGCGTGAGCAACCGTAACATGAGGTCCCAGCTTCATGTTCATTTTTTGTTGTTGCTACAACAAAGTACCCTACATTTAGTGGCATCAAACACCAGAAATCTACCATCTTACAGTTCTGGGGGCCAGAAGCCCAACTAGGTCTATTAAGGCTAAAGTCAAGGTGTCAGAGAGGCTGCATTCCTTCTGGGGGAGGCTCTAGACAGAATGTGCTCCTTTGCCTTTTCCAGCTTCTAGAAGCCACCTCCATTCCTGGACTTACCTCGTGACTCCATATTCAAGGCCAGAAGTGCAGCATCTTCAAATCTCCCTCTCTGACCTCTTCTTCCATTACCACATCACTTTCTCTAATTCTGACTCTCCTACCTCATTCTCTTATAAAAATCCTTGTGATTGGTGGGTATGGGGGCTCCCATCTGTAATCCCAACATTTTGGGAGGCCAAAGAGGAAGGATTGCTTGAGGCTAAGAGTTAGAGATCAGCCTGGGGAAAATAGGAAGATCCTGCCTTTACAAAATTAAAATCAGCTGGACATGGTGATGCATGCCTGTAGTTCCAGCTACTGGAGAGGCTAAGGTGGGAGGATTGCTTTAGCCTAGGAGGTCAAGGCTGCAGTGAGCTATGATCACATCACTGCACTCCAGCCTCAGTGGCAGAGTGAGACTCTGTCTCCAATATAAGAAAAGAAATATACATTTGGTCTCTGCCCCTGGTTCCTGGCATAGAGCTTCCAAAGCTCTTATAAAGCCCTTCGTGACAGAGGTAATAGGAGTATTTTCTGTTTTGATATTTAGTCTTAGTCCCAGGTTCCTGACACAAGGGCCTCTAAGGTCTTTCAGATCTGCAGCATGGTAAGAATGCATGTGGGATGCTGTTGAGCTAACAGGGTGGCTGCAAGCTCCGAGACTGCTTCAGGAGGAGGGCTAGCTGCCAGAGAAAGCAACCACATTTTTTTTTTAAAATGGAGTTTGGCTCTTGTAGCCCAGGCTGGAGTGCAATGGCACAATCTCAGCTCACTACAACCTCCACCTCCCGGGTTCAAGCAATTCTCCTGCCTCGGCCTCCCGAGTAGCTGGAATTATAGGGATGTGCCACAACGCCTAGCTAACTGTTGTTATTTTTAGTAGAAACGGGGTTTCACCATGTTGGTCAGGCTGGTCTCAAACTCTTGACCTCAAGTGGTCCATGTGCCTCAGCCTTCCAAACTGCTAGGATTACAGGAGTGAGCCACCGCACCTGGCCCCAACCACATTTTTTGAGGCTTGGAACTTTCAGCCTCACCTGCTGAACTCCAGGAGGCAAAAGGAACTGGAGATTGACTTAACTACCAATGGCCAGTGATTTTATCAATCATGCCTCCATAAACACCCAAACAGCAGGGTTTGGAGAGCTTCTGTGTTGCTAAACACAAGGAGGTCCTGGGAGGGTAGTGTGCCCAACAGAGGGCATGGAAGCTCTGTGCCCCTCCCCACTTACCTTGTCCTGTGCATCTCTTTCATTGGCTGTTCCTGAGATGGAGCCATTACATTGAGCCAGTAATAGAAAATAAGGTGGCCAGATGCACTGGCTCATGCCCGTAATCCCAGCACTTTGGGAGGCAGAGGTGGGCGGAATCACTTGAGCCTAGGAATTTGAGACCAACCTCGGCAACATAAGAAGACCCCATCTATACAAAAAATAAAAGAAATTAGCCAAATGTGGTGGTGGGAACCCTGTAATTCCAGCTACTTGAGAGGCTGAAGCAGGAGAATCACTTGAGCCCTGGATGTTGAGGCTTCAATAAGCTATGATTGCACCACTGCACACCAGCTTGGACAACAGAGCGAGGCCCTGTCTCTTAACAAGAAAAGAAAAAAAACTTGTTTTTCTAAGTTCTGTGAGTTGTTCTAGTAAATAATTAAACTCAACAAGAGGGTCATGGGAAACCCTGATTTCTAACTGGTTGGTCAAAATACAGGTGACAACCTAGGACTTGCAACTGGCATCTGAAGTGAGGGTGGTCTTGTGGGACTGAGCCCCTAACCTGTGGGTTCTGTGCTAACTCTAGGTAGTGTCAGAATGGAATTGTGGGATACGCGGTTGGTATCCAGAGAGTTGGAGAACTGGTGTAGAAACTCTGCACACACATTTGGTCAGAAGTCTGTGAGTAGAGAGAAACATGTTGCAGGAAGTCAGGGACCCCAAACGGAGGGACTGGCTGAAGCCACAGCAGAAGAACATAAATTGTGAAGATTTCATGGACATTTATTAGTTCCCCAAATTAATACTTCTATAATTTCTTAGGCCTGTCATTACTGCAATCTCTGAACATAAATTGTGAAGATTTCATGGACACTTATCACTTCCCCAATCAATACCCTTGTGATTTTCTATGCCTGTCTTTAATCTCTTAATCCGGTCATCTTCGTAAGCTGAGGATGAATGTCCCCGCAGGACCCTGTGATAATTGCGTTAACTGCACAAGTTGTTTAAACAATATGAAACCTGGGCACCTTGAAAAAAGAACAGGATAACAGCAATTTCAGGGAACAAGGGAGATAACCTTAAACTCTGGCTGCCTGTGGGCCGGGTTGAACAGAGCCATATTTCTCTTCTTTCAAAAGCAAATAGGAGAAGTATTGCTGAATTCTTTTTCTCAGCAAAGAACATCCCTGAGAAAGAGAATGCATCCCTAAGGGGAGGCCTCTGAAATGGCCGCTTTGGGGACGGCTGTCTTTTACAGTCATAGATAAGGGATGAAATAAGCCCTGGGTTCGCGTGGCGCTCCCAGGCTTATCAGGACAAGGAAATTCCCGCCTAATAAATGTTGGTCAGATGGGTTGTCTGCTCTCAAACCCTTTCTCCTGATAAGATGTTATCAATGACAATGCGCGCCCGAAACTTCATTAGCAATTTTAATTTCGCCCCAGTCCTGTGGTCCTGTGATCTTGCCCTGCCTCCATTTGCCTTGTGATATTTTATTACCTTGTGAAGCATGTGATCTCTGTGACCCACACCCCATTCGTACACTCCCTCACCTTTTGAAAATCACTAATAAAAACTTGTTGGTTTTGCGGCTTGGGGGGCATCACGGAACCTGCCGACGTGTGATGTCTCCCCTGGACATCCAGCTTTAAAATTTCTCTCTTTTGTACTCTTTCCCTTTATTTCTCAGACTGGCTGACACTCAGGGAAAATAGAAAAGAACCTACATGAAATATCAGGGGTGAATTTCCCCCGATATCACACTGGCTCTTCTCTCACCTGTCTACCTGCTTAACTTAATAGGAGAGGCAATGCATGGTGCTCATGAACAAGGCAAGCATTAAAGTCAGACCAGACTAACATTTGACTCAGTCCTAATATTCAGGAGAGCTTGGGCAAATCGCTCATTAACCCCAAGTCTTCATCATTTTGTGCATATAATGGGGATAACTGTGGCACCCACCTGTTTTTGTGAGAATCAATGAAATATTATGCTTGATGTTATTGTGATCATGATACTATCTGACAAGGGCAGTGATGCATGATAACATCAAAAAATTAGAAACTGTAATGAGGTCTCTTGGGCAAAATTCCATACAAGCAAATTACTGTCTCTACAAAGCATTTCTGCCACACTTAATTCACCATTCCCTGAACAAAATGTGCCATCTTCATTGTTCAGGTCTGTATAGTGCTGGTTTCCCTGCCTGGGCAGCTCACTCCATCCCATCCCAGCCCAATCCCCATCCCTCCACCTCCCCCTTCCCTCCCCACTCTCATACAACTCTTCCTTATCTTACAGGACTTGGCTTCAATGTCACCTTAACTGGAAGCTTCTCTCCCTCTCCAGAAGAGCTTCCGATTGCACTTGATGCATGCACTATTATTTGATCATTTTTGAGTTACAGTCCAAGTCTTTTTGTACCTGAATAACATGTTGCCCAGTCAGTTTCTCTTCCTGGATTCAGAAGTCTTTCATGGTAGGTCCAGCTAGAAGTGACAAAAAGACATTTAAAAAAAAAAAAAAAAAGAGGGATGACACAGACAGACATCAGCACTTAAAAGTTTTAAACGATATGTGAAAAACAAAATTTAAGGGCTTCTAGGAGAAATGTAGGAGGGAAGGTGTTACTGGGAAATATGATAGAAGGTTAATTTTTATTTTATTTTATTTTTAGAGAAAGGGTCTTGCTCTATCACCTAGGCTGGACTGCAGTGGTGCAATCACAGTTAACTGCAGCCTCAACCTCCAGGGCTTGAGCAATATTCCCATCTAATTTTTATTTTGTTTAAGAAATGCAGTCTTGCTCTTAGCAAAGCTAAAGTGCAATGGTGTGATCATAGCTTACTGCAGCCTCAACCTTCTAGACTCAAGTGATCCTCCAGTCTTAGCCTCCCCAGTAGCTCGGACTACAGGTGTGCACTGCAACGTGTAGCTCATTTTTTTTTTTTTTAATTTGTAGTAGAGACAAAGTGTCACTATGTTGACCAGGTTGGTGGTGATCTCCTACACTCAGGCAGTTCTCTCACCTCAGCCTTCCAAAATGCTGGGATTACAGGTGTGAGCTGCCACACCTGGCTGAGGGGGTTAATTTTTAATTATATAAAGAGCTCAAAGCAAATATTAGAAGGAGCCTAAATGCCTCCAGCAGTTGACTGGTACTGGTAAATTGTGATACATCCATATAATAAAATATTATGCAACCATGAAAAGGATTAAGATAGATCAATAGGTATTGGCACAAATGTCCACGAAATATGAAAATATGAAGTGATGTTCAATCACCATGTACGTATCTTGAAGGATATGGCCCATTTTCTCAACTGCAATTATTTCCTGAGATAAGATTATGGGTCTAAAGAGTGAAGGACATTTTTCACTTATTTAAAAGTATTTATCATTTTTATAATTTAATAAAAGATTAAACAGATCATTGAATTAGTAAAAGACAAAGTAACTCTATAAATAAATGGAAAAGACACAGATACCCCAGGCATGGTGGCTCATGCTTATAATACCAGTACTTTGGGAGGGGGTGGTGGGGGGATTGCTTGAGGCCAGCAGTTCCAGACCAGCCTAAGAAACAAAGCAAGACCTCCTCTCTAGTAAAAATAAAAAAATAAAAATAATTGGCCAGGCATAGTGGCATGTGCCTATAGTCCCAACTACTGAGGTGGAAGGATCACCTGAGCCTAGGAGGTCAAGGCTGCAGTGAGTTGAGACTGTGCCACTACACTGAAGCCTAGGAGACAGAGCGAGACTTCATCTCAAAAAAAAAAAAAGGACAATAAAGAAATAAAGCTAATAAGCTAACATAAGGAAAGATAAAATATGTGACAAATAGGCTGGGCACATGGCTCACAGCTGTAATCAAGCACTTTGGGAGGCCAAGGCGGGTAGATCACGAGATCAGGAGTTCGAGACCAGCCTGATCAACATGGTGAAACCACGTTTCTACTAAAAATACAAAAATTAACCAGGCATGGTGGCATATGCCTGTAATCCCAGCTACTCAGGAGGCTGAGGCAGGAGAATCGCTTGAACCTGGGAGGCACAGGTTGCAGTGAGCCGAGATCACACCACTGCACTCCAGCCTGGTCGACAGAGCGAGACTGTGTCTCAAAAAAGAAAAAAGAATGGGTGACAAAGTAATAATAGGAGGTCTTTCATTTATCACACAGAAAATAACTTGTTAAATTATAATACCTGTGTGGGCGAAGGTGCAGTGAAATGGCCATTTTCTTGTAGTATTAGTGGTGTTTAAAATGTATATAAGCCTTCCAGCATAAAGCTTGGAAATTTTTTTTAAATCATACAGACAGTGACTCATTATACTGCCTCCTCCAACTCCTGGCCTCAAGCAATCCTCCCACCTCAGCCTCCCAAAGTGCTGGAATTACAGGCTGACAGCCACCATGCCTGAAAGCTTTGCAATTTACATCGAGGGTAATAAGAATGCTCATGCCCTGTGACTCACAGTAATCTCACTTCTGGAAATTTCACCTTTGGATATAATTCAACCTAAACAAAAGGTCATATGCACAAACACAGTGAAAATCTGGGAGTAATTTTTTTCTCTTTTTTTAAAAAAATATGGAATGCTTCACAAATTTGCATGTCATTCTTTCACAGAGGCCGTGCCAATCTCTCTATTGTTCCAACTTAAGTATGTGTGCTACTGAGGCAAGCATGAGCAATTTAAGATAGAGTGGTTAAGTGAAATAAGGAAGAATTATGGAGAATTTAAAAATCTATGCTATTTATAGGCACCTAGTAACAGCTCAGTAAATATTAGCTGCTACTATTATTATTTTTATGGTAATTTCACTCAATTAAAAACTGTCGTTAAAAATTACCATTGTCATGGAACATAATGTCTCCTACTGTATAATTGTAGAAACAGATACAATTTGTCCCTTGGTATATGGGGGGATTAGTTCCAGCTCTCCCATTTCTGTGTATACCAAAATCCACGCATACTCAAGTTTTCGAAGTCAGTCCTGTGGAATCCACATATAACACAAATGGGAAAATTAGTGAGATGTGGTGACAAGCACCTGTAGTCCCAGCTACTTGTGAGGCTGAGGCAGGAGGATTGCTTGAGCCCAGGAGGTTGAGGCTGCAGTGAGCCATAATTGCACCACTGCACTCCAGTCTGGGCAACAGAGTGAGACAGAAGGTTGACTTTTTAATAGAATTTTTCTGTTCACTTGAAGATATGGTCAGGATTGTGGCATATGAAAATTCTTCATAAAATAACTATCTAATCCAATTAATGCTGGAATTGGGAACAGCAGAAATGTCATCTCAGAGCTACTCACAATGAAAGGTGATGTCTGGGGCTCAGGTGTGTTGAGGTCCCCATGCCTGGACTATGGGTGCTGAGTGGGATTTACTTGTCCATCCATTTTCTATATTCCAGCACTGGGAAACTAGGGACAGTACTTGTTCTCAAGGGAATCTTCAGCTTAGGTGGCTCTGTAAAAGAGAAATTACATCATTGAAAAATCGTCGCAGGTCAGGTGAGGTGGCTCATACCTATAATCCCAGCCCACTGGGAGACTAAGGCAGGAGGATTCCGTGAGGCCAGGAGTTCAAGACCAGCCTGAGCAACACAGTGAAACCTCATCTCTACAAAAAATTAGAAAATGAACTGGGTGCGGTAAAACATTCGTATAGTCCCAGCTACTCTGGAGGCTGAAATAGGAGGATCGCTTGAGCCCAGGAAGTGGAAGCTGCAGTGAGCTCTGATCTCACCACTGCACTCTAGCCTTGGTGACAGAGTGAGACCCTGTCTCAAGACACACACAAACACACACACACACACACACACACACACACACACACACACCCAATCTCACTCTGTCCAGCCTTGACTAATCAAAAGGGCCTTCTGGTTACAGAAGAGGTATGCTCTTTTGTAGGACAGGGAGAGACCAGCAAGCTTGTTCACAGACTTTTCCTCATCCTCTGCTTAGTTTTCCAAGAACCCTCACAGTGGAAATGGAGTCTCTGGGAAAATGACCTAAATCTTTGGGTTACCAGGGGAGAAATATGCCTCCTTTGTCAATTAATAAATGGAACATCTGCCTTAAAATCCAGGGAGTTCTGCTAGAATGAATCACTCCCTAAGACCCTGACCAATGCATGGAACATGAAAAACTGAAGTTTAACTGGGCGCGGTGGATCACGCCTGTAATCCCAGCACTTTGGGAGGCTGAGGCGGGCGGATCACCTGAGGTCAAAAGTTCTAGATCAGCCTGGCCAACATGGTGAAACCCCGTCTCTACTAAAAATACAAAAATTAGTTGGGCATGGTGGTGGACACCTGTAATCCCAGCTACTTGGGAGGCTGAGGCAGGAAAATCGCTTGAACCCGGAAGGCGGAGGTTGCAGTTACTTCTAGAAGAATTTCCATTAGCCCTTTGAAATCCTTCAACATTCATGAAGGCCAAAGAGTTTTCACCTAATTTAATCTGATGGGTATGTGACCAGAGTCTTTCTAGGGAATAGAGACTCCCAAACAGTTCGACTGGGAAGTGAGGAGAGAATTTATTACTCAAAACCAAAGGGAAATGAAAAGAGGCCAACATAGAATGTCATTATTCTTTCTTGGCGGGGAATGGATTCCAGAGTCATTCTGTGACCTTTACATGACCTCCTTATTAGCATCTAAAAGCTTCCAGTGTAGGATGCAGCCAGCTAGGTTCTCTTCTAATGTAATAAAATTTGCTTCGGCAAATCTTATGCAGAGCCATCTCCAGGCTCTAGAAACAATAGGCTATAAATTACTGGATCTCCCATTTGATACAATGAAGTATGAGCATGGTCCTGAATGACTCCTCTACATACTACTCTGGGTGGCTTGAAGTGAATTTGATACAAGAACTGGAGCGAGGGCAAAGCAGAGCTAGATCTAGGATTAATGTGCTTGGGCCCAGCTCCTCACTACTCACCTATGAGTCTAGTTCCAGAACCCAAGTAGAGGATGGGGAAACAAGGCTCCTGACTTTTTTTCCCTAATGTCTGCATCTCTTTCACATTTCTTATCTCCTTGCAAAGAAACTAAACAGGCTCAACTGAAATAACTAAATGATTAAACCCTATACAGAGAATCTCCAAAGACTGACAAAATATCATTCAAGACTGTTACACAGACAACCTTGAGGATGACTTGATGTACCAGTGATCTACAATATTTGGGATCATTCCAAATTCCCATCAAGGATCTGCCTATATCAACAAAGGAGCCAAGGACCAACCATTCAAATGGGCCCTGCTGCCAAGCCTTTTTTTTTTTTTTTAGCAATGCCATCTCTTCATATTGTTCCATTTAACAAAACTGCAGCCCTTCATCTATCCTTAAGTCCCTTGGCCAATGGTACAGGGCCAGAGTATGCTACTCCCTAGCAGGAAATCAACAGGATGACCTACTAAACACCATTCAGAAGATGCTAAGACCCATGAATTGCAACAGGAAAGAAAAGACAGAGAATTAGTCAGACAGGTACATGCTGTGCCAAAAATGCACTACAGCCCCCACCCAATTCTGCCTAATCCTAGCTGGGCTGACACCAACCTGATGAGACAGGCCTATAAGATCTCAAACTAAAACAGAAACTCCTGAACTGGGTTCTTTCGAGCCCAGGAAGCAGCAGTAAATCATTAAAGAACAGATAAGTTCTTAAGGTGAGGGAGAGTTTCAGATAAATGGAATGCTGGTAGAACACAGGGCCCAAAGGAGCAAAAGTTAACCTAAGCCCAGGTAGAACCTTGTTTACTAGAGTATTAGGCATGGGTTTGGGCAACTATTCTAACCAGAGAAACTGGCTTCAGTGAGGGCAAGTTGGCAATCCAAGGTATAGCATGCATAGGGCTGGCAAAATTCAGGGTGACTGAAGCAAAAGCTTCATAACCAGAAAGACCACATCTGGGGGTAGAGCACAAAACTCTCAAGAGATGAATCTTTGTAAGAGTGAGGCAGAACTATATAGCAGTTTTAGGAGATCTGTTGGTGCCCAGCAAGAGCTCCAAACGGGCTATATGCAGGGATGCAGGCTGTAGTCTCAGGAGAGGAGGTTCACAAAAGTCATTCAGTCCAAGACCTCAAACTGTGTTCTCTACTAAAAGGAATCAAGGTTCCCTAGAGAAATGGCTGACTCCATGTATGGTGCAGTATATTGATCCTGGAACATCTGTTTTGCCAGAAAGCAAGGAAGCCATCAAAGTCCAACAGGATCACGTCAAAAAGACATGAAAGTCAACTTGAAGAGATAATTATTAACCTAGATGAGACAATGTAAGCATCCAAAACAATAAAGACTGCAATGGCCTGAAATACATCAAATGCAAACAATAATCTATGAGTTCATAATGGTATTCAGAAAAAAAAACTACTGGTCATTAGAGGGAAGGTTACTAGGTCACTAACTTACTACTCTGAAAAGTGACTTAAGATGAGAGGTAGGGTGGAGAATTAGCTATTTATTCAGTCTTTCCTGTACAAACATAAATTTTTAGGGAGATTGAAGCAGATGAAACAAATCTGGAAAAATGGAGGTAACTGCTTAATCTGCGGGTTGGGTGCATGGAGGTGCAACATATTTCTTTTGTGTATATTTGAACCCCCTACAAAAAAAGCACAAGACAGAATGTGAGCCAAGCAGCTTAGGGTTTAGGCAAGGCTTCTGCCTACAAGAGACACTAGGATATGAGGGGTAGTTTTAGCCCTAATGGGCTGAGCCAACTGGAGGTATATAGGGAAGTGCTAAATTGCAGAGGTATCATGTTGCCCAGCACTTGATCAAATCCTAGATCCTAGGTCTGCTTGGTAGCATGCTTCCTAGGTAGTGGATCTGAGGCTACCTATAGAACTTCCTTTGCAGTCATAGTTCGCTCAGAAACTACAAAAGTGCTTGCTCTTGAAAATGGAGTCTTTGTCCATTTCATGCTTCTATAAAAGAATACCACAGACTGCATAATTTATAAAAAGGAAAAAAGGAAGGAAAGAAAAAAGGAAGGGAGGAGGGAAGGAGGGAAAAAGGGAAGGAGGGAAGGAAAGGAAGGAAGGGAAAGAGAGAAAGAGGGAAGGAGGAAGGGAGGGAAGGAGGGAGGGAGGGAGAGAGAGAGGGAGGGAGGGGAAGGGAAGAAAAGGGAAGAGAAGGGAAAGGAGGAAGAAAAGGAAAGGAAAGGAATAAATTTTATTTCTTAACAGTTCTGGATGTTAGGAAGTCCAAGGTTGAGGGGCCTGCATCTGGTAAGGGTCTTCTTGCTGCATCATCCCACTACAGAAGGCAGAAGGAAAAGAGAGTGCAAGAAAGCAAGAGGGCAAAAGGGGCTGAACTCTGTTTTATAATAAGCCCACTCTGTGATTACTAATCTATTACCACAATAACAACATTAACTCATTCATGAAGGCTATTTTATTAGGCCCCACATCCCAACTGTTGCATTGAGGATTGAGTTTCCAGCACATAAACTTTGGGGGACACATTTAAACCATAGCAGAGCACTTAGGTTAATTCAACTAAGAGGAGCTGGGAAAATCAAAGGCATGAGAAAGACAGCAAAAGCTAGCAGAGAGAAATGCATAGGTTAAGGAAAAAAGTCACAGTGAATCCTGTAGTGCAGGCTACTTTATCAAAAGCACCTAAAAAAGATCTCATTAACTCCCCCAGCTCACCTCCACGCACATCTAAAGAGCCACACACAGCACCACCAAAGGCAGCACAATGAGAACAGCATTCTCCTCAACAGACAAGCTGGGAGTATCTAGACACCCGACCTCAATAGCTCCAGAACAGCCCTAAAACATTTCCTCCCTAACCACCACTCAAGTCACCAGCTTGGAAAGTATTAAGAAAACCCAAATCCTGACACACCACTATGAAACAACTTAAAACAGCAAAGAACAACCCATTTAAACAGCAATGCCAGCTGTTGGGAAAAAAAGGAACAATGAGTAGAGGAGAAACAGACCTCTCGGGGTCCACCAAGACCCAGTCTCTCAGCTTCAGCACTTTTAAATGCAGAATCCATACCCCTCTGGGGCCTGTGGAGCTCCACAAGGCATATCGTCCTCAAAGATAAATGAGCAGGCAAGCTGGCTAGAAAACCACTAAGGGTATTTATTCTTTAAAGAATCTTTACAGGGTCAAAGAAGAATGGGTCTTAACTGGCTATGTGAACTCCCCACAGATTCTGAGGATGATGTCAGTATCCCTCTCCAGATGTGTTTAACACTTTGCAGTCACTTGTATTCCTGCTACTGAGTGCCAGTGCTTTGCTAATTTGAACTGATTCCAGCTCACGCTGACCCCAGCTCCCTGGATGTTACCATTAGCCAAGACTGTCACCCATACTGTACCCTTTCAAAGAGTCCTAAAAACAGCTCTTCACCTACTCTTCCAAGACAAGTAAAAATGTCTGCCAAAGAAATGGGGAAAAAAGATTCAGAGAGTGAAAACAATTAATATACTAACAAGAGAGCAAAAAGCAAAAGGGGAGGAGAAACTAGGAAAATCATATATGGGCTCTCACCTATTTCCAAAGCTGGGCTAATGTCCTTTTGCTTGTGTCTGAATAAGGCACCAATTTTAAGCTGCTAATGAAAAAAAAAGAAAAAGAGAAAGAAGCAGGCCCAGGCTGGGCGCAGTGGCTCATGCCTGTAATCCCAGCACTTTGGGAGGCCGAGGCGGGTGGATCACCCAAGGTCAGGAGTTCTAGACCAGCCTGGTCAACATGGTGAAACACCATCTCTACTAAAAATACAAAAAATTAGCCAGGCATGGTGGCGCATGCCTGTAAATCCAGCTACTAAGGAGGCTGAGGCAGGAGAATTGCTTGAACCTGGAAGGCAGAGAATGTGGTGACCTGAGATCACGTCATTGCCCTCAAGCCACGGCAATGAGAACAAAATTCGGTAAAAACAAAACAAAACCACCATAAAATAACTCAGACTTAAATACAACCCTAGTGGTGAATGACTAAAGATGGATTACTCATAACAGAGACAACAGTCCAATAAGAATCCAGGAATCTTACCTTTTAATAACAAAAAAATCCTTTCCTTCTAAAGTAACATCCTCTCAAGGCCAGGAATTCCATTAGTAGAAAGCCTTCCTAAAAAACAAAATTCCTGGCCAGGCATGGGTTCACGTCTGTAATCTCAGCACTCTGGGAGGCCGAGGCGGGAAGATCACTTGATATCAGGAGTCGAGGCGGGAAGATCACTTGACGTCAGGAGTTCGAGACTGGCCCGGCCAACATGGTGAAACCGCATCTCCACTAAAAATACAAAAATTAGCCTGGTATGGTGGTGGGCACCTGTAATCCCAGTGACTTGGGAGGCTAAGGCAGGAGAATTTCTTGAACCCAGGAGGCAGAGGTTGCAGTGACCAGCAAGGTTGCGCCATTGCACCCCAGCCTGGGCGATAAGAGTGAAAACTCCATCTCAAAAAAAAAAAAAAAAAAATTCCTTTGGGAAGGCCTTCTACATAAAAATCTTCAACATGAGACTGGAAAAAAGGGTATGGGATCATCACCGGACCTTTGGCTTTTACAGCTCGAGCTATAAGAACAAAAAGAAAAAGGGATATCATTTAAACACGGTATGTAGAAAAGAATAATTATTGAATCTGTACTGGTCTTTAACTTTTACACTTTGATCTTTAATTCTGTTATTGTGATTGAGTCCAAAGAAAAACAGTATGAGTAAAATAAAAAGAACACCAAAAATGCTAATATTCTGTTTACCGAAGTCTGTAGTGAAATATCCCATTAAATCCAAGTGCAGTGACACACCCATAATCCCAAGCACTTTGGGAGGCTGAGGCGGGTGAATCTCCTGAAGTCAGGAGTTCAAGGCCAGCCTGGCCAACATGATGAAACCCCAACTCTACTACAAATACAAAAATTAGGCAGGCGTGGTGGCAGACGCCTGTAATCCCAGCTACTTAGGAGGCTGAGGCAGGGAGAATTGCTTGAACCCAGGAGGTGAGCTTGCCATGAGCTGAGATCATACCACTGCACTCCAGCGTGGGTGACAGAACAAAACTTCAACCTCCAAAAAAAAAAAAAAAAAAAAAAAACAGCTAGCAGGTGACATTTGCTATAGGGAGTAGGGAGACTAGGGATATGATCTTGCTGCAATCTTTCCATTTTAGTAAATCTAAACAGTGTGAATCCATTCTGTTTCGTCCCCACTCCACTCCAGAGCCAAAACAAGAAAATCAATTATATTTCTAGTTCTTTAAAAACATATCTAACTAAATCATCTAATTAAAAGATAATATGCATGGTTCCATACTCTAAAAGAAAACTTATGTCCTGCATATCATGGACATTTGATGAATGCTTATTCAGTTGACTGGTGTAGACTTCAGTAATAACCTGTTCAATGCATTATGCCAGATGAATCTTGCATCTCAAAAGTAGAACAAATATTGTTCTTTCAGTTTTGTCTACCCATAAATGCAATATTTACTAATAAAAAGAAAATGAGTTTATTGTTCTAGAGAGTATGAGAATTTTGACAACATGAATTCTCCTGTCCTAGGACATAATTAATACTTAGAGGCATACTATTTCATGTGGAAGCTACCATTAAATCAATGTTAAGTGTTAATTACCTCACATAATCTTCTAATCTGACTTGACTGAAGACGTACCTGACAAAGTTGATTTATCAAGTTGTAAATCTTCACCTGTTGAATTCATAAGTTCATGTCTGAAAGGTGAGAATAAATACTTAATATTCATTAGGCAATATTCAGCAAAGTAATATCCACTAGTACATATTTAATATTTCATCATGAACTGCGGGTGTGAAGAGAAAAGACAGGCTGGGCACAGTGGCTCACACCTGTAATCCCAGCAGTTTGGGAGGCCGAGGCAGGCAGATCATGAGGTCAGGAGTTCGAGACCAGCCTGGCCAACATGGTAAAACCCCGTCTGTACTAAAAGTACAATAATTAGCTGGGCATGGTGGCAGGCACCTGTAATCCCAGCTACTCGGGAGGCTGAGGCAGGAGAATTGCCTGAACCCAGGAGGTGGAGGTTGCAGAAACCATTATCATGCCACTGCATTCCAGCCTGGGCAAGAGAGCAAGATTCTGTCTCCATCAATCAATCAATAAAAATATAAGGAGGAAGCATTTACTGTGTATTTATATGTCTGGTATTATGTGAAGCACTTTACTATCTTATCAAATCTTCGGGACAGATCTTCAGTTCTCATGACCACAAAAGAGGATATTAAAGCTCAGACAGGAGAAGAGACGTGGCCAGCCTGTGTCCCCAGGGCCTATGGTCTTACCACTAGGTTACAGTGTTTCCAGATATCACATGTTGTGAGATTTTTGCTTTAAAATGAACCAAAAAAAAACCAAAGGTGAAAAAGGCATAAGCTATTAAAAAGTGGGAGAAACACTAAGAGAACCTTAAGCATGTAACTAAAAATATTATGGAAATGTTATTGAATTCATTAGCAAATTTAGTGCTAGGTTTTCATTGAGGAGTAGGTTATATTACTCATGATGAAGAAAAATGTTCATTTTAAGTATATTAACATAAATACCATCAATATTGTTTATCATGTTTAAATGTTCACTTAAAGCAATTCAGTTAAAATTCTGCATATCATACAATTTTATAGTTTGCTAGTAGGTTACAAGTAAATAGTCACCCAAATAAAAACATCATGTTTTCCACTGGTTGTTGCTCTTTTTTAGGTGAGTATTTGATGTATACCAACAGAGAGAGGATAATAACAAATCGCTAATTTCTTTCATCACTATATAAAGGTGGCTTCAGGATAGAATAGTATCAGGGCAATGATGAATTTGAAATCTAACATCAATTCAGTGATGCATCAAGATAAAAGTAGAGACAACAGGGGCACCTTGGTGAGTACTGAACATTTTATTTATTTATTTATTTTGAGATGGAGTTTTGCTCTTTTTGCCCAGGCTACAGTGCAATGGTGCCAACCTCACCTCACTGCAACCTCTGCCTCCTGGGTTCAAGCGATTCTCCTGCCTTGGCCTCCCGAATAGCTGGGATTACAGACATGCGCCACCACACCTGTCTAATTTTGTATTTTTAGTAGAGACGGGGTTTCTCCATGTTGGTCAGGCTGGTCTCGAACTCCCGACCTAGATATCTGCCTGCCTTGGCCTCCCAAAGTGCTGGGATTACAGGTGTGAGCCACCGCGCCCAGATGAATTCCAAATTTAACAAAGCAGACTAAGAGAAACAATTCATTTAAAAAAATAATATTTGGCCAGGCATGGTGGCTCACACCTATAATCCCAGCACTTTGGGAGGCTGAGGTGAGTGGATGAGGAGGTCAGCAGTTCAAGACCAGCCTAGCCAAGATCATGAAACCCCGTCTCTACTAAAAATACAAAAATCAGCCAGGCATGGTGGCTGGTGCCTGTAATCCTAGCTGCTCGGGAGGCTGAGGCAGAGAACTGCTTGAACCCGGGAGGCGGAGGTTGCAGTGAGCCGAGATCGTGCCACTGCACTCCAGCCTGGGCGACAGAGTGAGGCTCCGTCTCAAAAAAAATAAATAAATAATTCAATGAAATTCCTAAGATCCAGGGCTTTGCAATAAATATGTAAATAAATTTCCAATCTCCATACTGAAAGTTTAAAAGAAATGCTAACTAATAACTAAAGAAATACAACTTTTCCTCAGCTTTGCAGCAATCTAGAAACAAAGTGTGTAGACACTACAAAGCACCTTACAAGGAGAAACATGTAAGGATGGCATGACTCGCCGGCAGCCCTGGGCTTGTCCACGGTACCCCCATGATGAACAGTAACTCCACTGTGTAAACGCCCATGAACATAAGATTACAAGACTTTTCCAGTTTAGACATACCATATTTTCTTTCAGACAATTCTTCAGTTTGTTTACGTAGATCAGCGATACGATGATTCCATTTCTCTGAAAACCAAGCAAAAGTTGCTTCTCAATAACACATCCCTATGTCAGAGCAGCACTAACGTATAATGACTGATTTCATATATTTTACATTCTAACAGTCCATATCATTTTACTGCTTTCAAGAAAAAATTTCCCCTTCTTGGTGGTTCTTAGAATTGGTTTAATGGGAGACTATTAGAGAAGCTGAAAAGCAGGAGGGCAGAAAAGTTCAATCAAATTAAACACAATAACAGGGAGGTCACAATGAGGCGGTCTCCAGGGGTCTTTTAGCAAACTTCCTAAAACATGTCTCAGCTGTGTGAAATAAGACTTTACAGCAGCCGGGTGCAGTGGTGCAGGCCTGTAATCCCAGCACTTTGGCAGCAGAGGCAGGCGGATCACTTTGAGCTCAGGGCAACATAGCCAAAACCCCCCTCCCTAGCCCCACCCCCACCCCGTCCCTACCAAAAATACAAAACAGCAGGGCATGGTGGCGGGCGCCTGTAGTCCCAGCTACTCAGGAGGCTGAGGCAGGAGAATCACCTGAACCCAGGAGGCAGACATTGCAGTGAGCCAAGATCACGCCACTGCCAGCCTGGATGACAGAGCAAGACTCCACCTCAAAAAAAACAAAAACAAAAACACAAGGTTAAGAGGGACCCCCGACCTTACAGATACAAGTTTAAGAGGGACCCCTAAGCAAAAAATGCCAACCCTTTTTCTCCCAATCATTGAAACACCAGGAGGGTGTAACAGTTTTGCAGCCTAGCTGTAGCAGGCTGATGCCCCCAAGATGCCCATATCCTAATCCCGGGAACTGGTGAACATGACCTTATATGGCAAAAGGAGCTTTGCAGATATAATGAAGTTAAGGGTCTTTGGCTTTTGGGGTTGATGTACTCACTCGGATCCTTGTAAGAGCAGAGCAGGTGATGGAGAGGGTGGGAGGTGTAGTGACAGAAGCAGGAAACTCCAGTCATTCGAGACGGACAGCACAAGCTGAGGAGTGCAGGCCACCTCTACGGCCAGGAAACGGATTCTCCCGCAGAGCCTCGGAAGCTACCGACCCTGCTCCCACCTTGACTCAGTAGGACTTACTGTAGAATTCTGGCCTTCAGACCTGTAAGGGAATACATTTTGGTTGTTTTAAGTCACTAAGTGTGTGGTAATTTGTTGCAGCAGCCACAGGAAACTAGTATTGTAGTGAAGCCTCAAAACCCCCCTGAAGGGGCTGGGCTCAGTGGCTCATGCCTGTAATCCCAGCACTTTGGGAGGCCGAGATGGGTGGATCACTTGAGGTCAGGAGTTCGAGACCAGCCCAGCCAACATGGTGAAATGCCATCTATACAAAAAATACAAAAACTAGCCGGGCATGGTGGCACATGCCTGTAATCTCAGCTACTCAGGAGGCTGAGACAGGAGAATTGTTTGAACCCAGGGGGGCAGAGGTTGCAGTGAACTGAGATTCCACCACTGCACTCCAGCCTGGGTGACAGAGCGACGCTCCATCTCGAAAACAAAACAAAACAAAAAAACCCCACCTGAAGGTTTCCAGTTCTGCCAGCACTCTCCCACCCAACCCCCAGAAACAGACATTCCATTGCTGTGGGCCATGGACAGGCAGAAGGAAGCACCTCCTCATGGCAGAGGCCTACCCAGGAGAAACCCAAGGGAAGGCACTACTGGGCTGGCCCCTCTCTGCCAAGGCCATATTCTTTTTTTTTTTTTGAGGCCAGTTTCACTCTGTCTCCCAGACTGGAGTGCAGGGGCACAATCTCGGCTCACTTCGACCTCTGCCTCCCCAGTTCAAGTGATTCTCCTGCCTCAGTCTCCTGAGTAGCTGGGATGACAGGAGTGTAGCATGCCTAGCTAATTTTTGTATTTCTAGTAGAGATGCGGTTTTGCCATGTTGCCCAGGCTGGACTCGAACTCCTTGCCTCAAGTAGTCCACCTGTCTCAGCCCCGCAAAGTGCTGGTATTACAGGAGTGAGCCACTGCACCCAGCATTTGCCAAGACCTTTGATGGCAGGCTTTTTCCAGGTGATCAGTCCTTGTCTGGTCTGGCTCTGCCCCACTCTCCTTCTCACCTAGTTGGAATCCCTAGCTACTTTTCAGTAGAGGAGAGTGTGTACCCCAATCCCAGCTTGGTTCAGATCTGCATTTAACTCATGGAACCTGGCTGCTCCCCAGGTTCTGAAGAAAAAAACGGTCTCTCTGTGGGTATGATAAAGGATGGGCCTGTCCCCAGGACCCTGTGAGAGGGAAGCCCAATGTCCCACCAGGTTGGCAGGGCTGGGGAAGGGAAAGTGTTATGGCAGCCCCAAGAAAAAAAAGAGGCAGCAGAGGGAGCAGGACAGCGCTCACATGGAACTCATGCCACTGCCTGAGGGGAGGGAGGAGTGCACGCCAGTGACGTCAGGGGGCAGAGAGGCGCAGTTCCAGGGCGGCTTTCCCCCTCACTTCCTGCCATGTTACTCTGATCGCCTCCAGGTGAGCCTGCCCACTTTGTGCCCAGGGGCCTGTAGAAAACCACAGCTCCCCATGGTTATGGCCCCAGGAGTGGGGCAGAGCAGGGAGGAGTCCTGGACAGAGGAGAGGAAGGGGCAGGAGGGAGTGGGCCTCAAACTCCAGGAGGGGGCCCTTCTCATGGGTCCTGCTTTCTGGCTTCTCCTTCCTTACCCCTGGGCTGATCACTTGGGGAAGAACTGAGACAAAGTTTCTCACCCTCAGGCCCAAAGGGTTTAATTACTGGGCCCTTAGGGAGGTGTGAGCCCCCTGAAAGGATGCAAGGTTTTGTTTTGTTTTGTTTTTTGAGACAGAGTTTCGCTCCTGTCGCCCAGGCTGGAGTGCAGTGGCGTGATCTCACCACACTACAACCTGCGCCTCCCAGGTTCAAGTGATTCTCCTGCCTCAGCCTCTGGAGTAGCTGGGATTACAGGTGGCTGCCACCACGCCTGGCTAATTTTTTGTATTTTTAGTAGAGACAGGGTTTCGCCATGTTGGGCAGGCTGGTCTTGAACTCCTGACCTCAGGTGATCCGACTGGCTCCGCCTCCCAAAGTTCTGGGATCACATCAGCCACTGTGCTTGGCCACGATGAAAGGTTTTGTGTGGAGAGCATGTACATGCCTTTCTGGGAAAACAGTCCACAGCTCTTATTCTCAGCAGGCTTCACGGTGAAAAAAGGTTAGAACTCTTGCTACAGAGCTGTGGAAGCAGCCAGGTGAGGGGCCTGCCAAGGGCACTCTGGGCACTACCTGGGCACTCTCGAGCCCATCATCCCCTAGGCAGGCTGCACTGCTTGGTATTTGCAGAGCTGAGGGGGTGGGGCATGTGGGGACTGTGAAATCGCCCTGAGATGACCCACAGTCCTCAGCTAGGAAGTGAGCGCTGCATCTCCTGCAGCGTCCTCCATCCCTAGAGCCATAGGGCCAGGAGAACCGGCCCTTGCAGCAAGTGAAAAGCCTATTATTGATTCCCTCTCTAGCCATGTAGACAGTGAACCAAGACACTCATATCAGGTAAATGCCTTGTTCTCTGTTACCAAGGTAACCAGTAGGCATTCCCAGATACAGCAAAGGTCCTCACACCAAGATATGCACCTGGCCACCTGAGGAAAGAGAAAGGACTATCTGAGGGGATGGGGCTGAGCTGGGTGTGGAGTGGTCCTTGTGGGTCTTGGAGAGTGGGAGGGGGAGCAGCATGAGCCAGGCCTCGAGGCAGAAGGACAACCAGGAGACAGCCTGGAAAAAGTGCTGGACCCACAAGGGCTCAAGGCTGGCCAGAGGGGAGGTGGGATAGGCTGTAAAGTCCTGAGGTCTGAAGATTGGCCCTGGCAGGAAGAAACCAGGTAAGGTGGGGTGTTACCTACACCCTCGGGGCCAGATGCAGGCCAGAGCCAGCCAATTACCAGGCCCTTAGGGAGGTGTGAGCCCCTTGAAATGATGCAAGGTTTTTTGTTTTTGTTTTGGAGACGGAGTTTCGCTCTTGTCACACAGGCTGGCACCTTTGCCCAGAGCAGGCACCAAGACTTCTGGCTCTGGGTGTGACCTCAGTCTGGGTAAAAGCCCCAGCCCCCACCAGCACCACCTACCCCCTAGACTACTTCAGGTGCTGAGCCCAAGCCAGGGGCAGGAAGCTAAACTGATGCCTAGGGTAATCCCAACAAAGTCCCTGGTTCCCCGCAGCTATGGGGCTGATGGGGAATTACAGCCCAAACCCCAGATGCTGGCTCTCAAACTAACACTGAGCCCTCAGTGCCCACAGGGAGATACAATCAGCGCACTTTCCAGATGGGGAAATGGGATCAGAGAAGTGCAACAGCCTTGCCCAATGCCCCAGACCAGGGCTCCAGGCCCAGAGTGTTCTTTTGTCACTGTGTTCAGAGGGCAGCAGCTGCTGTGATGTACCCACCTGAGCCTGGCAGCTTTCTCCAACTTTGGAAGCCCAGGAGCATGGCCCCTGTCCACAGATGCACCTGGCACGAGGCGTGCCCAGAGGGACAGAGGCAGATGAGTTTCGTCTCCTCCACTGGATTGTGAGGGCCTAGAAGGAGACAAGGGTCTGCTTGAGAAGGCAGTGAACAGCGAGCAGCCTGAGGCAGTGCCCCTCTGGATGGATGCGCAGTGCCTGGATGGAACCTGGCTCAGACAGAGCTCAGTTCTGCAGGTCCCTGAGGCATGGAGAGTTCACAGCTACCAAGTGTAGGAGTCTGGATTCAAAGCCAACGGCGTCACTCCAAAGTCCCTGCCCTAGCCCCTGGACCACCCTTGCAAGCCCATCAGATGCCCAGGCCAGCAGCACAGCCGGCCAAGACCAGGGAAACTTGGGGAGCCTCAGAGCACCCCCAGGTATTCCAACCTAACCCTGGTGCCCCGCCTCTCACCACCCTTCTTCCTGCTTTAACCTCAACCCTACACAAAGCCTGGGCCACTTAATGTGGCATCAAACAGACGCCTCAATAAATCAGTCTAATCTCGAAAAAAAAAAGACTTAACAGATATACAATTGCACGTTAGAATGCTAAAGACCATAAACATAGAACAACTCAAAGTACATATAAATTCAACATATATCCAATCATTGTAACTATGACACAGTAGAATATTAAAATACTATTTTCAAAATGTATACAAGCTTAATGTTCTATGTATTCAAACTATTCAAAATACAAATCATCAACATAAATTGCCACTAATATTCAGTCCCTTCACAGGACATGATTCACTGGGAGTTAATAAATTAGCAGCCGGCAGGCAGTGACACACCGCAAAAATGAAAACCAAGAGGTGAAATAGTTCTGAAATAAAGGTTTTAAAGCTAACAGAAATCACTGAATTACTAAGTCATTAGCACTAATTTTGAGCCAACTAACTAATTAATATGAGATGATACAATGTCCTATACTTTGGTAAATACAGACTATGTTTAAACAATGTCTGTAACGTGACTTGTAAAATGCTCCTGGCTTTACAAAGATGTGATTAAGATGTAGTAACACATGCTAAACCATTTCCCCCTGCAGAGCATGTGGTAACTTTCATCAATCACACTGAGAGTCCAGAAGATAAAGGAAAAGGTCATGGATTTCGCTGAGAACTTACCAGAGTTGAACTCCCTCATTTTCCGTTCCCCAGCATTGGCGGGTTCTGGGACTGGTGGCTGTGGTGGCTCGTTGGTCTTTGTCTCTTAGAAGGTGGGGAATAATCATCATCTTGAAAAAGAAAAAATGGTCATTACTGAAGGAACCATCTTAGGTTACAGCCACCTCTGGGTCAATTCCCAACATTCAAAAGCTGAGCAGGGCTTTAAAGCTATCTTATTAATAATTATTTCTGTATTGCGAACTTCAGCATACTTTTTTCTAGTTACATTTGAAATGTTATTCTTTTGGGATGTGCTCAAGTGAGTACTGCTTTTTCCTCTGCCTTGCTTCATTACTTTTTAGTTTCCTTCATTTGAATCATCATTGTAAGTCTCCCCTTCTCCTCAAATAACTTTCAAATTGCTGCCAAGAACTATGTTCTATCTTAAGGCTTTTGAGAAAAAACTTTCAATGAAGATAGCCGCCTAAAGTTATACAAATATAGAAGAAACGGGATAAAATAAAGCTTAGATTGGAAAAAATATTTAAGATTCTACAAAATTCACGCGTAAACAAGGGAAGCTGAGTAATTGTATGTTCAAATACTTTTAACAAGTGCAAAACATGTAGGCTTAAAGAAATAGAGCTGGCCAGGCATGGTGGTTCACGCCTGTAACTCCAACAGTTTGGGAGGCCGAGGCAGGCAGATAACTTGAGGTCAGGAATTCGAGACCAGCCTGGCCAACAGAGTGAAACCCTCTCTCTACTAAAAATACAAAAATTAGGCCAGGAGTGATGGCTCATGCCTGTGATCCCAGCACTTTGAGAGGCCGAGGCGGGTAGATCACCTGAGGTCAGGAGTTTGAGACCAGCCTAACCAACATAGGGAAACCCCGTCTCTACTAAAACTACAACATTAGCCGGGTGTGGTGGCACATGCCTGTAATCCCAGCTACTCGGGAGGCTGAGGCAGGAGAATCCCTTGAACCCAAAAGGCAAAGATTGTGGTGAGCCGAGATTGTGCCATTGCACTCCAGCCTGGGCAAAAACAGCGAAACTCCGTCTCAAAAAAAAAAAAAAGAAAAAATTAGCCAGGCATGGTGAAGTTGCAGTGAGCTGAGACTGCACCATTGCACTCCAGCCTGGGTAGCAGAGCAAGACCCTGTCTCAAAAAAAAAAAAAAAAAAAAAAAAGAGAGAGAGAGAGAGAAAGAAAGAAAGAGGGCTACATTATTTATGAAACAGATACTGTTAACTCAGTCACCAGAAAGCCTGTGTATAAATGAGCAGTGAGATATTCAAGCACAGCACACACACACTTCTCAGGACAGCTGTCGTGAGTGTTCCATGCTCGTTTCCTTCTGGATACATCAGCAACTCACTCTGCTATGATCCTGCAATACATCTCATGTTAGAATTAGAGACATCTGGGCCAGGCACAGTGGCTGACGCCTGTAATCCTAACACTTTGGGAAGCCGAGGCAGGCAGATCACCTAAGGTCAGGAGTTCGAGACCAGCCTGGCCAACATGGTGAAATGCCGTCTCTACCAAAAATACAAAAAATTAGCTGGGCATGGTGGCGCGCGCCTGTAATCCCAGCTACTCGGGAGCCTGAGGCAGGAGAATCGCTTGAACCCGGGAGGTGGAGGTTGCAGTGAGCCGAGATCGTGCCACTGCACTCCAGCATGGGGGACGGAGCAAGGCTCTGTCAAAAAAAAAAAAAAAACAGAAAAAGAAAAAGAAAAAAGAATTAGAGGCATCTGGATCAAATCAGCTGCCAGTCTCGCAAAGTGTCGGGTAACATCCTATTAAGCTTGCTGCTTACACATCATCTATAAAATACTGAAAATATCATTTTAAGAAATCTTTTTTTTATTTTGAGACAGAGTTTTGCTCGTTGCCCAGGCTGGAGTGCAATGGTGCGATCTCAGCTCACTGCAATCTCTGCCCCCTGGGTTCAAGCAATTCTCCTTCCTCAGCCTCCTGAGTAGCTGGGATTACAGGCATGCACCACCACGCCTGGCTAATTTTGTATTTTCAGTTGAGACAGGGTTTCTCCATATTGGTCAGGCTGGTCTCGAACTCCTGACCTCAGGTGATCCACTGACCTTGGCCTCCCAAAGTGCTGGGATTACAGGTGTGAGCCACCATGCCTAGCCAAGAAACCCTTATTTTAAAACAAGCCAGGCGTGGTGGCTCATGCCTATAATCCCAGCACTTTGGGAAGCCAAGGCAGGTGGATCACTTGACGTCAGTAGTTTGAGACCAGCCCGGGCAACATGTTGTAACCCCATCTCTACTAAAAATATATTTTAAAAATTAGCTGGGCATGGTGGTGGGCACCTGTAATCCCAGCTTCTCAGGAGGCTGAGGCAGGAGAACCACTTGAACCTGGGAGGTGGAGGTTGCAGTGAGCGGAGATCACGCCACTGCACTCTAGCCTGGGTGACAATAGAAAGACTCCATCTCAAAAACAAAACAAAACAAAACAAAACAAAAAACCACTAAAAAAAAGACTCCATTTCAAAAACAAAACTAAAACCAAAAACACAACACAAATGTAGTACACAAATGAAAATAATTACTGTGTTAAACACAGTTTCATAGAAAATAAAAGACCAATCAAATACAATAAGCTGCCTTTTTAGATGGGTATGTTATTCTTCTTTCACAGCTAAAGAAACAGGCTCAGAGAATGTTATTTGATTGGACCGTGTTGCATTTCTGGACAGTGCAGCTGAGATCAGACTTTGTGTGTAACTCCACTAGCCTACCAGGGTGCCTCTCATAAAGGTAAGAAATGTAAATTTGGCCTAATATACAAAGTTGCCAGGGCAGCACTGGGTCAATTCTACATACAGTACTTCTATGTTCATCAAGGGAAACCTTAAGGGAAAGTGAAAATGCTTCTAGAAGGCGACTGGACACCAGCGCCTTTGCTTGTTGCCTTTGGGCTCTTCTTCTAAGGCCAACAGTGACCTGAAATTATTGACTGGCTTTTCCAATCAAGTGGACAAAATGGTACCAAGGTCGCCAACATCGATGTAGAACATCGATGTTCTACAACATTGCTTAACGCAAGGGGAGACGCTCCTGACTCAGAGTGTTTAATTGCTCACCTACTTCTTTTTCTGCCCTCTTGGGCTTCTGAAATGAAAAGAACCCTGGGGTGATACAGTGAGTCAAAGGGGTGCCAGCCGCATCACAGCAAAATAGATTCCTAAAAAATCCCTGGCCTAAGATGACAGCCTTGGCTGGATCAGTTTGAATGTGCTGATAGTGGACATGGTAGAATGAAGGTGGTTGAAATGTTCATATTAAAGAACTTCCACCCAGATTGCAAGAAAAGAGAGAAGAATGGAGACGGCAGCACAAGCCCCTACAATAAAAGCAGATGTTTTGAGATCAGTTATATTTCTTCTGACAAAAATTAAAGACAGAAACCAAAGTTTAGCCTGAGACTACAATTAATTGGGCAATAAGCCAGAGGCACATATGGCATAAGACAGATTTAAACATTTCTCCCTGATATTAATACAAACACTAAAATTACAAATACATGGATTCCAAATAAAACAAATATTTAAAAAATTTAATGAATAAACACTGGGGTCTACAGTAGTATTTGAAGGAGATCTCACAAACAGGTTTGGTTTTTGAAGGTTAGAACTGGTGGTCTAGAGAATTCATTTCATTCCAGAGAAAGAAAGAGAGGAATTTCTTGGGTTCCTTCAGGAATGCGTCTAGCTTTGCCTCATCTTTGTTTGAACTATGGATACGGCAGAAGAAAACATAAGGATTTCACAGATTTAAGGTGCAAAAAGTCACTGGGTTCTCTAAGAAGTCTGGGATTCTTCTGCTGGAAAAATAAGTTTGTTGAGAAAAAATGAGTTGGAGGAGGCTGTTATTGAAGTGAAGCAGAATTGTTTTTACTAATCTGCTTATTACCCACTCTGTAGTGTGGAAACAAATTATTCATGCACAAGGTCCTCTTACTGTTCCTAGAATGCAGTGGAAAGAGAACAGATTAGTTTTCCTCCCTCAGAACACAACCCCTAGAAACATCCTACCTCAGATGAGATATTGCCTAATTATTTTCAAAAGACAGTGAAACATCATGGATGTAAATGTTTGCTACAAAATAAATACATGCTAGAAACAGAAGCATCTGGGTCACAGCTATATTAGAGCTACCTGTGTTCCCCTGTCACTGACATTAAAACAAAAATGTCCAATACAATCATTCACAGCGTGGGAGAGGGGAAGTTGAAGGATGGAAAGGCCAGGCATAAAAGGATTTCAGAATTTCCGTCCATAAGGAAGTGGCTTTGTGCACTGTCTGTTACTGCGTGCAAGGTGAAATTTGAAGAATGAAAACGTGCAGTAACAAGGGCTCCTTTGTCCAACTCACCTCTCCAGATACCAACTTTCAGACATGTTGCATTTTAATTGAAAGGTTGATATAATTTTTTTTAAAGAACACTTGCGGTGTTTGAAGTGACAAAGGCTGCTGTGACAAAAAAGCAGGGAAAGGGAATTTTTTTTTTAAAAGCAAACAACAACAACAAAAACCCCACAGAAAAGCAAACAACAAACAAACAAAAAACAGAGGAAGAAGTTGAACACCCCGGGCTGTGACTACTTCCAGGAAGGGGCTACAAGAGGCAGTTGGAAATTCTATTTGTTTTGCAACTGTGGGTTTTCCGGCCTGCTTCCTTTCTAAAGTATATTACTCTGCTTTTGGTTCATGAAGTTATCCATTTCTGTTTTCTGGAACAGCTATGTATTTTCTTTATCTATCATCTATCTATCTATTTACCATCTATCTTTTCTACCTTTCGCTATCAAGAGCTTGTGTCAAGCAGGATAGAATTCCAGTGTATGTTCACTCTACCGTTTAAAACAAGAGCTCTTGTGGGCATTCTCCATCACATCATAAACCTGAGCTTTCTAAAACAGAGTGTGGCAAACTACCATGCATGGACCATGTCTGACACAGTCTGCGTTTGTAAGTAAAGTTGTAATGGGACACAGCCAATACATGTGTTACATAATGTCTCTGGCTACTTTCATGGTATAATGGAAGAGCTGAGTCATTGAGAGAGAGACCATATGGCTTGGAAAACTTAAAATATTTAACATTTAGCCCCTTGCAGAAAATACTTGCTGACTCTTGTTTTAAAAGATCTCTGTTTAGAATGCTACCTATTGCGTTCTGGATAGAATCACAACTCTTTACCACAATTGACACAGCTTCAGCCCTGCTTCTATATCCAGCCTCATCTATTTCTGCTCCTCCTCCTTATTTTCCTTCTGGCCATGCTGATGGATTGTCAGCTTCCCAGATGTGCAAGAATCTCTCCTCCCTTCCCAACATTCTCATGCTCTCCCTCTGCCTCTCAAGAACTTCCTGCCCCATCTCTCATGACAAATCCTTTCTACATTCTTTAAGATGCAGCCCCTTTGCTCCTTCCTTAAGGATGTCTGTCTGGCTCTATTTTGGGTGACGTGCTCCTTCTGCATCTCCCAGAGCCAGCCTGTGTGTGTCAGCTACAACATTTCTTTGCATCTCTGTGTCATATATCACCAAATCTGCCTAAGCTTGCATGAGTCACTGCATGACAACTTCAGACTCCACCAGCATTGTCCCCACTAACCACAAGGCTTAGACATTCGTCCAGTATGCTCGGGGTTGTGGGGTGGTAGCAGTAACCAGCTGGTGACCATCATTTCTTACATCAGAATCAAATCTGTAGATCTCTGCCATTCGTAAGTATTTGGAGTTTAAAATTAGCATAAAGATTTTCCTTAAAATAAGAACAAATGGCTTGAGTAGGCTTTTGGAACACAGGATGTTTCCACTGGTTCATTTCTGTGTTCAATATTCCCACATGAATCTAAACACGACTCTGCTCTTAGTAGCTATGTGACCCTGGGAAAGTCACTCAATCTCCCGCAGCTAAATTTTGTTGTGTGAGTAATGAGGAGTTGTGATTTGTATTTAGAGAATAATAACAAACAAAAGGCATTTAGCTTTCTGGAACCTGGTATGTAGTAGAACCTCATGAAATACTAGCTCTGTTGATAAAACTAGACTGAAAGACGCTTTCAAAGTCAACAACAGTTTGAGGCAGTGAAGGACGTAGAGGAGAAGCTGCTGCTGCAGCCTGTAGCTCCTGGAAGCCGGTTTAGTCCATGATTTAGCAGGAATGCATTACCCTTCCATGAGGAGGCACTGCCCACAGAAACCAAGGCCATTCTTTGAAGACAAACATGTCTTAATAGCCTTTACATTATGTAATAGTGTAATACAAATACTAATTTATTATTAGTAATAATGTGAAATTATTTACAGTACCCTAACCCTAACCCCTAATCCTAACCCTAACCCCTAACCCCTAATCCTAACCCAAACCCTAACCCTAACCCAACCCTAACCCTAACCCTAAACCTAACCCTACCCTAACCCTAACCCTAACCCTACTCCTAACCCTAACCCCTAACCCCTAATCCTAACCCAAACCCTAACCCTAACCCAACCCTAACCCTAACCCAACCCTAACCCTAGCCCCTAATCCTAACCCTAACCCCTAACACTAACCCTAACCCTAACGCTAACGCTAACCCTAACCCTAACCCTAATCCTAACCCTAACCCTAACCCTAACCCTAACCCTAGCCCCTAATCCTAACCCTAACCCCTAACCCCTAATCCTAACCCAAACCCTAACCCTAACCCAACCCTAACCCTAACCCAACCCTAACCCTAGCCCCTAATCCTAACCCTAACCCCTAACCCCTAACACTAACCCTAACCCTAACGCTAACCCTAACCCTAACCCTAACCCTAACCCTAACCCAACCCTAACCCTAGCCCCTAATCCTAACCCTAACCCCTAACCCCTAACACTAACCCTAACCCTAACGCTAACGCTAACCCTAACCCTAACCCTAACCCTAACCCCTAATCCTAACCCTAAAACCCTAACCCTAAAACCCTAACCCTAACCCTTACCCTAATCCTAACCCTAATCCTTACCCTTACCCTTACCCTGACCCTAACCCTAACCCTAACCCTTAACCCCTAACCCCTAACCCTAACCCTTAACCCGAACCATAACCCTAAAACGCTAACCCTAACCCTCACCCTCACCCCTCACCCCTCACCCAAACCATAATCCCTAACCCCTAACTCTTAACCCCTAACCCTAACCCTTGACCCTAACCCTTGACCCAAACCCCTAACCCTGACCCTTAACCCTTAACCCTAACCCTAACCACTAACCCTAACCCTTAACCTTCATCCTCACCCTCACCCTCACCCCTAACCCTAACCCCTAAGCCCTAACCCAAACCCAAACCCTAAACCCTAACACTAAACCCAACCAGAACCCTAACCTGAACCCTAACCCGAACCATAAACCTGAACCCTAAACCCGAACCCGAACCCGAACCCTAACCATAACCCGAACCCAAACCCTAACCCCTAACCCCTAACCCTAACCCTACCCTAACCCAACCCTAACCCAACCCTAACTCTAGCCCTAGCCCTAGCCCTAAGCCCTAAGCCCTAAGCCTAACCCCAACCCCAACCCCAACCCTAACCCTAACCCTAACCCTTCCTCAGCCTCTCAACCTGCTTGGGTTATAGGTATGAGCCTGGGTGCCTGGCCAAACATTCCATTTTATATGTATATGCTAGGAATGAATAATCTCTACACCAAATTATGAAAATTCTACCTTAAACAATACCAATAGCAATATTATACTTAGGAATAAATGGAATGAAACGACAAGACTTAGATGAGGGAAATTATAAGACATTACTTAAGGAAATTAAACTTCCAGTAAATGTAAAAATGTATCTTATTTGTGGATTTGTAGACCACATTGTTAAGTTTCCCAAAGTACACAAAGCAATCCGTGGATTCGATGTTATTCCTACAAAAATCCCAAAGGCCTTGGGACAGAAGTGGATAAGCTGATCCTGATCACATCCCAATTTCAAATTTTATTACAAAGGAACAGTAATAAAAACAGTGGGATCCTTGCACAGGAATAAACAGAAAGATCAACTGAATTGAATTGGGAGTCCAGACAGAAAACAATACCTCTATGCTCAACTGATTTTAGACAAGGTCCATTACCAGTAAATTGGGGAAAGAATCCTGTCCTCAACAAGTGATGTAAGGCAACTTGCTATCCACATAAAGGGAAATGAAATTGTATCCTTACCTCATACCACATAAAAAATTAACTTACAATGGATCAAAGACCAAAACAGGTGAAAACTAAAAACTCTGGAAGAAAACGTACAGTTAAGCATTCATGACCTTACACGCAGCAATAGTTTCCTACATCTGACACCAAAAGCACAGACCACAAAAGGAAAAATAAATCAATTTATTTCCTCAAAATTCACAACTTTTATGTCTCAGAAGACATGAAGAAAAAAGTTGAAAGACAAAATGTTATAATAGGAAAAACAACTGTCTTATAGTATACTCTCAACACTCAACACAGAACACTTCTGTTACCAGATACATGGGTTTTTTCCCCACACAGACCAAATCTTGGGTACCAGCTGCGTGTCCTACAGTGCAATCCAATTGTGACAGTAAATGGAGAAAGCATCAGACCCCACAGGCTAAGGGCTCAGTCCTAGGAATACACGCCATGCCCCTTGTCGCTTGCAAATTTAAATGACAAACACAAGGATGGTAAAAAGAAAGTGACTTTATGCCAGAGCTTAGCTGAAGGGAACATACAGGCTCTTGCCTTAAGGGAAGCGCTTCCACTTTCTGGGCAGAAAGCGGGGCCTTCGGACTTGCCAGAATGGCATGCAGGGGATGAGGTGAGGAGGTGCGGGGTCTATGGGACATGCTCTGATGTTTTCTCCATTAGGTGGTCTTGCTAGCACCACCACGGGCAGAGCCAGGTTGTAAATTGACTGTTGTCTGCTGCCAATCTCCTGGTGGGGGAGAGATATGGAAGTGCCAGTTTGTTTCAAGGTTTGGTCCCTGGAACTTACAAGTAATCACACAGTTGGAAAAGTTTGCAGTATAGGAAGTGTCTGGTGGAGAGACAGTAAAGCTTATAATTGCATTCCTAAAGAGCTAAATGCAGGAACAGCAAAATGGTAAAACTAATTCATTTCTTCTTTAAGAAAATATGGGTACTCAGTTACAAGACTGTAACCACTTAAGATGCCAACCACAAACAGTAGGTTCCCAGGTTACCTTCTGTCTGACTTTGCTACAGATTGGAGGCTCCCACAACACCCTTATTGGGTTCAGCAATTTGCTACATCACATTACACAACCCATGAAAGCAGTGTACTTACTATTCCTGACTCATTACCAAGGATCTTTTAAACACTACAAATGAAAAGCCAGATGAAGAGATGCACAAGGTGAGGTATATGGAAGGAATGCAGGCCTCCCATGCCCTCGCCAGATATGATCCTCCCAGTATCTCCTGTGTTGGGAGAGCAACACAGATGCTCTCCCAACCCTGTCCTTTATTACACAGGCAGATTGGTTACGTCTGTGGCCATAGGTGATCAACTCAACCATCAGCACCTCTCCCCTTCACAGAGACGGGACGGGGGAAGAAATTTCAAATTCTCTCATGACAAGGTTGCTTCCCTTGGCAGCCAGCCCCACTGAGGCTGTCCAGGTGCCCCCAGCCATCAATCATTTCATTAGCATACGAAACACACATTACTTCGTACATTCCCAAGGCTTAGCGCTCTGTTTCAGGACACTGCAGCAGAGACCACACATTAACTCTTATTACGTTCCAACAACCTATAAAATGGAAGAAAATGTCTGCACATTAGATACTTCATCAGTGTCTGTTATCCAGAATGTATAAAGAACTTTTACAACTCCATAGCAAAGACAACCCAATCTAAAAATTGACAAAAGACTTTAATACACACTTCACCAACAAGCACATGAAAAGATGCTTAACATCATTACCATAATTAAAACCATAAAGAGATAACCCTTAACTCACACAAGAATAGTTATACTAAAAAATAACAAGTGTTGACAAAGATGTGCAGAAACTTGAACTCTTAAACACTGCTTGTGACAATATGAAATGGTGCAGCCTACGTGTAAAATAATTTGATGTTTCCTCATGAAGTTACAAATAGATTTACCATATGAGTCAATGATTCCATTCCTAGGTATATACCCCAAAGACCTGAAAACAACTGTTCAAACAAAAACCTGTATGCTCTTTAAATGTGTCCAGGTCATAAATATGCAGGAAAGTCTGGGGAACAGTTCCAGGAAAAGAAAACTGGATCGTAATGAAAAAAAAAAAAAACACATTATACTCCCAAGTGTGGCATGAGGTAAAAGTGAAGTGAGTTTGTGGACCGAATTATCATGTAGGAACAATGCTGATTTCCTGATCTAGGGGTTATGTGGTAGTTACCTGGGAGAGTGTCCATGCTTTCAGTACAATATACCGGAGTATTTTGTGGGACACTGCAAATCTGGTACAGCAATAACTGTTGGGGAATCTAAGGGAAGAAACAAGTTGTACTTTGTACTACTACTGGAAGTTGCCTAGAAATATGACATTATTGGAAAATAAGTTACTTTTTAAAACAACCATGTCAGTACCATGCCAGGAAAGCAGACACATCATCAAAATCCATTACAGAGGCTATAGTTCAGCCAAAGCTGTAAAACCCTTAAAAAAGTCTCAATGTCAACAGAGTCCACGTAGTAGATATTATTATATTTATTAGTATTAGAGGCCATTGTGTCAATATATTAGTGTTAGGGCATGGTATGGATGTTTAGATTAGTGTTAGGGAATGGTGTGGATATTGTATTGGTGTTGGGGAATGGTGCAGATATTACATTAGTCTTAGGGCATGGTGTGGATATTATTATATTAGTATTAGAAGCGATGGTGTGGAGTAGATCAGTGATAGGGCATGGTGTGGATTTTATTACATTAGTATTGGAAGCGATGTTGTGGATTACATCAGTGTTAGCGCATGGTGTGAATATTATATAGGTGTTAGGACACGGTGTGGATATCATAGTAATGTAGGGCACAGTGTGATTATTATATTAGAGGCCACTGTAAGAATATATATTAGCAGCCACTGTGTCTTGGACGTTGACAATGATATTAGGGTGTAGTCCAAACAGTGAGATTTGGGGGCTTTATTTTTCTAGATGAATTTCTTCCTCTGCTGACTACTCTAAAGACTCACTCCTTGGCACTCAGGGCCGTGGACAGGAGCTTTTTACTCACCAATGAAGAACACCAAATTAACACGACCCCCGTGCTGCCCTGAGGAAGTTGAAGCTCCTCGCTGCTTCTGGCACTTCAGCGGGAAGTTGGTTGGGGCGGGATCGCGCGCCCTCTGGTGGCGCCATGGTTCAGCACAGACGCTCTTGCTCACAGTTTCTCGGCGGATGTGCGCCCCCTCCTGGCTGTCCTGAAATACCTATAAAATTCAATATTCAGTTTATTCAGTGTCATAATTTTGGAAATTCAAACCGAAATAAAGGCCAGTATATCCATAACCTTCCCATAAATGGTGATGGAAGAATTATTTGGAAGCCATATAGAATGAAATGACTCTATACACAAATTAAAACACAAAAACGTACTCAAAATAGTCCAGAGACTACAACTTCAAATGCAAAACTATAAATAATCTAAAAGAAAACCTAAGAGACATTCGATCTGGTGTTGAGTTTTAACACACAGCATCAAGTGCCAATTCGCGAAAATACTGAGAACAGACTTTATAAAACTAAATTTTCTACTATGAAAAACCCTATTCAGAGAACAAAAAGACAAGACACACTGTGAGAAGATATTTACAAAATACAAACATGATTTTAAAAACTGTATTGAAAATACACAAAGAACTCTTCAAACGAACACTAAGAAAACTAAAAACCCACATAAAACTGGGTAAATATCTGAACAGACATCCAGCCAAATAAAATATATAGATAGCAGGCCAGGTGTGGTGGCTCATGCCTATAACCCCAGCACTTTGGGAGGCTGAGGTGGGTGAGTCACCTGAGGTCAGGAATTTGAGATCAGCCTGGCCAACATAGTGATACCCCCTCTCTACTAAAAATACAAAAAAATTAGCCAGGCATGGTGGTGAGTGCCTGTAATCCCAGCTACTTGGGAGGCTGATGCAAGAGAATTGCTTGAACATCGGAGGTGGAGGTTGCAGTGACCCAGGATCACACCACTGCACTCCAGCCTGAGTGACAGAATGAGACTCTATCTCAATAAAAAAAAAAGAAAAAAGAAAAAAAAGAAAATATACAGATAGCACATAATCACACAAAAGGATGCTCAATATATCTCATTAGGAGACTGCAAATTAAAATAATGCTGAGATATCACTGCACACCTAGTACAACTGTGGGACTCTTAAAAAAGCTCAACAGTAACAATTGGAGGTTGAAGAACAATAGGTACGGCCATTCATTAATGGCAGAATGCATGAATGGGTACAGCCACTTTGGGAAATAGTTTGACAGTTTTTCCCAAAGATAAACAAGTCTTACCTTACAATCCAACAAATGCACCCCTAAATTGTGTATGTTTAGACAGCTGCTTTGAAAAATTATGTTCAAACAAAAACTAGCATGTAATTATATACGAGCCACTCTACTCATCATGGCCAAAACTTGAAGTAATCAGAACGTTCTTCAATAGCTGAATGCATAATCAATTTGAAGTACAACCATGCAATGGAATACCATTCACCAACAGAAAGGAATGAACTGTCAATCCATGAAAACAAATGAATGAATCTTGCATCTATGTTGCTAAGTAAACGGTGGCAGTATGAAGATGCTATACATTATATGACTCCATTCATATAACATTCTGGAAAAAGCACAACCAAAGAGATGATAGTCAGATCAGTGACTGTCTGGGGTGGGGATTTGAAGTATTCTGTATGCTACTTCAGTAGTGGATATCTGACACTATGCATTTGATAAAACCCACAGAATTTTAATGCACAAAGAACAAATCACAAGCTACACAAATTAAATTATTTAGGATGTGGAAGTATATAAGGACAAAATACAGAGTGCAACCAAGAATCTAACTGTATTACCAATGTATGTTGCAAGTGGTGGGCCAAAGGTGCTGAGCTGGAAATGAGTAGAATCCATAGACTAAAAACAAAACGTACTATATACACGAACAGTGGACTCTATTTTATAAAGTTATTTCCCATAGGGATAATAGTTAATTTTGAAACTACTATATCTGTAAAAAGAAAAATAACCATGATTTTCCTCTATACTATCAACACTCCACTTTTAACAGCAAATTGTGGGGGGTGGGGGGTGTTTCCCATACCAACCAATATTCCAACTCTCTGGAAAACAATTGGGTATCCTGTAATTCAACTGTGACACTGATTACCTGGAGTTAGTATACACCCTACAGGTTAAGGGCTTAGTAACACCAGACTGTCCACAACCTCAGATGCCAATCACAAGTTGTGAATCCCCAGTTTACCCAAACTTCTATATGACTTGGCTAGAAACTAGGCATTCCTACACCCCCTCTTCAGGTTTGACAATTTGCTATGATGGCTTATGGAACTAGGAAATACTTACTTATGTTTACTAGTTATTATGGTCTCAATGTGTGTACACCCCCACCCCAAATTCCTATTTTGAAATGTAATCCCCAAAGGGATGGTATTCAGAGGTAACCGAGAGGTGATCGGATCATGAGAGTGCTGTCCTCATGAATGAAACCAGTGCCCTTATAAAAGCATCTAGGAGCCCGTTTCCCCATTCTGCCATGTCACGACATGCTAGAAGGCACTATCTATGATAGATGAGCCCTCACTAGACATCAAATCTGTCAGCCTTGATCTGGAACTTACCAAATTCCATATTTTAGGAATTTTTATGGAAGCTTCATCATGTAGACATGACGGATTATTAACTCAATTTCCAGTCCCTTCACACCCTCAAAGGATTGCATGTTAAGCTAAAAGTCAGAACCTTCTTATCATGGCTTGGTCTTTCTGGTGACCATCCCCATCCTGAAACCATCCAGGAACCCACAGAGTGTCCTTATTAGAACAGAAGCCATTCCTATTATACAGGAGATTCCAAGAGATTTAGGAACTCTGCGTCAGGAACCAGGGCCAAAGACCAAATATTAGAACACAAGATGCTCCTAGCACCCCTACTGTTCAGGAAATTATAATAGTTTTAGAAGCTCTGTACCAGGAACTGCAGACACAGACCAAACATATATTTCTTATTAAGTCCCAACCTGGAATCTTGATCAAGAATGAATTCCTTGTTCCCAATGGTACAGGGGATGAAATAAATGGCAGATAGTAGGAGCCAGGTTCCTCACTATTACAGCGAGAAGTTACAGATAAAAAATAGGGAAGCCTAGAATGATCTCTGTCATAATGAGTCAGAATATATATATACAACGTAAGTATAAACTCACATTTAGCTTAACATATACATAGATGGTTCCACATAGAAACCTTTATAATTAAGTGGGTACATATAAGTTAGAAGACACACATATATTTCTTTGCACTGTCAGCTCTAAGTGTCATGATGCAATGACCACATTTAGTGGCCAGATGTAAGTTTTTCATACCATTCTCTAACAAAAGAAATCAGGGCTATTAGAAGAAATAGCTGAAACTAGGACTGGGACAGAAAATATATGAGCCAGGGTACTTTTGAAGTAACAGAAATAAATTATAAAAAAAAAACATGAAATTATGTAAAAGGAGCCAGTGGAAAGAGCTACCAATGGCCACAGGTATGAACAAAGAGCAACAAAATACTGTACAATTAGATAACAACCAAAAGATTAAAGTAACTATCTGTGGACCCATACTGGTATAAATAAATGATTAAACAGATATGCAAATGGACTGAATAGAAATCTCTTACACAGAAGAATTCCAAATACCTGATATAGACAGCCATCAAGGAGGTGGGGCTAACTCCCCACTCCTTTAAGTATGAGCTCTGCATGATGACTTCCTCCAAAAGCATACATACAATATAGACATGGGAAAAAAGTAACTTCACAGTGAAAAACCTGAAAACACTGCCTCAACCAAGTGATAAAAGTTAACATTAATGGTGATAACACATCTTGAGAGCATGAAGTGACTAGACTAGCACTTGCAAACCAAAAATAAAATTCAAAGATCTTTCCCACAACCACCTCTCCACCAGGGGACACCAAAGTTAACCTGGAAGACTGGTTCAGGCTATGATGGGAAAGAGGTGGTCAGACATGCCTCATTATGCCCTCCTCCCTTTTGGAATTCAGGAAAAGCCAATCAGCATTTAACATCAACACAACCTTAAATCTGATAAGAAACATTTACAATCTATTCTCTCTGAAGCCTGCTACCTGGAAGCTTCATCTCCATGATAAAACCTTGGCCTCCATAACCCCTTATCATAACCCAGACACTCCTTTCTATTGATAGTAAGTCTTTCAACAAACTGCCAATCAGAAAAATTTTAAATGTACCTATAACCTGGAAGCCCCACCCCCCAACCCTAATCCATTGGGTTGTCCCACCTTTCTGGACCGAACCAATATATATCTTAAATACACTTGATTGATGTCTCCTATCTCCCTAAAATGTATAGAACCAACCTGCACCCCAACGACTTTGGGCACATGTTCTCAGGGTCTCCTGAGGGCTGTGTCAAGGGCCATGGTCACTCATATTTGGCTCAGAATACATCTCTTCAAATATTTTACAGTCTTTGACTCTTTTTGTGGACACACTACACATCTGCTCTGCTTCCCCCAAACCCCTAAACCCAGGCTGATTATGAGAAAAACCCCAAGTAAACCACAATGGAGGACATTCTACACAATACCTGACCAATCCTCCTAACACTGTTCCAGGTCCTCAGAAGTAAAGTCTGAGAGACTGTCACAGCCAAGAAGAGCCTGACATGATGACTAAATGTCCTATGGGATCCTAGATAGGATCCTGGGAGAGAAAAAGGCAGAACTAAGGGAAACCAAATAAGATGTGAGCTTATTTAATAATATAGTAATATCCAGTCATTAAGTATGACAAGAAATGATGTAAGATGTTGGTCAGGAGTGGTGGCTCATGCCTGTAATCCCAGCACTTTGGGAGGCTGAGGCGGGCAGATCACCTGAGATCAGGAGTTCGAGACCAGCCTGGCCAACGTGGTGAAACCTCATCTCTACTAAAAATACAAAAATTAGCCGGGCATGATGGCAGGCGCCTGTAATACCAGCTACTCAGGAGGCTGAGGCAGGAGAATCGCTTGAACCTGGGAGGCGGAGGTTGCAGTGAGCCGAGATCACGCCACTGCACTCCAGCCTGGTTGAAAAAAAAAAAAACCTGGTCTGGAAAAAAAAAAAAAAAAAGATGTTAAACCTATCTGATACATGTTGATATGTTAAAAAGAGGGGAAACTAGGTTGCGTCTACATGGGAAATCTGCATTTTCTTCCCAATTTCTGTATGAATCTAAAACTAATTTAAAATAAAACCTCTATTTAAAAATTGTAATTTTTTCAGATATCTGCTAAATTATTTGTACTAAAAATTAGTAATTGACAGTAACTACTCCTACTTTTAAAAATAAGAGCATTCATGATACTGCAAAGTAAATTATACAGACTAATATATACTTTCAAAGAAATGCCCCTTTTACATGTTTTATGTTAAGATAACATATATGTGTAAACATGGTCATATCATTTTTCTTATGGTGTAGTTCACTCTCTAAGAAAGCTGGTCATCTTAGAACCAGGGAAAAAAATTCACATTTTGGAGACTATTTCAATTTACGGCTGGAAGTTTTCAAAGTATGACTTTGTGAAAAAAAAAAAAGTTCAAATTGATTCATTGTGACTGGATCACTTATTCTAATGAATGCTTGTCTTTATTTTGTTTCCCAGCATTCCTTTCAGCTACGATACAACAGAAGCAAATATTTGCCACTGGAAAAAATATTCAAAGACACTCTTAGGTTAATCTATAGCTGATGACAGTCAGTCTAGTCTACATAGCAAGCAGCTTCAAGATATGATTACTTAGCTAAGAGGGAAATGGGACGTGACTGCTGCCTCATTCCCACGCCTCTCTGGACCTGATAATTTAGAGGAAGCTCACATTCGCAAGATAAAAATTTTCTTTTCTTTCTCAGTATTAAATATGCTGTCACAGTAGAAGAAAGCTTTACTGACTTCTTAAATGATGTGTTGAGACCGGAAACCTAAAATGATAGTTACTGAGAATACTGCTAATGCCCTAAGACCGGAACCCTAAAATGATAGTTACTGAGAATAGTGCTAATGCCCTAAGACCGGAACCCTAAAATGGTAGTTACTGAGAATACTGCTAATGCCCTAAGACCGGAACCCTAAAATGATAGTTACTGAGAATAGTGCTAATGCCCTAACACCGGAACCCTAAAATGATAGTTACTGAGAATACCGCTAATGCCGTAAGACCGGAAACCTAAAATGATAGTCACTGAGAATACTGCTAATGCCCTAAGACCAGAACCCTAAAATGATAGTTACTGAGAATAGTGCTAATGCCCTAAGACCGGAACCCTAAAATGATAGTCACTGAGAATACTGCTAATGCCCTAAGACTGGAACCCTAAAATGATAGTTACTGAGAATACCGCTAATGCCCTAAGACCGGAACCCTAAAATGATAGTTACTGAGAATACCGCTAATGCCCTAAGACCGGAACCCTAAAATGATAGTTACTGAGAATAGTGCTAATGCCCTAAGACCGGAACCCTAAAATGATAGTTACTGAGAATACCGCTAATGCCCTAAGACCGGAACCCTAAAATGATAGTTACTGAGAATACCGCTAATGCCCTAAGACCGGAACCCTAAAATGATAGTTACTGAGAATACCGCTAATGTCCTAAGACCGGAACCCTAAAATGATAGTCACTGAGAATAGTGCTAATGCCCTAAGACCGGAACCCTAAAATGATAGTTACTGAGAATAGTGCTAATGCCCTAAGACCGGAAACCTAAAATGATAGTTACTGAGAATACCGCTAATGCCCTAAGGTTTTAGTCACACCCTCACCTAGGCAGGAACCCAACCAAAAGGGGAGAACTGTGGAACAAACTACGGGAGGTCATTGTTTCGGTCACCACTCCCGCACTAGGCCACACTGAGCAGGCAAAATCAGAATGGAGACACTCACGCTGAATGACACACAACGAAGCTGAAACTCTAAGGAAGTAGATAGATCCCAAAAGAGCTCCCTTTTTCCCTGAAGAGATTCCAGTCTACCTGAGTCAGCATAAAGAAGTCCCCTCTGCTTTAATTCTTACCAAAACAAGTAACTTGAAGTAATCTGATATTAACAAATCAGTTGTTATTTTCTATTGCTCTATTTCCGCCTTACACAACACAGTGTTCTGCTATTGCCCAGAGGGCACTGAGACCAAATAAAACTTGAAAATGCCACACTGAAAGCAAATAAGTCCTAATAACTCAATTTACAACGACAACAAAGAGTGACACCAATGCCCAAAGTTTTGATCAATATCTCAAAATTGAGAGGCTGACCAAAAGGGAGGAATTCTTACATCAAACAACATTTGGGCTCTGGAAGCCTCCCGAGGAGTCCTTGTAAAGAGTCGCGGCCGGGCGCCGTGGCTCACGCCTGTAATCCCAGCACTTTGGGAGGCCGAGACGGGTGGCTCATGAGGTCAGGAAATCGAGACCATCATGGCTTACAAGGTGAAACCCAGTCTCTACTAAAAAAAAAAAATACAAAAAAATTAGCCGGGCTTGGTGGCGGCAGCCTGCAGTCCCAGCTACTCGGGAGGCCGGGACAGGAGAATGGCGTGAACCTGGGAGGCGGAGCTTGCTGTGAGCTGAGATCGCGCCACTGCACTCCAGCCTGGGCGACAGAGCGAGACTCCGCCTCAAAAAAGAAAAAAGAAGAAGAACAAGAAGAATCGCAACCTAATTTAGTATAGAAACAAACTGAAAATCTGACTTGGGAATGTATCATGGTAACAAATAGCGGCGGTTCAGCCAATCACATCAGCCGAGTGTCAGTCAATGGCCGGCAGCCAGCTGTTCAAAACAAGTTCCAAGAAGGCAAATCCGGGCTGTAACCAGGTCTGTAACCAATCCAGCCACCTCTATACCTCACTTCTGTTTTCTGTATGTCACTTTTTTCCTCTGGCTATAAATATAACCCGCACATGTTGTGTGGCAGATCATTCTGAACCATTTTTGGTCTGGACTGCTGCCTGATTCTAGAACCACAAAAAAAAGCCAATTAAGATCTGCAAACCCACATTTGTTGTAATTCTGTATTTTAACAGTTGTGCCCTACAAAAGACATTAAGCTGAAATTAATTAAAAATCATTTACGGTCATGATTAGGTCATAAAAAATTGTCAAACATAACAATTCTTCAAAAAAAGCTAAAAAGTATATTTTAAAAATATTGTTGATGGAAAAAAGAGTGCAAAAGTAGATAGGAAAATTATGTACAAAACTAAAAACAGAGGAGAAATTAAAAGTCAAATAATTGCATCAAACTGGAAACCTAGAAAAAATGGGTGATTTCCTAGTAAAAATACACATTAACAAAATGGGCCCTGAAATAAGGCAACTATGAATATACCAATTAGCATAGAAAAGCTAAGAAAGGTCCTTAAAGATCTCCCAGTGGAAAAAGGCCCCAGGACCATCTGGGTCCATAGCTTAGTGTAAGCTGACTTAACTAAATGTGATTTTACACTCGTGCATTGCATACATATGATGGTGGTCCCATGACATAAAAATGGAGCTGAAAAATTCCTTCCTAGCCATCTTGTCATAAGCTCATGGCTCAACGCATTACCTTTTCTCTGTTCTGATACCATGAAAGGAAAATAAATCTCAGGACCCCCAAATCACTAAGCCAAGGGAAAAGTCAAGCTGGGAGCTATGTCAGGCAAACCTGCCCTCATTCTATTCCTAACTAAGATAGCTACAAAGATAAAAAGCTACATACCTCACTCACAATTTGCCCACAAAGAATTTCCTTTTGGACAAAGGACAGACAGCACTCAAAGTCATCCCTCACCTGAGACAGATGCATATCTGATTGCTTCCTCTGCCCTATTATTTATGTAAAAATGCAGATTCATTGAGCCAGACTAAATTGTGTATTCAGTGGAAGGCTGATGAAGGATTCAAAAGAATGCAACCTTTTGTCTCTAACCTACTTCTGACCTGGAAGCACCCCCACTTCCTGCTTCCAGTTGTCCCGCCTTACTGGGCCAAATGACTGTACATCTTACACGTCTCATGTATCCCTAAAATGTACAAAAGCAAGCTCTACCCTGGCCACCTTGGACACACGTCGTCAGGACCTCCTGAGGCTGTGTCATGGTCGTGTCCTTAATCTTGGCAAAATAAGCTTTCTAAATTGACAGAGACGCGGCGCGCCGGCGCAGGCGCACAGAGGCGCGGCGCGCGGGCGCCGGCGCACAGTGGCGCGTCCCCTGGGGGGCGGGGGGAGGCGCGGCGCAGGCGCAGAGACGCACGTCGTTAGGCTGTGGGTTTGGGGGGAGGTGGGTGGTGCAGACGCAGAGTCACGCGCCACCGGGACGAGAGCGCGGGGGTGGAGCGTTGTAGGCGCAGAGACGCACGTCCTCGGGGGCGCGGCGCAGAGACGGGTTGAACCTCAGTAATCCAAAAAGCCGGGCTCGGGCGCCCCCTGCTTGCAGCCGGGCACTACAGGACCCGCTTGCCCGCGGTGCTGTCCCAGTGCGCCCCCTGCTAGCGACTAGGGCAACTGCAGGGCCCTCTTGCTTACAGTGGTGGCCAGCGCCCCCTGCTGGCGCCGGGGCACTGCAGGGCTCTCTTGCTCGCAATATAGTGGCGGCACGCCGCCTGCAGGCAGCTAGGGACGTTGCAGGGCCCTCTTGCTCACAGTGTAGTGGCAGCACGCCCGCCTGCTGGCAGATGGGGACACTGCCAGGCCCTCTTGCTTGCAGTGTAGTCGGGGCACGCCCTCTTCTGGCCGCTGGGGGCACGACAGGATCCTCTTGCTCACAGTGTAGTGGCAGCACGACCCCTGCTGGCAACCAGGGCACTGCATGGTCCTCTTGCTCATGGTGTGGTGCCCGTACGCCGCCTGCTGGCAGCTGAGGACACTGCAGGGCCCTCTTGCTCACAGTGTAGTCGTCGTACGCCCCCTGCTGGCAGCTGGGGACACTGCCGGACCCTATTGCTGTCGGTGTCGTGGCAGCACGCCACCTGCGGGCAGATGGGGACTAGGCAGGGCACTCTTGGTCCCGGTGTGACGGCCTCCTGCACCACTAAAGTCAGAGCGCCAGTTATTAAGCCCCATCAGTTCTGTAAATTCAAACTGAAACGGAGCTATTATTGGGGAGAGCTGATGTCCCAGTTCTTGTTTAACTTGGAAGAAACATTTTCACCAAGAGGCAATACAAAGATGGCAGATAACTTCATTGAAAAGAAACACAGTGTAAAGAGTTTATTGTAGAAAAATAGGGAGGAGTGGGCTGAGCGTGCATTAAAACAGCCTAAGAGTCCTGTGCAGGGAATTTTATTTTGGATTTCTTCACATTCCTGCCTCTGTCTCAAGTCTCCACCTGTTTTCTTTGTCTGGTTTTCCTGCTACTGCCTTAGCTCCCCAACTTGCCCCACTTAGGCTTGTGGGACCTCCTCACTGTTGGTTGAGGTACATGTGTGGTGATCAATACGAATCCACTCTGGCACCAGCCTCCTTCCCGCCATCCCAGGCACACTGACAGCGATCACGTTTGTACCTACTGCGCCTGCCTCTTTTGAATGTCCTTCTCTGCCCTAATCTGTACTTATGGTGCCAGGTTTCTCTTAAGAATGTCCCCTTTGGCCTTATCAGCATGTAGCTAGCAATATTCTGACATTTTTATTGCAGAGTGAATGATTGGGGCATCTTCAGAGGAGTTCTAGGGTGTTTCTTTCTGCATAGGTACCTCTTTTCCCTCCTACCCACAATTGACAAGTGCCCATCCACTCCAGCACTAGAGATGCTACTAATATGTGAATTTTTGGTGGTCCCTCCAGGTGAGCCTTCCCAGACTTTCCCTTTTCCAGGAGGCCCCCTCCTGTTCATGTCTAGCTACCTATCTACTCTAACAAAGCCCACTATCCTGTGTCTTTCCCAAAAATAGTGAGGGAACGATTAATTGGAAACCATAAGAAATGATATGGATATAGACGAAAACTTTACAACTTACACAAATAATCACTCAAAATCATCCTTACACTAAAAATGCAAAACTATACAATTTCTAGAAGAAACAATAGAAGAAAAGCTATCTGCCTTTGGGTTTGGTAATGAATTTTAACAAATGACACAAAAGGTAGATATACACAAAAGAAGTGACAGTGTGGATTTCTTAATATTTAAAGTTTATACTCTGGAAGAGACCTTGTTAAGAGAACAAAAAGACAAGCCACATATTGAAGAAAATATTTGCAAAATACACATCTGAGAAAGAATTTGTCTTCAAAATATATAAAAAATTATTAAAACTAAACAATAAGTTAAACAGCCCAACTAAAAATGCACACACATCTGAACAGACACCTCACCAAAGAAGATCTACAGATGGCAAGTAAACACATTGAAACCACAATGTGGTTACAATTGAAAACCACAATGAGATAGCACAGCTGGTCTATATCTGTTAGAATTGCTAAACTCTTTTAAAAATGACAAATTGCTGAAGGAAAAACAAGAACTCTTTTCATTGCCAGTGGAACACAGCGTATAAGACCAAAATACGCCACCCCAAAACCTAACCCTAACCCTAACCCCTAACCCCTAACCCTAACCCTAACCCTAACCCTAACCCCTAACCCCTAACCCTAACCCTAACCCTAACCCCTACCCCTAACCCCTAACCCTTACCGGTGACCCTACTGTATCCCTGACTCCTAACCAACGTTGATCCCTAACCCTAAACCCCTTACTGTAACTATAATCTTCATCCCACCCTATCCCTAGCCTTAGTGCCATCCCCCAGGCTTTTTCCAGGATGGGATTTTATGTGATTGTTTCGAATAGGTGGAAATCTCTGCTCATTTAGGAGTCGTTCAATGTAACAAGGATCTTGGTCTTCACAGAGACCCTAAACGCGTGTGGCCCAGGGCCATGTGGATGCCATCAGCCACTAGGTGGCAGCAGGGGCCCTTTGGATTTGAACAATGCAGCTCAGTCAGAGGGCTGGACTGGGACACCCCTACTCATGGTCTCTCTTGGCATGGTTTTGTTTGGTGACTCCAGGTGTCCCAACCTCCTGTGTCCATTGTAATATGTCCTGGGACCATCTCCCCCAGGGCCTTCAACCTGGGGGGTTGAACCCCAGGATAGCAACCCCAAGCCCTCCTTGCTATCCTGGCTACTGATGGAAGATGTACCTCAAGCCTGTCCCATTCCTCACTTCCTGCTGAGACCTGGCCCCAACATGGCCAGCTCTATGTTCCTCAGACCCTCTCAGGCCACCTTCTCTCTTCTAGGCACTGTCACTGGGCTTCTCCCCACCCCATAGATCCACAGCCCCCAGGTAGTCCTACAGCTGTGTCCACTCGTGCAGCCTGCACCCCCTTCCCCTACTCGGCCACCCCATCTGAGTAGTAAGGGGCCCCTGCCTGATTGGAGACCCCCAGATGCAGACCCAGATCACACAGCACACTGATAAGAGGAGGGATTCGCACCTTAAAAGAAAGGCGTGGGACCAACCCCAGATCCCACCACTCTCGGCCTCAAGGGCAGGCATGACTAGAGGCCCTTGGTGGCCAGGACCCACTGCCTTCTTCACCGATCAGTTGGCATGGCCTCTCACCAGTGTTCCCTCCTAACACACCTGTTCTCTCTCTCACACACCCTAAAGCCGCTTGCCAACCACCTGTCACACAGCCACTCCATGCCTGTTGCTGCTTGGCACCCACTGGGGGCCAGGGATGTGAACAAACCTCATCTAAGCTGGCTGCCGGGTCCTAATGGGCAGGTCCGGTCCGCCCTCTAGGAGAGGTGCTGTCCGGTGAGGCATAAAATCCCGGGATTCTGGCTGGAGGCAGCTCCTGAGACTGCTGGCATGAAGGGGAGCCGTGCCCTCCTGCTGGTGGCCCTCACCCTGTTCTGCATCTGCCGTGAGTCTGTGCCACTGGGGTTTCCAGAACATTCAGGGGTGGGGGGGAGTGGGGGGTACCTGAGAAGGTAAAATCCTGGCATCGGGCCTCTGCAGTGAACACTCCACCTGCTTCTGTCACAGAAGTGGGCAAGGACCCTGCAGAACCCGCGCCCACCCTACTCCACCCCAACCAAGGACAAAGCCCAGCTGACCCAACACCAGCCCAGTGTCTCCTACCCCAGCCCAGTCCAGCCTGACCTGACCCTTCAAGCCTCTGGTCATAATAGCCTCTCATCAGGGGAAATTTCCCCCACACCAGGAGCTTAACTTTCCTTCCCTGGTGATCCCAGGGAATGCTGAGTGGAAATTGGAGCAGCTAAGATTAAGGGGGATGTGGAGGGGTCTTCGGGCAAGGTGGAGTTGGAGGTGTTGTGGAGGAAGCCCTGGGGAGGAGAGGTGGGCATTGAAGGGGAAGGTCTGGAGACCATGGAGGTTGGAGCCCTGGGGCAGGTCCAGGGCTGTGGTTGCACCAGAGTCACCCTGTCCTGTCCTGGCATCATCTCGCTCGTGATGCAGGGATGGCCACAGGGGAGGACAACGATGAGTTTTTCATGGACTTCCTGCAAACACTACTGGTGGGGACCCCAGAGGAGCTCTATGAGGGGACCTTGGGCAAGTACAATGTCAACGAAGATGCCAAGGCAGCAATGACTGAACTCAAGTCCTGTATAGATGGCCTGCAGCCAATGCACAAGGCGGAGCTGGTCAAGCTGCTGGTATGAGGGCGGCGGGCACCCCATTTTCTAAAGATCTGCAGCCTTACCAAGACCACCCAACACAGCACCCACACAGCCTACCCCACCCACAGACATCCACCACCCACAGACATTGCACCCGCATCAGCCAGCTCAGGTGGACACCCCAGACCTCCTGTCCACCGAGCAGCCCCCAGACTCCATAGACCTCCTCCCCAGTCTGTGGGATACTCCTCCATGCACACATGTGAACATACACAGAGATCCAAACACAGGTGCAGACATGAAATGTACACTGCGTGCACACATGTATAAACACGTTCACACCCACATGCTCACACTGGGATATGCACACACATACATGTGTGCACACCATCACATGTGCACACACACCTCCCAGCTGCTGGGAGGAGATAGGCAGCAATATGCCAGACCCCCCCCCACTGAGGGCCTTGCTTGCCTGATGGAGCTGTGGCTCTCCACTTATTGAGCACAGCCCTCTTAGTCCACATGTGTCTGCCTTCCAGGTGCAAGTGCTGGGCAGTCAGGACGGTGCCTAAGTGGACCTCAGACATGGCTCAGCCATAGGACCTGCCACACAAGCAGCCGTGGACACAACGCCCACTACCACCTCCCACATGGAAATGTATCCTCAAACCGTTTAATCAATAAAGCCTCTTCCGCAGCTCAGGCTCCTGTCTCTGCCCCCACAGAGGGGCACACAAATGGGGACATCAGGAACACACTCGGGGCCACAGCCACACACACAGACCCACATACAGAGGATCCCACTCAAGGAGCACACGTGCGAAAGTCCCCACAGAGGGACACACAAATGGGGACATCAGGAACACAGGGCCACAGCCACACACACAGACCCACATACAGAGGATCCTACTCAAGGAGCACACGTGCGAAAGTCCCCCACAGAGGGACACACAAATGGGGACATCAGGAACACAGGGCCACAGCCACACACACAGACCCACATACAGAGGATCCCACTCAAGGAACACACGTGTGAAAGTCCCCACAGAGGTACACACAAATGGGGACATCAGGAACACAGGGCCACAGCCACACACACAGACCCACATACAGAGGATCCCACTCAAGGAACACACGTGTGAAAGTCCCCACAGAGGTACACACAGGGTCCACACAGGAGCAGGCACACCACAGGCAAGACCCAAAATGGAAATCCAGGCAGACGCCACGTAGGCAGGTGGACAGAGCACAGAGCCAGACAACACTGCGTGGTCGTCCGGAGGGGGCGTCTGGAGGGGGCGTCCGGAGGGAGACGGGCGGCAGAGGCAGCGGTATGAGGTGGGAGCCCCAGAAAGAGGAAGTGTCCAGGACTGGGTGGACACAGACCCCATGTCGCCCATGGGCTAGGTCAGGGCGGGGGTGCTCAGCATCTGAAAGCTGGTGTCGAGCCCCAAGAGGACCCCTGACAAGGCCAAGAAAAAGGTACACCCATGTCCAAGGGGGTTGGGAGCCGCAGGTGAGCAGCCTCTGAGGTCAGCCAGGGCAGCCCCAGCGCCCACACTGACTCACACCCACCACAACCAGCACAGACCCTGATCCTGACCCTGGATCCCAGACTCTCCCACAGCCAGAACCTTCCAGCATTTCAGCTGCCCAATCTATGGTCTCTTCTGGGGGCACAGCTGAGTGGAACCGCCCCATCCTTGGCCACCCTGGGTGCTGAGCCCTGACACTTCACTGCCCCGGCCCTCCTCTCCACACCTCTGTCCTGTCTGAGCCTGGCAAGGGGGCCATGCGGTGCTGTCGGCTCTGTGCTCTGTCCCACCTGCCTACATGGTATCTGCCTGGATTTCCATTTGGCTGAGGGAGCCCTAGGGAGGGGGCCCTGGAGGACTTGGTTACAGGGGACCTGGTGAGGGGACCCAGTGAGGGGGACTTCATGGGTGGGTGCCTGGTTGAGGGGACCTGGTGAAAGAAACATGGTGAGGGGGCCTGGTGAGGGGTGGTCTGGTGAGGGAACTTAGGGAAACCTGGTGAGGAGGACCTGGTGAGGGGACATGGGGGGGACCTTGGTGAGGGGACCTGGTGAGGGGACATAGGGGGACCTTGGTGAGCGGACCTGGTGAGGGGACATGGGGGGGACCTTGGTGAGGGGACCTGGTGAGGAGGACATGGGGGGGACCTTGGTGAGGGGACCTGGTGAGGGGACATGGGGGGGACCTTGGTGAGGGGACCTGGTGAGGGGACCTGGTGAGGGGACATAGGGGGGGACCTTGGTGAGGGGACCTGGTGAGGGGACATGGGGGGGACCTTGGTGAGGAGGACCTGGTGAGGGGACATGGGGGGGACCTTGGTGAGGGGACCTGGTGAGGGGACATGAGGGGGACCTTGGTGAGGGGACCTGGTGAGGAGGACATGGGGGGGACCTTGGTGAGGGGACCTGGTGAGGGGACATGGGGGGGACCTTGGTGAGGAGGACCTGGTGAGGGGACATGGGGGGGACCTTGGTGAGGGGACCTGGTGAGGGGACATGGGGGGGACCTTGGTGAGGGGACCTGGTGAGGGGACATGGGGGGGACCTTGGTGAGGGGACCTGGTGAGGGGACATGGGGGGGACCTTGGTGAGGGGACCTGGTGAGGGGACCTGGTGAGGAGGACATGGGTGGGGAGCCTTGGTGAGGGGACCTGGTGAGGAGGACCTGGTGAGGGGAACATGGTGAGGGGAACATGGTCAGGGGGACTTATAGGGGTGTCCTGTTGGGGGGACCTGGTGGTGAGATCTGGTGAGGGGATCAAAGGCAGAAGCCATTGTCTTGGTCACATAGACAGAATCTAGAACCTGTCATCCCACAGAGCCACATTCTAGAGTTTAGAGTGGGGGACCTCTCCCCAATTCTGTAAGCCCATGAGGAGAGAGGAAGGCCTTTCTCTCCATGCTCCTTTTGCGGGAACTCCCTGGCACCAAGGCCAGGGGGGAAAGGACAGTCTCTGATGAGGATGGGTCTCTAGGCTGCTCTGAGTGCTGTCCCTGCACTGAAGAAGTTATAGTTCCCTCCCAGGCGGCCCCCTCCCTGCCCCTCAGCTCAGCCTCAATCAAGAAGTTCCCCATCTTTGACCACTCCAAGTAGGAGAAACCGGCCCAGGGCTCCCTTAGAGCCGAGAACAGTGGTGAGTTAAGGGCCAGCATGGACAGCAACTCTGGGTTACAGTTAAGCTGGTGAGGAGCTCACAGACCCATGCAGAAAGCTCCTACTGTCCCTGACTCCTGGCTCCCAGCTGGAGATCCCCACTGATGCTGCAGCAGGTTCCGCAGGTCTTACCCTTCAGTGTCAGCAAGAGCAGGGTCGGGGACATCAGGGGCCGGCATGGGACAGGGCCGGGCCTCCCAGCACCTGGTAACCCTCTCACTTACGGACAGAGCTGGCCATGACGGAGGAGGTATGGATGGGTACCTGGAGGCCCCATCGCCCCCGGGGACCCATCATGGCCCTCTACAGCAGCCCTGGACCCAAGTACCTGATTCCACCAACAACAGGTAAGAGCCTGAGAGACTGTGGGAGAGGGTCAGGAGCCAGGCGGGCAGGTGGGGGTCCCGGGAAGGGCCTGGGGCTCAATCCCTGACTCCCAGCGGGGAGAAGGGCAGGTCAGGCTCCGGGCTGCTCAGGGCCCATTGCGTCCACAGGCTTCATGAAGCACACGCCCACCAAGCTGCGTGCACCGGCCTACAGCTTCCGTGGGGCCCCCATGCTCCTGGCAGAGAACTGCTCCCCAGGGCCCCGTTACAATGTAAACCCCAAGATACTGAGGACTGGCAAGGACCTTGGCCCTGCCTACTCCATCCTGGGGCGCTACCAAACCAAGACCATGCTGACTCCTGGTCCAGGTTAGTGACCCTGTCTCAGGCTCCTGCCCTGCGCAGCCTCAGGCCTGCCCCTCCCTGCTGGGTGCCCCTAACCTCATGTCAGCAAGGGTGTGGGAGAGCTCAGCCATCCTGGCCCCTCCCGTCCCATCTTTCTCTCTTGAGGGGTCACCATCGTGCCTGGGCAGAGAAGACTCTGGCCCAAGAGTCCAGCTCCGACCTGGACCTTTCTCTGCCAGGCCGACGTCAGACCCCACTCTCCCTGCTCAAAAATAGCCTTTGTCTCACCAGCCCTGAAGTCAGCATTTCCATCCTGGACACCCCCTGACCCGACTTGGTCACCACCTGTGTTGGAGCCCAGAGGCCCCACGCCTAGAATGTTGGGGAGTCCTCCTTGAGCCCCCAAACTGGGCTGCATACCCACCTGCTTGTCCCAGCAGCCCCCTTGGCTCCTTGTCCAGGTGACTACTTTCCAGAGAAATCCACCAAGTACGTGTTCGACTCAGCACCCAGCCACTCCATCTCTGCCCGGACAAAGGCATTCCGAGTGGACAGCACCCCAGGTCCGCAGCAGCCCCAACCATCCTCAGCCAAATGGACCTGGGGATCCTGGGTGGGGTGTGTGACATGGGGCAGCCCGACGGCTGATCTCCAGAGTTGGGGGAGAGCCCCAGGGAAGGAGCAGTGGGCCCTGTTCCGGCCTGAGGCTCCACGTCCACCCTGCAGGCCCCGCTGCGTACATGCTGCCCATGGTAATGGGGCCCAATACCGTCGGCAAGGCCTCCCAGCCCTCCTTTTCCATCAAGGGCCGCAGCAAGCTGGGCGGCTTCAGCGACGACCTACACAAGGCAAGGGCCACCCCAACTGAGAACAGAGAATCACCCCCAACCATCTGAACCCTCCCCCGGAACCCAGGACCCACCAGTTCGGCCCTGCCTTGCCAATGCCCCTCAGCCCCCTCAGCCCTTCACCCTCTGGGCACCTGCCACGTGCTGGGGTTACACTGCAGTGGTGAGGAGGGGCAGGCAACAGGCCAGAAGGGAGACGCCCTGGCCCCAGCATGGACCGTGCTGAGGACAAGAGATGGGGTTTAGGAAGCACTGTCTGGAGAGAGAGAGGCAATCTTAGATAGGGTAGCATGGAAAGAAGAGGAGGAGGAAAAAATAAACCATGAGCTATTTGGGGGAGGAGGGTCCTGGTTTCAGAAACAGCCAGTGCAAAGCCCCTGGGTGGCACATGCCTGAGAGCTTGAGGGGCCTGAGATGGGGAAGCAGCATCATGGCACCCAACAGCCCTCGTCCATGTTGATTTTGCCAGCCCCAGGCCCTCAGGTCCAACAGGGCAGCAACAGCCTCTCTCACACACGCTCAGCGATGTTCCCAGGACTGGCACACACTGGGGATGCCATTGCCAGCGTGAGGCTGAAATGGAGGAAGTGACCCCCACATGAGGTACCCCACAAGCAGTGGGGTGTGATCTCCACAGTGTGACAGAAGACAGAAGGGGACCTTGATGCACGGGCACCAACTTGTAGCTGACCCTGTTGACTCAGAGCCTGAGTTTGCTCCCTGTCCTCTAGGGCCACACGCCCTGGGTAGGCCGAGTTGGTCTGAGCCTCCTTTACCTCTCAGACCCCAGGTCCCGCAGCCTACCGCCAAACTGATGTGCGGGTGACCAAGTTCAAGGCTCCGCAGTACACCATGGCTGCCCGTGTGGAGCCCCCAGGGGACAAGACCCTCAAGCCAGGACCAGGCGCCCACAGCCCTGAGAAGGTCCAGGAAGAGCACAGCTCAGAGGGGTCAGGGTGGGGCAGGGTCCTGGCCCAGAGGGATGTGTAGGAAAGAGCAGGGAGGGGGGCTGGGACACAGACGAGGGGAAACAGGGTCAGGCTATGGAAGGACACAGCCAAGAAGGGGTGGAGGGGTGGGGTGGGGATGGGAGGCACCTGCACCCTGAGGACCCTGTACATTTCCAGCACTAGGCCCACAGGTAACCCTTCAGGGACATGGAAGCAGAGACCCTGCCCTTTTCCCTAGACACTGTGACAGCTACTACTGCTGAGTGCTCTGTGTTCAAACCTGGGAGCATAGCTTCTGGCCACCTTGGCCCCAGGTTCAGGAAGGACAGCAGCCCAGCCCCAGCCAGGGCAGAGACCTGCAGGTGGGGGCAGGGGTGCTGGTTCCTATCATAGCCCCTCCTCTCCCAGGTGACCCTGACCAAGCCCTGCGCCCCAGTTGTCACCTTCGGCATCAAACACTCTGATTACATGACTCCCCTGCTGGTTGATGTGGAATAACGCCAGCCCTGCTGTGCCCCATCACACCCGGCATCTACACAAGATCCGCCGGGCCACAGAGCTCGAGGCTGTCTTCACCAGCTGGGCTGGGCCAGCCTGGCCCTGCAGGGCAGAGCACGCTTGTTTGGGCAATTGTAATCAGTTACTTTTTTTCTATGCTATTTTACCATTTTTTAATCTTGTTTTCTGCTGTGCCCAAATTATTAATAAATCAGATTGCATTAATAAGGGTTTGTCTTGGTGGAAGGATCAAGCATTTCCAGAAAGGAGCCCCCGTAGGCTGTCAGCACTTGCCCACAAGGGGTCCCATCCTGCCTTCTAGGGCCCAGGGTCAGCTTGGTGAGATGGGAGGGCCCAGGGTCTGTGTGGGGAGAGATGGTAGGGCCTGAGTACCTCAGACACCCTGCTCCACACTGTCCCTCCTGATGCTTTCTGCCTTGAACCCAAAGATGGCCACACCTGTGCTCATCACCTCTGAGCAATGCTGGGTCCCTTCCCTTGAATCTGGACTATAGCCTGTGGGTGTCCTGAGTAATGAGGTATGGCAGAAGTGATGCCACCAGGCTCCTGAGGCCACGCACACAACATACCAAGGAAACAGCTTCCGCCTGGACACCAGAGCCCACCCCACCCCCACCCTTCTGCCACGTGTCCATGTTTGCTCCAGCACCAGCCATCATGTTGTGAGGAAGCTCAACCATGGCGAGACTGAATGCACCATCCCAGGCAGTCGGCCCGGCCACAGGCAGTCGTCAGCCCGGCCACAGGCAGTCAGCCCGGCCAGGCCCTCCACTCACCAGCACTGACCTCTGGACCTGTGAGTGAGCCTTCAAGTGAAGGCAGCCCCAGGACCACATCTCCCAGTGAGGCCTCGACACTGTAGAGCAAAGACAGCCAACCCTGAAGCGTGCCCCGTCTCAAATTCAATGAGACATGATAAATCATTGCTATTTTAGGTGAAGTTTTAGGGTGACCTGTTACACATCAATGGGTCATACAGGGAGTACAAGGAAGACATGGACAGGGAAGGTGGGGTATCCGCTGGGCCTGAAGAGGAGGATTTCCAGAGGCTGCCCAAGAGTCCAAGGCCAGGCCTCAAGAAGTGGAGTCTGGATTTCAACTCAGGCTTTCAGGGAGGTCACTTTAGGACGGGTGACCTCAACAGACACACTGGTAGGACCATCACCTGCACCTGTATAAAGCACAGTACAACTGCTGACCTTCACTTCGCTGTGATCGTGCCAGGCTGTGTATTCGAAGCACTTCATGTTTACTCTCTTTTTTTTCTTTTTTTTTCTGAGACAGAGTCTCGCTCTGTCGCCCAGGCTGGAGTGCAATGGCACAATCTCAGCTCGCTGCAACCTCCGTCTGCCAGGTTCAAGCAATTCTGCTGCCTCAGCCTCCTGAGTAGCTGGGATTATAGGCACGTGCCACCACACCCAGCTAATTTTTGTATTTTTAGTAGAGACGGGGTTTCACCATGTTGGTCAGGATGGTCTCGAACTCCTGACCTTGTGATTCACTCACCTTGACTTCCCAAAGTGTTGAGATTACAGGCATGAGCCACCGCGCCCGGCCAACTCACTTATTCCCTAAGTGGTGATGCTATCAGGATCCCCATCTGCGTTTCAGGAACTTGGGCAGGGAAGGGTAACACAGCAGGAAGTGGGTGAGTGTGGGGCAAAGATCAGACTGTTACTGTGCCTACCTAGAAAAGGAAGACAAAAGAAACTCCATCTTGATCTGTACAAAGAAAAATTGTTCTGCTTTGAGATGCTGTTAACCTGTAACGTTAGCCCTAATCCTGTGCTCACGGAAACATGTGCTGTATTAAATCAAGGTTTAAGGGATTTAGGGCTATGCAGGGTGTGCCTTCTTAACAATATGTTTGCAGACAGTATGCTTGGTAAAAGTCATCACCATTCTCCATTCTCTATTAACCAGGGACACAATGCACTGCGGAAAGCTGCAGGGACCTCTGTCCGAGGAAGCCTGGGTATTGTCCAAGGTTTCCCCCAACTGAGACAGCCTGAGATACGGCCTCGTGGGAAGGGAAAGACCTGACCGTCCCCCAGCCCGACAACCGTAAAGGGTCTGTGCTGAGGAGGATTCGTAAAAGAGGAAGGCCTCTTTGCAGCTGAGATAAGAGGAAGCCCTCTGTTTCCCGCATGTCCCTGGGAACGGAATGTCTTGGTGTAAAGCCGATTATTCGATTATTCGTTCTATTCTAAGATAGGAGAAAACCACCCTGTGGCTAGAGGCGAAATATGCTAGCGATGATACTGCTCTGTTACTCTTTGCTATACTAAAATGTTTGGGTAAAGAGAAACCTAAATCTAGCCTACGTGCACATCCGGGCACAGTACCTTCCCTTGAACTTATTTATGACACAGATTCCTTTACTCACGTTTTCCTTCTGACCTTCTCCCCACCATCACCGTTCTCCCTGTTCTCCTGCTGCACTCCCCTTGCCAAGATAGTGAAAATAATCATCAATAAATACTGAGGGAACCCGGAGACCGGCACCAGTGCGGGTCCTCCCACGCTTAGTGTGCCGGTCCCCTGGGCCCACTGTTCTTTCTCTATACTTTGTCTCTGTGTCTTCTTTCCTCAGTCTCTCGTCCCACCTGACGAGAAATACCCACAGGTGTGGAGAGGCAGGCCCCTTTCAGGTGAGTCTGTGGCTGCTCTGCCCAAAGTCAACCCTGATGGGGTGAATGAGGGAAGGGGCAGGGTTTACAGCACCTGTGCTCATGGCCAGCCACGGGGTGAATGAGGGAAGGGACAGGGTTTACAGCACCAGTGCTCATGGCCAGCCTGTGGACCAGGGTGAGCTCCAAACAAAATTCCCTCAAATCCCAAGGAAATGAGGACGACAGAGACCATATGATTAGTTCTTCATGAGGTTATGTTTACTACAAATTTTTATTGTTAATGTTTCTCATCCTGAAATTATGGGATACAGCCTAGCAGTTTGTCCTCACTTGGCAGAGTAGGTAACCCTGGCTCTCACACTGAGCCCCCAAGAGTCCTTTTGGTTTTACTGGTGTCAGGGATTACAGTCAGCAAACCCCACTCATTTACAGGGTCAGGTGTACAGGGCTGAGCTGGAGGGTTAGGGTCAGGGCCCCTCAGGAAACTCTGGTCTGGCACAGCAGCAGCAGGGATGCCACTCTCCCTTTGTGGAATCCTTCTTAATACAAGAGTGAGAAGCAGAAGAGCAAACCACAAAGGAATTCCAGCTCAGACCCCAAAGTACCTGGGAGAGCTGCAAACAGCCATGGAGATAAGAGAGGCGGGGAGGGAACACAGTGACTGAGTCTGAGAGACAGCAAAGCACCTCTCCAGCGAAAGCCACTCCGAGATGCAGCCTAACTTCCTAGTTTGCATCAGCAAGATGAGCAGGCACCACCATGGAAAGAGCACCTGGGGTGTAGCTGGTTACCACAGCTCAGCCACATTCCCCAGAAACGGAGGTCAGCCCTCCATGGCCCAGGAAAACATGGGGGATGAAGGGTTGGCACCTGCAGTGACCAGATGGAGATACAATGCAGGCAGCTGCTACCATGCTTGGTGACCAGGGTACAAGCCCCTGATGAGCTTGCCATGGCAGCCAAGGACACTGGTGCCGGAGGAACGACAGGGGCCTGCAAAGGGACATCCGAGGAGGGGGAAGCAAGCTGGGAGCAAGACCAGCCCAGCTAGGTTTCAGGGCAACAGCAAAGCCCCAGAGACATGGAGGCAGATGAGTCAACCTTGCTGGGTGAGAAGTGAGCTTGCACTGCATAGGGCAAGAAGAAGGTGGACCCCACTCCTCCAGGAGGCTGACAGTCTCAGCCAGGTACAATGGAGGGTCCAGGTCACAAGGAAGGGGGCTATGGTGAGCATGGATGGAGAAAGGTAGGCTTGCTGTGTGGAAGGAAGGAGGAGGGGAGGGGAAGGGTGAGCAAAGTGGGGCTGCAGGCATCAGGCTGTGGCTGATCTGTGGTCAGCCTGGAGCTCAGAGGCAGTTCTGGATTGACAGGACATATGGTGTGGCCACACAGGTGGGGGGACAGTGATCCCATAGTCCCCAGGGAGTGACTGGGAGGCAGAAGATTGGAACAGGACAGAGAAGGGCAAAGAAGCACATGGCTCATGCTTTAAAGGTGTTTTTATGCCAAGACAAGGGGGCGAGGACCTCATCTTGAGGTGGGAAGAAGTCGTTGCCCTGCCAGTCCAGTGGTTTGAACATGAATCCAGCCCAGTGGACAGGGAAGGCCCAGGGAGAGGTGGGTAGGGAGGGCATCCTGCAGAGGCTGGGGACAAGGAGGATGGCACAGAATGCCATCACAGCCAGGGGAGTCTGGCAGGGCTTGGCGGAGGCGCCAAAGTTACCAGCAAGCTAGAAGGCAACAACTGATAGCCCTCACAGGAACCTTCTTGTGTAGACCCACAGAAGCTCCCTGGCCCTGCCTGCTTTGCCTGACTCTGAAATGCCAGACAGGCCCATTTCTAGGTCTGTTCTCCTGAAAATACATCTTTGGTGCTGGGTAGATCCTGAATCCTGAGAATACAAGTTTCTGCTCCTGGATACACAGTCACATGACCCAGAAGATCCCAGCCCAGTGGCTAGGCCAAGGCTGCAGTCCACTCCTTCATCCACAGCCCGTTCTCCCCAAGGGTCTCACTTCATCGAAGGCGCAGATAACACAGTAGGGTGGCCTCCACTGGTCTGCCCATGCTCAGCAACCATGGCCAGGAGTAACTGCCATCTCCAGGGTGAGAAGCCTCGGTCGGAGGAGATGACACCCACTTAGGGTTCACAGCCCCTTCCTGTGTCAGTTCCAGGAACCTTGGATCACAGACATGGCCTCACCCAGACAAGGACACGACCGTGCAGCCTTAAGATGTCAGAGTCCCAAGCGCGGGGAGAAGGGCTGCAAGCCACAGGTGGCCACGTCTGGGATTCACCAGCTGCTCTGCTCAGACCTGGCTTCTCCAGACACGCTGTGGCCCCAGCTCTGCCTGGCTCTCTAGCACCTGGGGGAGGGGGGAGGGGCTGGGCCTTGGTTTCCCCGAGAGAGTCCCTTTCACACATGGGACCAGCCAACATGAGCTCATCAGGTCACAGGCAGCCGCAGCCTCCTGCCACACAGGAAGAAGATTCCTGACCCACAATTATCATTGCAAAGGAGTATTTTGTAGGTAAGTCCTCTGGAGCCCAAAACACCAGGCAGGGAAGACCCTGGCTGCCCTTGGCACCCACAGACACCAGCTCCCACTGGCTCACGTCCTTGCCCTGGACAAGAAGTAGGAGAGGATGAAGAAGGCCACAATTAGACCCACGGCCATGCCACATAGAAGCTTCCGGTTGTCTTGTCCGGACCTTGCCATTGTGGAAAAGCGCTTCACGCTCCCTGTAAGCAGGCTGGTCATGCTTGTGAAATCCGAGTCCTAAGGGAGGAATCCCAGCAAGATCACACAGAAGTGGTGATTTGACCACCCACCCGCACCAGTGCTGAAGGAGACACTGCAGGCTCTGCAGCAGGTAGTGCTAGGGCAGGGCACTGATACACGCACACCGTGGGCCCTTACCATGCCATCCAGGTACCGGTTCTGATCCTCTGCATCCCTATCGATGTCCAGGGCGAGCTGTTCAGCAGACAGAGAGGGCAGGGTTGGGCCAGAGCAGACACATAATACAGCACTCACCCTCCCCAGACCAGATAAACCCTGCCAACAACTCTGCCAGACACAGTGGGGCTGCAGCAGACAGAAAGGTCCAGGTGTCAGCTGGGGCCTCATGCAGGTGAGCACAGCCACGAATTGGATGAGGATGGAAAACTGCCTGAAACTCCTCTGGGCCCTCTGCCTTCCCTCTGATCCCCATTCCCCAAAGGCACCAGGTGGAGGTAAGAGGACAGACCACCACTGACCGATTTGAGCCTGGTGACTTTGGAGGCCAGGCTGTCAGCCATTCGCTTGTTCTCCCGGTCTAGAATCTCTTCCACAGCGCCCGGGCTCTGAGCTGAGAAAAGAGAGGGGCTGAAGGGTTGCATCCATCGGTGAGCACGGCCCCTGACCCCTCTCACTCCAACCACATCTGGGTGAGTCAGAAATCTAGGGGGCCCTAACCAAGGTTCCAGCAGGTGAATCTTGCACATGAGACAGGCTGCATAAAGGACGATGTGTGTAAGGGCCTGTCATGTGAACACATGTCCTGTGTACACATCAAGGTGGGGATGGGCAAGCACCCACAATGGGTTCGGTCCAACCAGCACCTTCTGAGACTGTGTAGCAAAAACTGGACCCAGCCCTGGGGTGCTAGTATGATGTGACACTTGCATCCAGGGAGGTCACCATCTGTGTATGTGGAGCCCATTCTTATAGAAAAAGAGTAAACTCTGCTAAGAGCATAGAAAAGACTTGGGAAAAGTACCCAGCAAGGCAGCAGAAAGGCTCCTGCAGAGACGACCTTTGAGCTAGGTCCTGAAGAGGTGGCAAGGAACCAGGACAGAACATTGGGAAGGCCCTTTACCGCACAGAAAATGGCTGAGCAAAGTTCCCAATTTCCCCGAGACGGGAGCTGAGGTCGACCAGGAGCGGGATCCTTGGTCTGCATCCCGCATGGGGCTTCCTGCAACACCCAGGGCAGAGTGCTCGCAGAGGCCTGGCCTGTGACAGGCTGGGCCAGGGGATAAGGAAGTTCTGTCACATCAGGTGCGTGAGAACCACCTCCTCCCTAGCTTCAGTGTCAGGAAGGGATGCCAGCGTCCTTCCAGCCACTTCATATTTATAAATTCCTTTAATCATCATAACACCTCACAGAGACAGGCATCAATATCCCACTTTGCAGACAAGAACACGGGCTCCAGGAGGGGAAATGGGGCCACCGAGGCCAAAGTAAGAGTCCTGCTTGGACACCAGCGGAGCACAGCCTCTACTCCTAGGGCCTGGCCTCGGGACCTGTCGAATGCCGACTCCCGCTCACCCCGAACCCATGCAGAACGATCTCACAGGGGGCGGCGGGGAGTGGGGAGACCCCGCTGCTGCGCGACCCCTCGCTGGAGCTGCTGGGCCGCCACGCGCGCCTTCGGTCCTAACGGCAGTGCCGGCCGAAACCCGGCCCTGCTCGGACCCGGAAGGATCCGAATCCGCCCCCCTGACAGGGTCCTCTCGGCCGAGGTCACCCCAGCTGGGCCAGAGGCAGGCGCACGCGGCTCTACAGGCAGCGGCGTCGGTTTCGGCCCGGCCCTGCCCCCAACGGCTCCGCTCTCCCGCGCTCACCCCGAGCCCAGTCCGCCATCGTGCCCTGCCCCGGCTCCTCGACGCGGACACCGACGCGGCCACAGCCGCCTCAGACGTGGCGCAGTCGCGGGGAAAGAGCTTCCGGCCCCGCCCCCAGCTAGCGATGGCCCCGCCTCCGCACCGACCACGCCCCTAGATAGCCCAGCCCCTTCCGCTTCGGGCTCGCTGACTTCCGGCTTAGGGCCGAGGGTGGGGAACTGCCGGGCGCGGAAGCGATGGGCATATCTGTGGCTTATTTTCAGCACTGTCGCGCAGACAGTGGCGCGATCTCAGCTCACTGCAGCCCCCGCCTGCCGGGCTCCCAAGGTGCTGGGATTACAGCAGCACCGCGGATGTGACGTTTGGTGTTCCTGTGAACGTGGGGCGGGGCGGGGCCGTTTGCTTGCTCAGTGCCTAGACGATGGTGGTGGAAAGACGCTTCTGTGGGTTAGGTCCTAACGGTTAGGAAGGATTCACAGGCGGGTCATGAGGAAGGAGCAGACCCCTCGGGCAGAAGCCCGCGAGGAGCACTGGGTGTGGTGGGGGCAGGGGTGCCTCCTCTGTCAAGTGGAGATCGGCGCCTCGCTCGTGCCTGCGAGTGCGCGCCGCGTCGAATACAGCCGTACAGAACGCACTACAGGAAAGTGAAGCCGGGAGAGAGACTGGGAGGCGGCGCGGGGACTGGGGGCCGTAGACGCCTTTGCTCCCGGGCACTTGTTAGAAGAGCGAGTGGATCGCGCTTCCTGTGCGTCACTGAATCCTCATGACGGCCACTGAAACGGACACGCAGGATCTTTGCTTTTCAAGAGGGAACTGAGTCCAGGCCAGACTGGGTTGCTCCCCTTTCTCTCGGCCCCTCCACCTTTGCAAGTGCTGCTCCTTCTGCCTGGAGTGGCTCCTCCAGTCTTTTCCCGGCTCACTTCCCACCGTCCGGTGTCAGCAAAAACAGCACTTCCTCACAGCCCGTTGCAGCCCAGCAGTCGCCTTTTGCTTCTTTTGAAGCACAGCCCTGTGACCGCCTCGTGTCCTTTTGTTTTTCCTTGTCCCCCTTCCCCTCTGGAACATAAGCTCCACAAAGGCAGGGACCTGGGAATCCCGTTCGCCTGCATTCCCCAGCAAACGCCTAACGAACCCAATGGCCCAGGACTGAAAATTCCTTTCCACTTCGGCTTTCCCCTCTACATCCCATCGGTTCTGTGGAGCTCGAGGGGCGTCACTGTGTGTGTGGCAGGGCACGGTGGGGGCTGAGATCGTTTCCTGTTGGAACTTCTGGCCCAAGAAGCGCGGGTCACAAGGAGAGGGGTCAGTTCGGTTCAGAGCGACTCAGCCCCTCGACTCGGGTCTTAAAACCTCCGAGCCGCCAGTTCTGCCTCAGGCCGCGCCCCCTTAAAGCGCCACCAGACGCTGCGCCCCGTTAAAGCGCCACCAGACGCCGCGCCCCGTCCCGGCCTCCCCCGCGCGCTGGCGCGGGGCTTTCTGGGCCAGGGCGGGGCCGGCGAACTGCGGCCCGGAACGGCTGAGGAAGGGCCCGTCCCGCCTTCCCCGGCGCGCCATGGAGCCCCGGGCGGTTGCAGAAGCCGTGGAGACGGGTGAGGAGGATGTGATTATGGAAGCTCTGCGGTCATACAACCAGGAGGTAAGCGGCCGCCTGAGGCCGGGGGGCGGGCACGGAGGGGGTGGGGCAGGGTCGTGCGCGGGTAGCAGGGAGGGCGTGGGTGAGGCAGAGGCTGTGTCAGCAAGCGTAGGGGACGCGGCGGGGTGCGGGGGGCAGGTCTGGGATGCAGTGTTGCGGGGAGAGTGGGGGTGCACCCGTTGGGTGGCAGGCGTGTAGGGATGGGGGCGAGTGCCGACCCTGCCATCCGTTCTGAGCAGTGGCTGCTGCCTGAGTTAGAGGCCAATAGGCCGCCCGCATCAGCGGACGCGGATCCTACCCCTCTGTGGATTTGAATTCACTAGTTCTCTCTGCAGCACTCCCAGAGCTTCACGTTTGATGATGCCCAACAGGAGGACCGGAAGGTGGGTGCTGGCCCAAGGGGTAAAGGGGCAGGGACGGGTGGCCCCAGGAAGAAGGGCCTGGTGGAGCCGCTCTTCTCCCTGCCCACAGAGACTGGCGGAGCTGCTGGTCTCCGTCCTGGAACAGGGCTTGCCACCCTCCCACCGTGTCATCTGGCTGCAGAGTGTCCGAATCCTGTCCCGGGACCGCAACTGCCTGGACCCGTTCACCAGCCGCCAGAGCCTGCAGGCACTAGCCTGCTATGCTGACATCTCTGTCTCTGAGGGGTCCGTCCCAGAGTCCGCAGACATGGATGTTGTACTGGAGTCCCTCAAGTGCCTGTGCAACCTCGTGCTCAGCAGCCCTGTGGCACAGATGCTGGCAGCAGAGGCCCGCCTAGTGGTGAAGCTCACAGAGCGTGTGGGGCTGTACCGTGAGAGGAGCTTCCCCCACGATGTCCAGTTCTTTGACTTGCGGCTCCTCTTCCTGCTAACGGCACTCCGCACCGATGTGCGCCAGCAGCTGTTTCAGGAGCTGAAAGGAGTGCGCCTGCTAACTGACACACTGGAGCTGACGCTGGGGGTGACTCCTGAAGGGAACCCCCCACCCACGCTCCTTCCTTCCCAAGAGACTGAGCGGGCCATGGAGATCCTCAAAGTGCTCTTCAACATCACCCTGGACTCCATCAAGGGGGAGGTGGACGAGGTGAGCACTGACCTTAACCCATGGATGGGTCTCAACTCAGCTCCAACATTTCCTGGACCTGCTTCCTACTGGGTACCTTCAGGTTTCTGGGTGTCAGACATGGAGAGGACAGGACCTCCCAGCCTGTTGGGACAAGGCCAAGGAGATGCCAGTTCTGGGCTGGGACCTCAGGAAAGGCTTCTGAGGGAAGTAGAGGCCCCTTCTGGCTCTTGCTGCCTGGCAGGAGGGCTGTGTGGTGTCTGGGGAGACTGTAAGAGATCCTCCACCATGAGGCTGTGAGTGGGGCTGAGACAGAGTGTGACTTCATCCCTAAGGTATGTGTTAGCATTCCTAATCAGGGAAGTGCTCTTAGAAGAATACTCATGGAGTTTTTAGGAAGACAGCAGTGGTCATCTTTTGCCCCCAGCACTACCCAGAGTCACCTAGGAAGACCCCAGGGGACCAGGTATGCAGTACAGGAGGTGCACAGTCATTGCCACACAGTCCTGGAGTGCAACAGACAGTGGAGCCTCAGCAGGCAGCAGTGGGATGAGTGGGGCTCCTCACAGGAACCCTTCTTTCTTTGGTCAGGAAGACGCTGCCCTTTACCGACACCTGGGGACCCTTCTCCGGCACTGTGTGATGATCGCTACTGCTGGAGACCGCACAGAGGAGTTCCACGGGTGAGAATGGGGCTTTTTCTGGGAGGGAAGTGTGCCCACATGTCTAGATGGTCGTCCTCAACCCCGGCTCTGAACCAGAACCACCTGAGAGCCCAGGCCCCACCCTAGAGAGTCTGACGTTGTCTGGGTGAGTGAGACTGGACATAGCCATGAATTTGGGGGCAGGAATGTGCCAACTGGGCCTTGGGTAGTGGCAACAGTATGGTACTTACTAGGGCACATTGGTTCCTTGTCCCCGTTTTTGGTCTACCTGCCCCTAGGCTGGTCTGGGTTTCCAGAGATGGTCTGGCGCTTTGGCTCAGACAGGGTCGGGGAGGCAGTGTGTCTCAGTGCCCCCACTTCCCCAGGGGACCCCACTGTACAGCTGAGTGGCAGTGCCTCTCAGATCAGTCCCTGCCCTTGGCTTTGGTCCCTAGCGCTGCCCCTTTGGGACTCAGATGCCAGCTCATGTAATGTGTGGTTCAGCGGAGTCACAAAGATTGCACCTGTGCTCAGGGATTAGCCCTGTTGAAACCCCTACCTCCATCTGTCCCCAGCCACGCAGTGAACCTCCTGGGGAACTTGCCCCTCAAGTGTCTGGATGTTCTCCTCACCCTGGAGCCACATGGAGACTCCACGGAGTTCATGGGAGTGAATATGGATGTGATTCGTGCCCTCCTCATCTTCCTAGAGAAGCGTTTGCACAAGGTAGGCTGGGGATGGCTGTGCAGGCTCCCCCAGTGGCTCTGGCACTGGTTCTCCTGCACAGATGTGGTCAGTGCTTCCACACTGTCCACACTGGTACGTGGAGATTGTCTTGGTGGTGTGATATGGGCGACTCTTCCGGTTGTTCTGTGGTCCAGCCTGGCAAGAAGCCAGACCCTTCCTCCATGAGAAGCATGTGGACACCTTCCACACACTTGAAGGTTTCACTTCTTAAATCTTTGGGGATCTTTACTGAGTGGTCCAGAGAAGCCCCCCAGTCCCTACTTTTAAGTCTTAAACACAGGCAGCCCTTGATTACAAGCATAGTTGTCCCTCAGCATCCTGAGGAGACCCATAGGAACCTCAGATCAAAGCTTCCTTCTGATTGCTGTGACTGCACTACAGGGCATCTGGACAGCTGGGGCTCTAACCATCTTCCAGGAGCTTGCAGAAAGCAGGCTGGAGTACAATAAACCGAGATTTAGTAGACCTCCTGGGAATCTACCTGCCTAAGCAAGGGACACACAAGGTGCCTGCGAGCCAGTCAGGATAGGGAGCTGGCACTGGACACACAGCTAGGGGGTTGTCTGTGCCCGTCGCTGCCACTGCTGGTGCTGGGGTCCAGGCACATTATGCTAGGAGGGTCAAGAACTCCCTGCTCTGTCCACGAAGTACACAGAGCGGGGATTCGGTTCTCGTTTCTTTTTGCCACCAACATCTGAGGGCAATGTGTGTGCGAGTCTAAAGCTTTAATTGCTTTGTGTTTTCTTCCCAGCTCTGGTTTATAGTTGAAGTAATTAGACTTAAAGCAGTTATTTCTCCCAAGTCACAAAGCTTACGAGTACCTCTGAGTTACGCTCTATCCCTGTCCTTTTCAAAAGTGACACAGACACCCACCACCCACTCTTGGCCTTCTGCTGACTAACTGCAGAGGGGCCTCTTCCCAAACCTCTGCCGCCAGGACCAGCTGTTGTGTATGTTGGTGGGAAGGGGTGGTGGGGAGGTGTAACTCTGTGCCAGTCACAAGTTAGGCAGGGGCATAGCCCCAGTGACAGAGAATCCTCTACAGACACACAGGCTGAAGGAGAGTGTAGCTCCCGTGCTGAGCGTGCTGACTGAATGTGCCCGGATGCACCGCCCAGCCAGGAAGTTCCTGAAGGCCCAGGTATAAGGCTGAGGAGCTGGTGCTCCTGGGGGATGTGGTTTCGGCCCTGATCACAGACCCTTGGCTGCTCTAAGCCCAAGCTTAGGGATGGCCACCTCCCCAGGTGCTGCCCCCTCTGCGGGATGTGAGGACACGGCCTGAGGTTGGGGAGATGCTGCGGAACAAGCTTGTCCGCCTCATGACACACCTGGACACAGATGTGAAGAGGGTGGCTGCCGAGTTCTTGTTTGTCCTGTGCTCTGAGAGTGGTGAGTTATGGAGACCCAGGTCCCAGCCCACCCCACCTCAGCCAGGCTTGCACACTGACCTCTGCCTTGCCCCTCAGTGCCCCGATTCATCAAGTACACAGGCTATGGGAATGCTGCTGGCCTTCTGGCTGCCAGGGGCCTCATGGCAGGAGGCCGGCCCGAGGGCCAGTACTCAGAGGATGAGGACACAGACACAGATGAGTACAAGGAAGCCAAAGCCAGGTGTGTACCCCCAACACACCCTCGGGTCTCCACTCACAGCCCCATAGTCCCTGCTTCCACACCCATGTGGACCCCTGTAGGGTGGGACAGGATGACAAATGGGCAAGAGCTTCCAGAATCAAGCACCTGTTCCTAAGTGCTATCTGGGATACCAGAAGGTGGCAGATGGCAGGAGCTGGTTACCTGTGCCGCTTCTGGAGGGAGGCCTCTTCCTGCAGTTGCCTTGCCCACCTCACCCCACTGGGAAAATAGGTGGCTTGCCTCCTGTCCTGGAGAGTCACTAATGCATTCCCCACATTCCACCCACTGGGAAACAGCATAAACCCTGTGACCGGGAGGGTGGAGGAGAAGCCGCCTAACCCTATGGAGGGCATGACAGAGGAGCAGAAGGAGCACGAGGCCATGAAGCTGGTGACCATGTTTGACAAGCTCTCCAGGTGTGTGGCATGAGGAGGAGGGGCCTGCAGCTGGGAGAAGGGAGAGCTGACCCACATCCTGTCTTGTGAGCCCCAGGAGGTAGGATCAGAGGAGAGCTTAGGATCCTGGTATTAGGTTGCATTGCTCACGTTTGAAATCACTTGCCCTGGAGGAAATCCCCCAGGGGATGGGTATATTGAGATCAGTATTGTGCCCCTTTTACAGATGATAACTGAGGCCCAGAGAAATTAAGAGACTGTCTAAGGCCGGGCGTGGTAGCTCACGCCTATAATCCCAGCACTTTGGGAGACTGAGGCAGGTAGATCACAAGGTCAGGAGATCGAGACCATCCTGGCCAACATGGTGAAACCCCATCTCTGCTAAAATACAAAAAAAAAGTTAGCTGGGCGTGGTGGTGGGCGCCTGTAGTCCCAGCTGCTCGGGAGGTTGAGGCAGGGGAATCACTTGAACCCAGGAGGCAGAGCTTGCAGTGAGCTGACATTGTGCCACCGCACTCCAGCCTGGCAACAGAGTGAGACTTCGTCTCAAAAAAAAAAAAGAGACTAATGTCGCCAGATTTATTGGAGATGGCCCAGTGTCCAAATTAAGAGCCTGCTTAAGGCCAATTTAGATGTTTAAAATAGGAAACTGCTTAAAGCCAGGAGGCAGCAGTTAGGGTTTGGGCCCAGTTAACAGAAGGTCCAACCAGGCTTCCCCAGTAAATGGGAGCAGCCTACTTGGTAGAGAGGAAGGTAGCAGCCACGGGTGAGTAGGACCCCTGCCTGGCCAACTGGGCCCCTTCCCCAGCCCCACTGCACCTTTCCCCAACAGGAACAGAGTCATCCAGCCAATGGGGATGAGTCCCCGGGGTCATCTTACGTCCCTGCAGGATGCCATGTGCGAGACTATGGAGCAGCAGCTCTCCTCGGACCCTGACTCGGACCCTGACTGAGGATGGCAGCTCTTCTGCTCCCCCATCAGGACTGGTGCTGCTTCCAGAGACTTCCTTGGGGTTGCAACCTGGGGAAGCCACATCCCACTGGATCCACACCCGCCCCCACTTCTCCATCTTAGAAACCCCTTCTCTTGACTCCCGTTCTGTTCATGATTTGCCTCTGGTCCAGTTTCTCATCTCTGGACTGCAACGGTCTTCTTGTGCTAGAACTCAGGCTCAGCCTCGAATTCCACAGACGAAGTACTTTCTTTTGTCTGCGCCAAGAGGAATGTGTTCAGAAGCTGCTGCCTGAGGGCAGGGCCTACCTGGGCACACAGAAGAGCATATGGGAGGGCAGGGGTTTGGGTGTGGGTGCACACAAAGCAAGCACCATCTGGGATTGGCACACTGGCAGAGCCAGTGTGTTGGGGTATGTGCTGCACTTCCCAGGGAGAAAACCTGTCAGAACTTTCCATACGAGTATATCAGAACACACCCTTCCAAGGTATGTATGCTCTGTTGTTCCTGTCCTGTCTTCACTGAGCGCAGGGCTGGAGGCCTCTTAGACATTCTCCTTGGTCCTCGTTCAGCTGCCCACTGTAGTATCCACAGTGCCCGAGTTCTCGCTGGTTTTGGCAATTAAACCTCCTTCCTACTGGTTTAGACTACACTTACAACAAGGAAAATGCCCCTCGTGTGACCATAGATTGAGATTTATACCACATACCACACATAGCCACAGAAACATCATCTTGAAATAAAGAAGAGTTTTGGACAAAAATGTATGTGTAAATTATCAAATAAAGGGGCCAGGCACAGTGGCTCATGCCTGTAATCCCAGCACTTTGGGAGGCCGAGGTGGGTGGATCACTTGAAGCCAGGAGTTCGAGACCAGCCTGGCCAACATAGCAAAACCTTGTCTCTATTACAAATATGCCCATGTGCTAGGTGTGGTGGGACACACCTGTAATCCCAGCTACCCAGGAGAATCGCTTAAACCCGGGAGGCGGAAGTTGCAGTGAGCTGAGATCATAACACCGCACTCCACCCTGAGTGACAGGGCAAGACTCAAAAAATAAAAAAGGAACATTAACTAGGGTTAGAAACTAACTTCATTCTTTTTAGAATTCAACAGTTTTCCTAGGTCACCAATTCCACCTTTTGTTCTTATTAAGGCGCAAAGTCACAGGACCCCCTTCCTGGGAGTCACTGTCATTAAATCTATTGCCGTCAGCTCAGCCCAGGGTAGGCAAGGTTCAAGAATGGGAAGTGCTTTTGTCTGGGGAAACACGCAGGTAATGTGATGCTAGGAAGGAGGATGTGCAGGTGGGTGAGAGCCCAGGAGGGAGCAGCTGGTGCCTGACAGGGTGAGCCATCAGGGCTGGGCCTGGGTACAGCCCCAGGAGAAGGAGCCTGTGCAGAAGTAGCAGTTCAGTGGATTCCACCTCCTATGTCACAATCCAGCAGGTGGCCAGGACTCAGCCTGGGTTTTAAGTGAGTAATGCCTTCCCTGTCTCAGAGATTAGCTCTAACAGTGTCACTAGAGGAAGCCCTGGCGAGGGTGGGGGGGCGTAGTGTGGGGACAAGGAGGCCAGATAGAAAGTGCTGGAATGTTCTGGAACAGATCTGTTTCTGGAGGAGAGGCTGAGTATGGAGAGTCAACAGAATGTGACCACCTTCAGAGGGAGGAGCTGGGCCGTCTCCAATAAATCCAGGGACAAATGCCTTCAGTCCTCAGACTGTTCCAATAGAGGGGACGCCACGTATCCCAGGGTTCCCTTTCCAACTCATGTCAACACCTGCAGTCCCTTTGAGGAGACTAAATGTATTTCATGCTGGAAAGAACAGATTTTCTCTCATTAAAAATAGCCCCACTAAAGGAGACCAACATGCTAGAAGTGCGGCACCAGGGCCTCAAGACTACACTTCGGAACATGAAGAGGGCTGGGGACCGCTCGGCCCAAGTCTGGATCTTGTAACCAACAGATGCCGAGCTTGCCGTTCAACTAGGCACAGAAAGCAGACTCGGTCTGGGATTCCAGTTGGTCTGATTCAGTTCAAGAGGGTCACAGTCAGAAGAAAGCTTTTTCCATTAGGAGCTTCAGCAGAGTGAAGAGTTCAACACAGCAAACAGGCAGGCAGCTCCTTTGTATATGTGACGGGGTGGCCCTGACTGTAAACACAGCCCTACCAGTCACTGCAGCTCATGGCCTGAGAAGACATTCCAGTGGCAGCCTCGGGTGTCCACTCAGTTCACATATTCTGGTTTCACCTGCCCAAGCTGTCTTCAGGCATGAGGTCTTGTCAGAATTGGGATGTGGATGTCTCCTATGTTACCATTTATTGTGTGGGGGCAGCCATCATCCTATTTGTCTGGTCCATCAAGCTGGAATACAGAAGACAGAGGGTATCAGCTATCTGTTTACACACCCAGGCAGGCCAGCAGATCTCTGTTCAAACAGCTCTAGCTGCAGACATGCAAAATATTTCACAAAACAAGCTGCTTTCTGCAAATACTGCTGCTGCTGTGCTGGGCTAAGAGGATCCCAGCAGGCCTGGGCAGAACAGGGTGGCTAAATGGAGAGCCTCATTCTATGGGTCTTAAAGTACCCAAATCAATATGTACTGATGCTCATGTGCTTAAAAGCATTCACTATTTGGAAAAGTAACCCCTTGGATAGTAATGCTGTAAAAAACAGAAAATGAAATCATAACCCATTTTACATACATTTCTCTGAAACTAGATTATACAGTTCAAATCCTATTAAGCCACTTCCAAAACTCCACAGGAGCTACCAGAGTTACAATCTGCTTTTCTATGAAAACAGGAAGTTGGGCCGGGCCTGCTGGCTCATGCCTATAATCCCAGCACTTTGGGAGGCTGAGGCAGGTGGATCACCCGAGGTCAGGAGTTTGAGACCAGCCTGACTAACATGATGAAATCCCATCTCTAATAAAAGTACAGAAATTAGCCAGGCATGGTGGCACATGCCTGTAATCCCAGCTGCTCAGGAGGCTGAGGCAGGAGAATCACTTGAACCCAGGAGGCAGGGCTGCAGTGAGCCAAAATCGTGCCATTGCACTCCAGCTTGGGCAACAAGAGTGAAACTCCATTACAAAAAAAAGAAAATATGAAGTTGGAGCAGGAAAAGGATCCCTCAAAAAAGCCTGCTGGGCTGATCTAAGATCTCCGCTGCCTTGTGAGCTGGCCAGGAGGCACTCGCCTCTCAGCGTTTAAGCCTCATTGTTAGCTGGGTTCCCTGCCTCCATAATGAAGTGACCATGATTGGTAAAAAATCAGCCTGCAACCAGAGGTTGGAGGTCTTGGACTGGTGGAGGTGAGGAGAGTGCTGACCCCATGGCCCTGAGCCATGAGGCAGCCACAGCTGTGGACAAGGAAAAAGGATCAGGATTTCCTAAGACATCTGCCTTGGAAGGCAAGAGGAGCATCAACTGTGATATATTGTAGTTGATATGGTTTGGCTGTGTCCCCACCCAAATCTCACCTTGAATTGTAATCATCCCCATGTGTCAAGGGTGGGGCCAAGTGGAAGTAACTGAATCATGGGGGCGGGTCTTTCCCACACTCTTCTTCTGATAGTGAATAAGTCTCACAAGATCTGATAGTTTTATAAAGGGCAGTTCCCCCGCACACGTCCTCTTGCCTGCCACCTTGTAAGACAGTACTTTGCTCCTGCTTTGCCTTCCACTATGATTGTGAGGCCCCCACAGCCATATGGAACTGTGAGTCCATTAAACCTCTTTCCTTTATAAATTACCCAGTCTCAGGTATGCCTTTATGAGCAGCCAGAGAACAGACTAATACACTGGTGAAATCCCCTTTGGACAGTGTTACACCTGCCTGTAATCATGACACTGGACTTTAAATGCTTAATGCTACCACCTCCCATTGAAAACCCTTAATATCAAGGCTACACATGCTACATGATTCTTATGGGAAACTGCATTTTCTGTAACTTCACTTGTTTATAGGCGGTTTGAAATCTCTTAGAAAGCATCAAGGCTCTTTGGCTTTCCTCAGCGGATTATAATTGATCAATGGCTCTCATACCAATTACTTCCGAAAAGCATCACTCATGTAGCCTTCATCCCACATAGATGCAGAGAACTTTAGCTTCTCAAAGTTCTTTAACCCGTATCATCTTAGAATCACATACCAGGCCTTAGAGGGACACTGTTGGCTGCTTTATTTTAGGGAGTGAAGGTAACGCCTATAGTCTGTTAAGAATACAGACTCATCAGCCCTGAGTGTCTGGACCGTGTCCCTGCTTGGCCTGTTAGCATCTGTTTCCTCATCTCTAAATGGAGGTATTGAAAGTAACACCCAGTCAGGTCCAGGTAGTGCCTGGTGCAGGATTCACAGCATCATCAGCTATTACTGTTACTGTGTTAACCAACGGGGCTCCATATCAGGTGGACCATACCCTAGAGCAGTGAGAAGGGCAGCCCCTTGGATGGTCCTCCTCAGCAGTCTGTACCTTCCCAGTTTCCCGCTGCACAAGGTCCCGCATCTCTTCTGTCCAGCCCAGAAGCTCCACTAGGCTTTCCACGCCGTGAACCACGTCCCCCAGCTGGGCCACGTCCCTGCTGCGAGGATGCCAAGCCAAGGGCCCCACCAAGTCCCGGTTGATGAGCAGTCGGGGAACTGAGCTCCGCACGGCCTCGGTCAAGCTGGCAAAAGGCTCCACCTGAAAAATGGGCCAAACGTGAGGGGCACAGTGTCCACTTTACAAGCTCCTCAGGATGTTTCATGCCACAGCCACCGAGGCCTTGGAGGAGCAGCAGATTGGCAGTCAGAGCCTGCGATATAGGGAAAACCCACCACCAATCTCATTTCTTCAGCTGAGCTCCTGCCGCTTGGCCTCCGTGACGGTTTTCTCCCCTCCGCCTCTCTCTCTCTCTCCCACTTCTTGCTGTTTCCACACATCCTTGCTTTTCCCCACCTCCGTTCCAAGGCTCATCAGGGATCCAACCTTCCTGCCTCCTCTTTGTGAGCACGTTCTGTTCTCCCTGTCCTCCCCACCTCGCTGTCTCCCAGCATGACGCAGAGGGACAACAGCACAGACTCGTCCATCTCCTCTGGCTAGCCCTGCTTGCTCTGACAGCCACCACCAGCATCGGGCACCCAGACGAGCTGGTGCCCCCGAGCAGGAGTTACTGTTACGTCTCTCCATGGTCTTCCCCACCCAGCCTCTAGAGAGGCCTAGCTCGGTGCCATCAGGCTTCTTCATACAGCTCTCAAAGCTTCTTTTAAGAGGAACAAGGTAAAAAAATGGATACATTAATAAATGGCATTAAAACTGGCTCATTATCTGGGAGGAAAATACTCCATTCCTACCTCCCACTGAAAAAAATTCAAATGGATTAAAGGTTTCAATGTAAACAAAACAGTTCTTGAAGAAAACTAAGGATTTACAAGTAAGGATAGGGAAGAACGTTCTAGGCGTAAAAACTGAAGTCAGATAAGGCAAAGGAAAATGACAGATCTGACTATGTAAATACTATTATCTCGGTATCTACATAAAACTACTATGTAGAAAATTTAAAATTTTTAAAAACCTCTCATCATCATAAACTGCAAAAATATTTACAACATATGACAATAGTTTATATTGCTAATTGATAAACTCATTTATAAACATATAATTTATGAACTAATTTATAATGCTAATTTATAATGAAATTTATATTAACAGCTGGGCATGGTGGTTCACACCTATAATCCCAGCACTTTGGGAGGCCGAGGCGGGCAGATCAGCTGAGGTCAGGAGTTCAAGACCAGCCTGGCCAACATAGTGAAACCACGTCTCTACTAAAAATACAAAACTTAGCTGGGCGTGGTGGCACGCACCTATAATCCGAGCTACTCGGGAGGTTGAGGCAGGAGAATGGCTTGAGCCTGGGAGGTGGAGGTTGCAGTGAGCCGAGATCGCGCCACTGAACCTCCAGCCTGGGAGACAGAGCAAGACTCTGTCTCAAAAAAAAAAAAAAAAAAAAGAAAGAAGTTTATATTAACATTAAAATGTAATTATATTATTTAATTTATACTAAAATTAAAACTAATTTATATTGCTAATTTATAATGACCCAATGAAAAATGGTCAAGAGGTACAAATATACAATCCAAAGAGAAGAAACACAACTGGCAATAAACATGAAAAGATGAACTTCATTCTTTACTACAGAAAGGCAAAATCCGCACCCCCCTCCACACACACACATGCATTTTTTAACCAATTTGATTTGTGTGATTTTGGTTTTGGTGAGGATGTGATAAAATGGCTACATAAAAACACAGTTTGTGGCAGTGTAATTGTTACATCTTTCTGGAAGGCAAGTTCTCAATATTTATCAGCATTTACCCTTCAGGAGTTCTTGCATGGGTAGATAAGGATGATACACAGGGATATTCACCACAGCATTTACCCTTCAGGAGTACTTGCATGGGTAGATAAGGATGACACACAGGGATATTCACCGGAAGGCAAGTTCTCAGTATTTATCAGCATTTACCCTTCCAGAGTACTTGCATGGGTAGATAAGGATGATACACAGGGATATTCACTACAGCATTTACCCTTCAGGAGTACTTGCATGGGTAGATAAGGATGACACACAGGGATATTCACCGGAAGGCAAGTTCTCAGTATTTATCAGCATTTACCCTTCCAGAGTACTTGCATGGGTAGATAAGGATGATACACAGGGATATTCACTACAGCATTTACCCTTCAGGAGTACTTGCATGAGTAGATAAGGATGATACACAGGGATATTCACTACAGCACGGGATCTCATTCTGTTACCCAGGCTGGAATGCAGTGGCATGATCATAGTTCACTATAACCTCAAATTCCTGGGCTCAAGCAATCCTCCTTCCTCAGCCTCTCAAATAGCTGCAACTACACAGACCATGCCTGGCTATCTTTTTATTTTTTGTAGAGACGAGGTCTGACTATACTGCCCAGGCTGGTCTCAAATGCCTAGCTTCAGGCAATCTTCCTGCCTTGGCCTCCCAGAGTGCTGGGATAACAGGTGTGAGCCACGGTGCCTGGCCCAGCATTACTTTTAATGTAAAAATTATATACTATTTATTATCATTGTCCATCAGTAAGAAATTGCTTACATAAATTTTGTATTAAATCCACAAAATCTATGTTAAAGCTCTTGTGGCTGAATATGTTTCAGAATTTTTGAGATTTTAGAAAAGATCATATGGTTTACATCCCACGTTATGTCACACCTAAAGGGGATCTGGAGTGGTACTCCACAGTCAAACACATTAACATTTCGTCCACAAAGCACATGAGATAGAGTCTGTGCGTGACACCAGCTCATTCAGTTCATGATGGCACCAGCCTTACAGACATGGGTTTCTCAGTTGGGACCTCATATCCGTGTAAGGGAAACTGTTGGCATTAACAACGCAGCACATCTCCATGGACTCACATTGTTACGTGAAAACAGCAGGCTGCAGAATAGAATGTACAGTGCTGTCCAACTTTTAGTTTAAAATTACCATCTGTACGTATGCATTTGTACAAAAAAAAGAAAGCTGAGAGGACACAGAATAAAATGCTAACAGTTGGTGGGATTAAAAAGTTGATCCTTTGCTTTATATCTTTATATAATGTACGAATCTTTTCAAAGACACACATGATACACTTATAATCAGGAAAAAGGCCATTTTCATTTCACTTCAACAATAAAGATGGCTGGTGGCCCAAGTGTCCACACCTGGTGGCCAGCACGGTCAGCTGGTCTCAGCCCACACTGTGCTGACCACCATGGCCCCTCTGACTGCTCCTCCTGTGTCTGTCCCTCCATCCTAGGCCTAGCATGGCATTCTCATGTCTGTCCACACCCTGGGCTCTCCTGTCTGCTCACTCCAGCACCCCAGCTCCTGCCTCTGGGCCTTCCTGGACTCCAGACTCATGTCCACCTGCTCAACACCTCCAGTCCGCAGCACATCCTCAAATCCGTGGAAACAAGGCTGAGTTCCTGAGCTCCCCCAAACCCACCTACCAGGCTTCTCCATCTCAGGAAGCGGCGGCTCCGTCTTTCCAGCTGCTCCAGCCACAGCCCTGGGGTCCTTGGGAATCCACGGCCTCCCATGCACTGTGCCAGCGTACCCACTCTGCGTTCACACACACCCAGACTCCAGCACCCCTCAGCCTCTGCTGGCTTTACCTGGCCCCCAGCCAGTGCCAGCCGGTGATTACCTACAAGGGCCCTGCTGGGTCTGCTGCTCCCAGTCTTGCCCCCATGGTGGGCTCACAGCCCAGCACCCAACGGAGTCCTCTCAACTTCAGACTCTGGCCTGGAACCCAAGCTGAACCCATTCACCTTCTGAGGTGGCGCCAGCCTCCCATGAGATGACACTTGTGCCCCACCTTCTTCTCTGCTCCAGCCCCGTGGCCATCAATGCTGACTTCGCCCCACCCTCCTTGCTGCTTGTCACCTGTGCAGTGTCCCCTGCCAGACCCTCCTCACCTCGGTAAACTCTTAGATCCAACTCCACCTGCCTGACTTGACACTGCAGCTGGTTCCCAACCCTTCTAGCCTTTCTATCCTACTTGTTATCTTTCTCATAACATCAATCATCTCCTAACAAACTATATAACTTCTTACACTGACATCTGACCGTGTATGTCCAAAGCACTGGAGCAGGGCCCAGCACACAATGAATGCCTGAACAAACACATGCTCTGGGCCCCTGTGGCTGCCCTGGGCCCCTCTGAGCACAGGTCTTTCTGGCCCTTCTGTCCTCGGTGCCTACATCCAGTCACGCACACACTGACTTCATGGTCTCATTTCTTGCTCTCATCACAGCTTTTAGGAATTTCCTGAGCTGCAGACGCAGACGCAGAACAGCTGCTTGAACACATCCAGGGCATGTTTCCCGACACCTCAGACACACACAGAACCGAGCTGGGCATCCTCCCTCCCAAATCACGCCTCACCAGCAAGTGCCCTGACCTTACAGACCAAGCCAGACGCCTCCTTCTCACGTCCCCAAAACATCACAGACTGCGAGTCCAGTCCCCCTCCTCGCCATCCCTCAGGCGACCACAGCTCCACCTTCTCCAGGACCAGCCTCCTGGCACTGCTTGCTCCACTCTCCACTCCCCAAAGGCCTCCCTGACCCCAAGGGTGCAGCTACGTCCCCGGGCCAGTCCCTGTGGATTTATCACTCCTCCCACTGCAGCATCAGTATTCCTGATCTGACCTGGGAGGCCCTGCCCCTCCACCTCGCCCCCACACCCCCATCCTTCTCCCTTCTCCTCACACGTGGTGCCCCACCCACACCTATACCACCTCCAAAGCCCAGCAGCTTCCCACCTTCCTGTCTCCTGCACAGGCTGCTGCTCCCTCAGCCTGGAACCCCAGCTGAATCCATTCACCTTCCCAAAGTGGCACCAGCCCTGGAAGGGCCCATGAGATGACTCCTGTACCCCTCCCTTCCCCTGCCCTCCAGCCTCCTCCCTGCACAGGCCTGCCGACAGCCCATGAGATGACTCCTGTACCCCTCCCTTCCCCTGCCCTCCAGCCTCCTCCCTGCACAGGCCTGCCGACAGCCCATGAGGTGACTCCTGTACCCCTCCCTTCCCCTGCCCTCCAGACTCCTCCCTGCACAGGCCTGCCGACAGCCCATGAGATGACTCCTGTACCCCTCCCTTCCCCTGCCCTCCAGCCTCCTCCCTGCACAGGCCTGCTGACAAACCTCCAGGGAGGTCCCAAGGATGAGCAGCAGATCTGCCATGGGGAAATCAACCACATGCAGCAAGAACCTCTGGGGCAGCGGCTCCCCAAAGAACACAATGTCGGGCTTCACAACGCCGGTGCAGACCGGGCAGCGGGGAACCCTGTCTGCCATCACGTCAGCCTGGAAAACAGAGAAAACAGGCCTGAGGAAGATGCCTGCAACACCCTGTAAAAGGAAAAGGCAACAAGTTCTTATTAAAGTCTCAAACATTCTCCCCCAAAAAAGGTGAGAGAGGGATCATGAACCCCCATGTACCCAGCTTCAGGAATTACCAGTTTTCATAGCTAATTGTTTCACAGCCCTCCGGAATCTGGGAGGAGGTATTGGAGCCTTTAAAAGCAAATCTTGGACATCATATGTTTCACCCATAATTACTTCGGCAGGCATCTAGCGTATCTAACACCATGCTCTATCCCTGGGATGGCAGCCAGAGACATCCAGGCGCTAAGGAAACACCTGGTAGACCACACCAGTCCTCAAACAGTAGTCTGCAGGCATTTGGCCTACACCGAACACTATTCAGTCAGAAAGGTGAAACTGTCTCTGGTTTGAGCTTCGGTGATCATGCCATTGCCTCAGCCCTGGGAGGCATTCAGGTCAGCTTCACTCACTGGCTGGCATTATTAGGAGTAACAACATCTGCCAAACACTGCTTCCTTACTGGCCAAGGTGAAGTGGACACAACTTCCCTTTGCGTCAAGATTAATATAAATAAATGCCTTGGAGCAGATGGAAAAGGGAGAGAGTTACAGAGGAAGACACCTGACTTTCTAAGGTAAACCTTTACAGCTAACGGGGCTTGTTTTAAGCAGGCTCAGCCCAGCAAAAAGCAACAGATACAAAAGACAAAAGAAAGAGACCCACGAAAGATTTCAGATATTCTTGGATACACAGTAAAACTGTATTATATTTAAATTAAAAAGAAAAAACTGTTATCTTGGAGGCATGGGGTATAGCAAAAAAAAAAATTAAGGAAGCAAAAAAAAAAGATGAACTTGAAATATCTATCAAAGGCCAGGCGCAGTGGCTCAGCTCTGTAATCCCAGGACTTCGGGAGGCCGAGGTGGGCAGATCACGAGGTCAGGAGATCGAGACTGTCTTGGCCAACATGGTGAAACCCTGTCTCTACTAAAACACAAAAAATTAGCCAGGCGTGGTGATGCGTGCCTGTAATCCCAGCTACTTGGGAGGCTGAGGCAGGGGAATCACTTGAACCTGGGAGGCGGAGGTTGCTGTGAGCTGAGATTGCACCACTGCACTCCAGCCTGGGCAACAAAGCGAGACTCTGTCTCAAAAAACAAAACAAAACAAAACAAAACAAAAAACTATCTATTAAAGATATAAAATTATTAAAAAATTATGTAATAATGTAGCAGACTTGAAAAATAACCAAATAGAACTTCTAGAAATAAAAAGTACAGGAACCAAAATTAAAACTCAATGTCTGTTTTGAGTTGCTGTTTGGGAAAAAAGAAAGAAAGAAACACTCAATGGAAGGACCTTATAACAGAATACAATATTAGTAAACTGGAAAAAAGACCAGAAGAAATTACCCAGAATGCAGCACAAGAAGCAGCAATTACAGGACAGAAGAGTGATCAGGAACAGCAGGAGAGAGAAGGTCTAATGTATGTTCAATCAGAGGTCCCTAAAGAGAGGGGCCAGATAGTGGGCTAGGGGCAACTCATATCCGAAGAGATAACGGCAGAGTATGATCCAGCAACCATGAAAGACGCCAACCCGCAGATTCAGGATCTCAAGCAAGTGAGGGCTACTGAGCCAGCCTGAGGGTGCCCACAGGAAAAACATGAGTCACGGCACATCTGTGCTTGTTTCTGTCCCAAGAGGTTCTCAGGAGGTTTAGTAATTACATGTGGTCCTTCAAAGAGGGAGGGTGGCTGTGAGGTGAGTGGTTACGTACTTGTGAGACTTCAGTAAGTGCCCAGTAAATGTACATTTTACCTAAGATAGAAGGAAACAGAGGAAGAGAACTAAGCAGACCTCTCAGGGAAGGGTGAAGGAACCATTAATCTCATCTTGTCTTTAATCTGTATCTGGGAAGATAAACCAGTAATCCACATTAGCAGTGTAGAGTCTTTGAAAAGGGCTGGTTTCTGTTTAGCCCTTAGTGAAGAAGCCTAATGGTGGCTGGGGAGGGAGGGGTACAGTGAGGCGCGTCTGACCTCCTCTCCTGCTACGGCCAGGAACTCAAGCTTCCAAGGTTTCTCTGGGGTTCCCTTGACCAAGGGGAGGGCTCCATTCAGTTGGTTGCAGGGCTTAGAATTTTATTTTATATTTTATTTTTTTGAGATGGCATCTCGCTCTGTCACCCAGGCTGGAGTGCAGTGGCATGATCTCGGTTCACTACAACTTCTGCCTCCTGGGTTCCAGCAATTCTCCTGCCTCAGCCTCCCGAGTAGCTGGGATTACAGATGGGTGCCACCACAAATGGCTCATCTTTGTATTTTTAGTAGAGACGGGGTTTCACCATGTTGGCCAGGCTGGTCTCAAACTCCTAACTCAGGTGATCCACCCGCCTCAGCTTCCCAAAGTACTGGGATTACAGGCAGGAGCCACCGCGCCCAGCCTAGAATTTTATTTTATTTTTCTTAAGGAAGGCCTACAATTATTATTATTATTTTTTTTTTTTTGAGATGGAGTTTCGCTCTTGTTTCCCAGGCTGGAGTGCAATGGCCTAATCTCAGCTCACCGCAACCTCCGCCTCCCTGGTTCAAGCAATTCGCCTGCCTCAGCCTCCCGAGTATCTGAGATTATAGGCATGCACCATCACGCCCGGCTAATTTTGTATTTTTAGTAGATATGGGGTTTCTCCATGTTGGTCAGGCTGGTCTCAAACTCCTGACCTCAGGCGATCCACCCACCCGGCCTCCCAAAGTACTGGGATTACGGGCGTGAGCCACCATGACCAACTGGCCTACAAATTTTAAGCAGAAGAAATAAAAGAAAATTCATATGGAAAACCACAGTGGAGAAACCGCAAAACTCCAAAGACAAAAGTCTTAAAAAACAGGCAGAGAGGCCAGACACGGTGGCTCATGCCTGTCATCCCAGCACTTTGGGAGGCCGAGGCGGGTGGATCATGAGGTCAGGAGTTCGACACCAGCCTCACCAACATAGTGAAACCCCATCTCTACTAAAAATACAAAAATTAGCTGGGCATGGTGGCGCATGCCTGCAATCCCAGCTACTCAGGAGGATGAGGCAAGAGAATCGCTTGAACCTGAGAGGGGGAGGTTGCAATGAGCTGAGATCATACCACTGCACTCCAGCCTGGGCAACAGAGCAAGACTCTATCTCAAAAAAACAAAAAATCCAAACAACAACAACAAAAATAAAACAGGCAGAGAACAGATAGCAACAGTTTCAGAAATTTATATGAAAAGCCAAAAGATTCAGACCAGCCAACACAGTACTGAAGGAGAAGAACAAAGGTGGGGAATTAACATCAACCTGTTGCCCAAATTATCTATTTTATTCTCTTATTTATTTATTTATTTTGTTTTGAGATGGAGTCTCACTCTGTCACCCAGGCTGGAGTGCAGTGGTGCGATCTCAGCTCACAGCAACCTCCCCTCCCAGGTTCAAGCAATTCTTCTGCCTCAGCCTCCTGAGTAGCTGGGATTACAGGTGCACCACCACACCTGGCTAATTTTTGTATTTTTAGTAGAGATGGGATTTCACCATTTTGGCAGGCTGCTCTCAAGCTTCCCACCTCAGGTGACCCGCCTGTCTAGGCCTCCCAAAGTGCTGGAATTACAGGCGTGAGCCACTGTGCCCAGTCCCAAATAATCTCTTTTAAATGCAAATCCCTTCACATCATTTTCCTGCCTAAAAATCCTCCAATGCCTCCCATGATCGTCAGGATACAGTTCAAACCCTAACAGAGCAAGCAGGCCTCCCACACTCCAGGTCTCTGCTGCCAGAAACAGACTCTTACATCCAGACGGCCTCATCTCAAAGGTGCTTCCCAGCCTACTCTGTTCCTACAGCTGAGTCAGTGTAGTGTCCAGTACATATTTATAGTAAAATTCGTATGGCACCCAGTTGTAACTGTTGGATGACTCCACCTTATTTTAATTTCTATTCACATCCACAGAACCCAGCAAAGGGCCTGGCACTGAGGAGACTAAACTATTTGTTGAATAAATTGGTCATTCAATGAATGAGTTGACCAAAACAATAATACGTATATATCAAGTTTCTACTATGTGCTGGACTCACACTTCCTAATTTCAAAACTTACTACAAAGCTACAGTAACCAAAACATTATAGTGCAGGCACAAGGATATACAGATAACAATGGAATAGAATTGAGACTCTAGAAATAACCCATACACCTATGGCCAACTGATTTTCAACAACAATGCCAAGACCACAGTTTTTTTAAACAAATGGTGCTGGAACAATTACATATCCACATAAAAGAAAATGAAGCTGGATCCCTACCTTACAGCGCACACAAAAATTAACTCAAAATGGATCAAAGAACTAAATGTAAAAGCTTTAAACTATAAAACTCTTATAAGAAAACAGGAGTAAAACAATACCATTTCTCAGATATGATTCCAAAAGAGTGAGAAAATAAATAGACAAACTAGATTTCATCAAAATCAAAACTTCTATGCATCAAAAGACATCAACAAAGTAAAAAAGACAACCTACAGAATGACAGAAAATATTTGCAAATCATGTCTCTGATAAGGATCTAGCTTCCAGAATATATAAAGGACTCTCTTAACAATAAAAAAGACAACACAATTAAACAATGCGCAAAGGACTTCAATCTCCAAAGATATACAAATGGCCAAAAAGCACATGGAAAGATGTTTGATATCATGAATCATTAGGAAAATGCCAATCAGTGCTACAGTGGGTTACCACCTCCCACCCACTGGGATAGCTGTAATTAAAAAATGGAAAGTAAGTGTTGGGATGTGGAAAAGATGAAACCCTTGCCCACTGTTGGTGGAATGTAAAATGGTCCAGCTTCTGCAGATAACAGTATATTCGTTCCTCAAAAAGTTAAAACGGGCCGGGCGCAGTGGCTCTCGCCTGTAATCCCACACTTTGGGAGAAAGAGGCAGGCGGATCACGAGGTCAAGAGATCGAGACATCCTGGCCAACATGGTGAAACTACTCTACTAAATACAAAAATTAGCCGGGCGTGGTGGTGTGTGCCTGTAGTCCCAGCTACTCAGGAAGCTGAGGCAGGAGAATCGCTTGAACCCAGGAGGCGGATGGTACAGTGAGCCGAGATTGCGCCACTGCACTCCAGCCTGGTGATAAGAGCTAGACTCCGTCTCAAAACAAACAAACAAAAAAGTTAAACATGGGCAGGGCATGGTGGCTCACGCCTGTAATCTTAGCACTTTGGGAGGCCGAGGCGGGTGAACCACCTGAGGTCAGGAATGCAAGAGCAGCCTGGCCAACATGGTGAAACCCCATCTCTACTAGAAATACAAAAAACATTAGCTGGGCATGGTGGCAGGCACCTGTAATCCCAGCTTCTCAGGAGGCTGAGGCAGGAGAATCGCTTGAACCCGGGAGGCAGAGGTTGTATTGAGCCGAAATCGCGCCATTGCACTCCAGCCTGGGTGACAGTGTAAGACTGTGTCTCAAAAAATAAATAAATAAATATAGCTAAACGTGGAGTTACCCAGCAATACTTGTAGGTATCATACTCAAAAGAATAAAAAACAAGGACTCTCAAACGAATACTTGCATATGCTCCACAGCAGAACTATACACAAGAGCAGAAAGGTGGGACAACCCAAACACCCATCCATGTACAAACAAACCAACTGTGGTGCATACATCAGTGGAACATTTAGCCATGAAACAGGATGAAATACTAACACAAGCTACAAGGCGAAGGAGCGAGAAACATTTTCAGGAAATAAGCTCGGCACAAAAGGCCATCTGATTGCCGGGCGTGGTGGCTCACGCCTGTAATCCCAGCTACTTAGGAGGCTGAGGCAGAAGAATTCCTTGAATCCGGGAGACGGAGGTTGCAGTGAGCCGAGATCGCCCACTGCACTCCAGCCTGGGCGACAGAGTGAGACTCAATCTCAAAAAAAAAAAAAAAAAGTGGGCAGCTGGAATTGGCTGAAGGGAGATTCATTTTCCCTACATATTTCTATATTGTCTTAAATTTTTTTACAAGCATGTATTGATTTTCTAATTTACAAATAAAATGTTTCACACTATTATTGTTCAACTGTCCTTTCGAGACAATGCTTATAAAATACCACTTTTCCAGATCACCCCAACAGCAAACTGCAGAAGGACAACCAACAGCAGGATAACTCACCCGAATGTCCTCCCCTGGGAAGGGTCTTTGGCAGACTGTGCAGGTGGCAGAGGCAAAGGTTCCATGAGCTTCAACCAGCTTTGAGGCAGGGATGCCCGACACTGAAATTCAAGCCAAAGCGAAGTGTTGCTGCCGCCTCCGAGATGAGCACGCAAGGCCAAGAGCACAACTTCTGGGCTTGGCAGGACTCCTGGAAGGAGGCACAGCCCCTTGGGGTTGTGATGTCCTCAAGCCTGGTTTTCATGCCCGTATCACCTACATGCGCCATCAACCAGAATAAGGCAGGGGAGCAAAGGGGCACCTAGCTGGAGCCAAATCACGGTTAAAACAAAGCCTGTCAAAACTCAGTACGAAAAACCATTTGATAAAAGCTCAAATAAAATTATATCCAGCCGGGCACAGTGGCCCACACCTGTAATCCCAGCACTTTGGGAGGCCGAGGTGGGCAGATCATTTGAGGCTAGGAGTTCAAGACCGGCCTGGCCATCATGGTGAAACCGTACCTCTACTAAAAATACAAAAATTAGCCAGATGTGGTGGCAGGCACCTGTAGTGCCAGCTACTCGGGGAGGCTGAGACAGGAGAATCGCTTGAACCCGGGAGGTGGAAGTTGCAGTGAGCTGAGGTCGTGCCACCGCACTCCAGTTTGGGTAAGAGAGCGAGATTCTGTCTCAAAAAAAAAAAAAAAAATTACACCTAATACCAGGCTGGGTGCAGTGGCTCATGCCTGTAATCCCAGTGCTTTGGAAGGCCAAGGCAGGAGGATCACTTGAGGCCAGGAGTTTGAGACCAGCCTCAGCAACATAGTGAGACTTGTCTTAAAAAATTTTTTTAATTAGCCAGGCATGGTAGTGCATGCCCGTAGTCCCAGCTATTCCAGAGGCTGAGGCAAAAGGATCACTTCGGCCCAAGAGTTCAGGCTATAGTGAGCTATGATCATGCCACTGCACTCTAGCCTGGGCAACAGAGCCAAGACCCTGTCTCAAAAATTTATATCTAATATCCAGGAACATATCTTCTATTCTACAGATACCAAGTTAAAATGAGGATATAAATATCATAAATTCCAAAAGAATTGCTTGGTAGAAACAGACAAAAAGTGACTTCTTATGAAAGTTGTGTTAGTATTAACTGGTTCTGAAAGGCTGCGGTGGCACAGCCAGGGTCCCAGCTGCAGGAGGCTTCCCAAGTCCCTGTCGCTGCCCTAACTCAGCAGTGCTGAATCTCACAGCCAGGAGCTCCCACCTTCCCACAAGGCCTGCCCTGCTGCACCTCTGGGAGAAGAGCCCACCAACATGGGGCATCCGCTGCTGCCTCTGTGGTTCCAAGTCAGGGGATCCTTCTGGCAAGGAAACACATTCCTGGAGCCAAGGTGCCACCTCTTTTTAACTGACAACACATCAGCAGTCTCTCCGGGAGCCTGGCTCCCGGAGAGCTGACTGTCCCAGCACCTGTCTGCATCACTGCACGTAAGGAAAAGGCCCCACCAAGTGCTTCCGTTAGGTGCACGGCCAGAAGTTGGCACAACCTGTGAATCGCTGGTTTGGGCACCATATGGATACGGTCAAGAAATCACCACAGACTAAGTGTGACCATATTAAGGAATTACTAGTGATTCTTCAGTGTGAATCACTATCAGAGTTGTTTTTATTTTTTAATTATTTTTATTTTTATTTATTTTTTTGAGACAGAATCTCCCTCTGTCGCCCAGGCTGGAGTGAAGTGGCACGATCTCGGCTCACTGCAACCTCCGCCTGCTGGGTTCAAGAGATTCTCCTGTCTCAGCCTCCCGAGTACCTGGGATTACAGGCACACACCACCACGCCTGGCTAATTTTTTGTATTTTTAGTAGAGACGGGGTTTTGCCACGTTGGCCAGGCTGGTCTCGAACTCCCGACCTCAGGTGATCTACCTGCCTCGGCCTCCCAAAATGCTGGGATTACAGGTGTGATCCCACACCTGTAATCCGGCACCCGGCCGGAGTTGTTTTTAAAGTATTCTCTAGAGCTATCCATTCATGTGTTTATAGATTATTTCTAGATTAAATTCATGATGTGAGAGATTTGCTTCAAAATAATCTGGGGATTTGGAAGAAGGTGGTGAGGACGCAGGAAGAACTGGCTGTGTGCTGGTGATGAGGACAGGACGGTTCGTTACATTGCTCTCTTTGTGTGTGCTCAAAAAAATTCCATAATACACTTCTTAAAAGAGAGAAGAAAAAAAGAGATCATCACACCAGATTGGCAAAACAATGTCAACTTCTGCCCAAAATACACAGCTCTGCAGGTATGCAGGAGAACAAGCAGTGGCCTTTAAACACCCAGAGGACATTTTCCTTGGGAACAAAGCCCTAACTAGTTGGCTCAAAAAAAGTCCCAAGGAAGAAGCATAAGCGATAGGTTTTGGCCGTCCCCAGAAACAGGCACCCGAGCATCCCCTGTGAGAAACAGGCACCCGAGCCTCCCTGGGAGAAACAGGCACCCGAGCCTCCGTGGGAGAAAAAGAATGTGTGCGACTCACAGAGGGCTCACCTCTCTCAAGCCCATCGATGTTCTGCGTGTAGAGCCGCAGAAGCAGCCCCTTGTCATGAAGCAGCCGGAGAAAGTAGTGAGTGACGTTGGGCTTGTAGTTTCCAGGGTACAGCTCCTTGGCCAAAGTGAAAAAGGGCTTGGGGTTGTGAAAGAAGAATGGGAGTTCAAAAATGGCCTCGGGGTACGGGAGATCGTACTGCTGGAGGTTGCTGTACAGGCCACTCCCCGGCGATCTGCAGGGAGAGAAGAAAGGCTCTGAGGCCTTTGGAAGAGGACAGGGAAGTGGAATAAACTGGGCAGTGGGGAGGGCAGGAGTCAGGGGAGGGGAGCGCAGAAGGCAGGTGGGACTGTGGGCAGTACCTGAAGTCTGGAATGCCACTGGGTGTGCTGATGCCGGCCCCCACCATGACCACCACCCTCTGGCAGGCTCTGGCCCGAATCAGCTCAGCTACATCCTGCAGGGAAAGCTTCCCCTTGTCACTGCTGCCTCCACTTCCAACAACACTTGAAGCACCCACAGAAAAAGATATGGACCTTCTTCCACCTTTAATACTGACAGAAAAAAACACAGCAGCAAAGGAAACAGATAGCAACCAATCTCAGGATAGCAAGAACGAGCATGGCTCTGCCCTCTGCACCACCGCCACCCTCGAGAATGAGCATGTGTGTCTCCCCAGGCCTCTCAAAATAATCACCTTTCTTAGACGACTATTGGGGTACAACAAAAAGCAGTCATAAATCAGAAATCAAGACTTACTTGGGAGCAAAAAATTCAGGTTAATGGGAACTGTGCTCATTTCATAATTCAGTACACTCAGTAGGCACTCAACTCTGACTGACTGCAAACCTCCAAAGGGGTCTCCTAATGAAAACTGGTTAAGGAGTCAAGAAGCAAAGAGGGAAAACCCTGGTTCTAAAACCATCTCACCACCTATTAAGCGCCCCACTTCACACAGCATTTCAGACATCTATTCACTTAAGGTCGTTCCCCAAACAGCTACTGTGCTCCTACTAAACACGAACTGTTAAGAGAAGCACAAAAGGAATGAAAGTTATTATTGCTGTTGAGTGCCTGCTGAGGGCAAGGTATCACGAAGGGTGCCTGAGTACATTCCTCATTTACGTAAATAAAATGTTTGTGAGTCACTGAAAAACACATAAACGGCGTTTTACCAAATGTCTGGAACATACGTAAGATGTATGGCTTAAAGTACATGCTGCATGGTGTGAAATTCACTGGGAGTGGGGGACCCTGAGGGGCAGGCATGGGTGCAACCTGGGAGGGACACTGTGCAAAGGACACAAACAACAAATTCAGAGAGCTCAAAAATCCAAAGCCAAACTGGAGGAAGCCCATGCAATGGACTACTCCTCACACGCAGCCCTATGCCTCCTGCTTTAGGGCCAGTGGTAGCAAGGATTTTTGTTTTGTTTTGTTTTGTTTTGTTTTGAGACGGAGTCTCGCTCTGTTGCCCAGGCTGGAGTGCAGTGTCGCGATCTCGGCTCACTGCAAGCTCCGCCTCCCAGGTTCACGCCATTCTCCTGCCTCAGCCTCCCGAGTAGCTGGGACTACAGGCACCCGCCACCACGCCTGGCTAATTTCCTTGTATTTTTAGTAAAGACGGGGTTTCACTGTGTTAGCCAGGATGGTCTCGATCTCCTGACCTCGTGATCCGCCCGTCTCGGCCTTCCAAAGTGCTGGAATTACAGGCGTGAGCCACCGCGCCCGGCCGCAAGGATTTGTTTTAACAGTTTTGCAGAGTATCACAGATATTAGAATGCGCTCCACGTGTTTGTAGGTCCTGGTCCCTGCTCCATCCATAGCACCTAGAACAGAGTCTGGCACAGAATAAGAGCTCAGTCAGGGCTTCTTGGATGAACGACTGACTCTTCGGGATCTTTGTTTTTTTTTGAGACGGAGTTTTTGCTCTTTCGCCCGGGCTGGAGTGCAATGGTGCCATCTCGGCTCACTGCAACCTCTGCCTTCCGGGTTCAAGTGATTCTCCTGCCTCCGCCTCCTGAGTAGCTAGGATTACAGGCGCCCGCCACCACGCCCGGCTAATTTTTGTAATTTCAGTAGAAATGGGGTTTCACCATGTTGGCCCAGCTGGTCTCGAACTCCTGACCTCGTTATCCACCCGTCTCATCCTCCCAAAGTGCTGGGATTACAGGCGTGAGCTACCGCGCCCGGCCAACTCTTCAGGATCTATTAAACTTTTTTCTTTTTTTTTTCCCACAGGTAGATAAGAGTCTTGCTCTGTCACCCAGGCTGGAGTGCAGTGGCTCAATCATAGCTCACTGCAGCCTTGAACTCCTGGACTCAAGGGATCCTCTTGCCTTAGTCTCAGGAGTAACTGGGACAACAGGCTTGCGCCACCATGCCCGGCTAATTTTTAAATTTTTGGTAGAGATGGGGGTCTCGTTATGTTGCCCAGGCTGCTCTTGAACTCCTGGCCTCGAGCGATCCCCGTCTCAGCCTCCGAAAGTGCTGGTATTACAAGTGTGAGCTACCACTTCGAGACTCACTTTTCACCAACATTTTCAGCAGTTGTGTCAGACAGCAAGTCAATGTGCCATTATTTACTTAAATATTCATCCATTATAGGGCATCTGATACCTAACAACCATGGACCTTAAGATTTTTTCCTATGTAGCCTCAGTTCTTAGATGCAATTACTATGGAGACGGGTACGATCACATGCCAGTGGGAGTATTAACCGCACAACATTTATGAGGGATCATTAAAGCGTTAAATGCATATACTTTTGGACCTAGCAATCCCAGTACTAGGAATTTATGCAAACAGTGAGGTGCCAACAAGGTTATTCACCACAGCATGATGCACAATAACTAAAGGTTAGAACGTATTTCAATGAGGGAATGGTGAAATAAACGACAAAACCCCCATAAGTGACGTCCACAGATCAGCATAAAGACGGAGGCCCCGGTGTTGGAACGCACGTAAACTCCCAGACATGCCGCAAAGGAAACACGGCAAGGTGAGAAAGAGTGGGCGAGGTGTCGACAACGAACACGCAAGAAGTGCTTGTCCTTGCCCAAAATACCTCGAAAAGAAGAAACTGGGAGCTGCTGCCCTCGGCTGCCTCCGGAATGCCCTGGGCACCTCGGGTCTGGGAGGCCTCTGCAAGGGGCGCGCCGGGTCCAAGGGCTCACCGCGGGCCCCATGGCTGCCTCTCAGCCCCGCACTCACATCGTCCCTGCCGCCAAGCACCAGCCGACAGCCGCAGGCCTGAAACGGCCCCACGCCTCCCCCGGCCTCGACCCGTTCAACTACCCGGCCCCACAGCCGGAGGGCTGCCGCGGCGCGCCAACCCCAGAACGCCATGTTCCGCGCAGTCCAAGGAGTCCTCCGGACTCGCCCCGCCCCCGGCGCCCCGGCCCCGCCTCCGCCTCCCACCCCCGCCCCCGGCGCCCCAGCCCCGCCTCCGCCTACCGCCCCCGCCCCCGGCGCCCCGGTCCCGCCTCCGCGCCCCGCCCCCGCCTCCTTGCCGACGCCTCCGGCGCGCCCAGGTAGACGTAGAGGCGAGTAGAGGAAGTTCCCTAGTCTGGTGTCTCATCTCTCGCCCCGGAGGTCAAACCTGGAGCCAGCATTTCTGTACCCTGCGCTCACACCTTTTTCAACCCGGATGGCGGTGATAGTTAATACTTTCTGAGCGCTTTTACTATGGTCAGGCATTATATTTACACCTAATCCTCGCAAAACACTACTGGGAAGATCCTCATTTGACAGGAGCAATTCCGGGTCACAAAGGCTGACACCACAAAGCTAGTCCGTAGCGGGTTCGACCACAGGCGCCCACACTCTTTGACGCCTCAATGGCACAGCCAAGTGCGCGGGAAGTGGGCTGCAAACGCCGGAGAGTTTTGTCCGGAGCGCAGAGACGCGCTGTAACCGAGCAACCAGCGGGGCCCGCCCCCGGCCTGCTACGGCGCTCCCAGCCTGCCCCGCGCCGCTCGGCGCCGGAAGTGAGTGAGCATTTCCGGCAGCCATCCCCGCGGTGCTGACATCCCGGTTGTTCTTCTGTGCCGGGGGTCTTCCTGCTGTCATGAAGGACGTACCGGGCTTCCTACAGCAGAGCCAGAACTCCGGGCCCGGGCAGCCCGCTGTGTGGCACCGTCTGGAGGAGCTCTACACGAAGAAGTGAGCGCCGAGCAGACGGGCCCTGGGCCCCGGCGATAGAGGGAGACGGAGGGGGCAGGCGGGCGGAGGAGCGGACCCTTGATGGGCTGAGGGCGCCCAGACCCAAGTTGGGGGGAAACGGGGACGTGTAGCGACCGGCTGTGCCGGCAAGGTTTGCTGAGGAACCTTGAGTGGCAGGGTCGAGGAATAAGAGGGATGACAGACCACGAGGGCCAAGAGCTGTAGCCAGGATGTTTCGGTCTGAGATTCACTGCTTCCTTAACGGGGGACTGAGACTGAGGCTTCTGAACTCCTACCTCGGGTCTTACTAAAACGGTTCAGGAGTAGCCTTTGATTTTAGCTCTTGATTCCATCTAACAAGCAAACACACTTTCAGGGCCACCACCCACTTTGGGAAACATGTTGGTGATTCGTGCTTAGCCTTGTCATAGTGTAACTGTATCTACAGTTATCTTTCTCATGGTCTGGAGTTGATAAACCAGAGGCTAGTACAGCTTTGCTGTTTTCCCTATTCATTCTGCAGCTGGTTGCACGGGGTGCAACCACTTCCGCCGTCCCATTGTCTTTACCTTCCATTGTATTTCTCATGGGCTTTCTGCCCCTAGAAAGATCTTAAAGTTTAGGTTTGTTTAGAAACAGGATGAATTGCAGAGCAATTAAATTCTTGCTAAGCACTAACCTCCTTTTAATATGAGTAGAATAAATTGCTGGCATTGGGCTGGAGCTATTCCATAGAAAATACATCTCCTGTAGTAACCTCCCTGTTAACCCTAGCATTTAATATAATACCTTTCACATAGATGTTCCATACATGTTTTGATGATGTTTAGCATTCAGCAGCCTTCTGCTATTAGCAGTTTTTGAGAGCAAATTAATGTTTGGCAAATAATGGTTTGTGTTGGATAGCACTTGGTAATTTTCAAAGCATTTTATCTGCGTTATTAAATATTAGCCTTTGGGTTTTGGATGAAGCGCTATGTCACTGTCCCTGAGGTTTTAAATATTAGCTTATTTAATCCTTTATTCATCCTTTTCACAGAGGAGGAAACTGAAGCTCATTTTAATTGCCTTCCCTGAGATACTCAGCTAATAGGTAGAAGAGCCAGCATCTCAAGTTAGATATGTATGATTCCAAAGTTCTCGTTTCCAGTGAAACCTCACAATAACCCTTTGAGTTAATCTAGATTAATGTTCTCCATTTCATACCTGGGAAAACTGAGTCTTAGAGAAGTTAAGTGATCTCAAAGTGACATAGCCATTCAATAGCAGAGCCAGGAAAAGAACTCAGGTTTATCACATCTGCTTTAGCATTCTTTCTGCTACACCGTAGAGACTGGTTAGTATGGATTTAGTATCCCTTATCAGAAATGCATTGGGGCGGCCGGGCGCAGTGGCTCATGCCTGTAATCCCTGCTACTCGGGAGGCTGAGGCAGGAGAATCACTTGATCCTGGGAGGCAGAGGTTGCAGTGAGCCGAGATGGCGCCACTGCACTACAGCCTGGGCAACAGAGTCAGACTCTGTCTCAAAAAAGAAAGAAAGAAATGCATTGGGGCAAAAGTTTTTTTGGATTTAGTATTTTTTCAAATTTTGAAATATTTGCGATATATACTTACCCGTTCAGTATCCATAAATCAAAAATCTGAAATCTGAGATGCTCCAGTGGTCATTTCCTTTGAGCCCTATGTTGGTGCTCAAAAAGTTTTGGATTTTGGAGCATTTTGAATTTTGGAGTTTTGGAGTTTTGGATTAGAGATACCCAACCTGTATTTGTGACTTGATAGAATCATCAAGGCTGGAGGTGTCTGTGACTGGATATTAGGTTAGAGGTCTTAAGGGCTGTATGTTTTTCAGGTTGTGGCATCAGCTGACACTTCAGGTGCTTGATTTTGTGCAGGATCCGTGCTTTGCCCAAGGAGATGGTCTCATTAAGGTAAATAATTTGCTATACCAGATTAGATTATATGAATGTGCTCAAGGACTTTTGAAAATAAGATAGGCTTTATGCTAATAATAATAATAAGCTCCAATATTCAGCAGTCACTTTACGTCAGGTACTGGTCTGAGCGCTTCACATATCCTTCATGACAACGCTGGTCAGTAGATACTACTATCTCACTTTTTTGATGTAGAAGCAAACATAAGACTTTAAGTAACTTACCATAGATCACTGCTGATAAGTGGCAGAAGAGGATTCAAACACTGACATTCTGGCTTTTTTTGAAATTCTAGCATAAAGTATTATCTTACAACATGCCTAAGTATCTTAGTTCATAGGCTTCTTTTTAGTACTCTAGTTTTAGAAACAAAGTTCAAACCCAGTTAGAGGGTGGAGTAAGGTATGAGGAAGATTACTATCTGTGGGAATCTTAGATAACTTCCATCACTCCCCTTCTTTAAGCCGCACTGCTTGCTTGCCCAGACACTTCTGTCCTGGGTAGTGTGGAAAATAAAACACCTTTTGTACTTCGGTTGAGGGTAGGTGGATTGGAGGGAGAGTCCTGTATAGTGTCATGCTGCCTCTGTAATAGAGGACTTTTAGAATTTTTTCAGCAGTAGACAAATACGCACCTTCTTTCCCAGCCTTCCCCAGATCCCCTGACACATCCCCACGAATTTGCTCACTGGTAGCCTCCTCTTTGAAGTTTTTCCTGACATCTTACTCTATGATGGCTTTCTCTGATTCTGAATGAATCAGAGATTCATACCAGCATTGCAACTGATAGCTTATAATTACATTTTGAGTCATTTCTCCTGAATACATTACTTTTATATGCTCGCAATAGAGCTTACCACCTTGCTACCCCACCACCTGGGCTTGTAAGATTTTCTTGTGGTTTATAGCCATCAATTTGACATTTTACTATTCAGAGGAACTTACAATCATCTGTAAGCCTGGAGATTTTGCTGAACATTCAGTCTTCTGGATTATGTGGGAAAATGATAAATGAGACCTGCTTTTTTTTTTTTTTTTTTTTTTTTTTTGACGGAGTTTCGCTCTTGTTGCCCGGGCTGGAGTGCAATGGTGCGATCTTGGCTCACTGCAACTTCCACCTCCCGAGTTCAAGCGATTCTTCTGCCTCAGCGTCCCAAGTAGCTGGGATTACAGGTGCCCACCACCACAGCCAGCTGATTTTTGTATTTCTTAGTAGAGATGGGGTTTCACCAGTGTTGGCCAGGCTGGTCTCAGACTCCTGACCTCAGGTGATCTGCCTGCCTTGGCCTCCCAGAGTGCTGGGATTATAGGCAGGAGCCACTGTGCCTGGCCTGAGACCTGTCTTAATACTTGTTCCCTAAGGTTCTAAATCATCACGATAGATGATTCATAATTGTTTATCTCTGTCCTTTGGTTTCTTATCTTTAAATCACTTTTCTACACATGACAAAATATTTCCTCAACCTCATGGTAAGGTGATGTTTATTTAGGTTGGCAGATCTGAGTTTACTTTTCCCATAGACAGAATAAACCTTTAAAATTTGTTGGGATCCAGCTAGCATAAGTGTAAAATGGATAGTATTTTTGAATTTATAGTCACCAGAAGTAATTTTGACTTTCTGGACTTAGTGGGCTTCTTTTTTAAGGTAATTTTTTAGATTAATACATGTCAGGAAAGTTCAAACATTTCCTTCTAATAAGGAAGATATCTTTGAAATAGTCTTTTGTAATAAAAATGCCATTTTATTTATTTATTATTATTATTTTTTGAGACGGAGTTTCATTCTTATCACCCAGGCTGGAGTGCAATGGCACAGTCTCAGCTCACTACATCCTCCTCCTCCCGGGTTCCAGTGATTCTCCTGCCACAGCCTCCAGAGTAGCTGGGATTACAGGCACCCGCCACCACGCCTGGATAATTTTTGTATTTTTAGTAGAGACAGGGTTTCATCATGTTGACCAGGCTGGTCTCAAACTCCTAACCTCAGGCGATCCACCCGCCTTGGCCTCCCAAAGTGCTGGGATTACAGGTGTGAACCACCACCTGGCCACCATTTTATTTATTTTGGGTGGGCAAAGGGACAGAGTCTCGCACTGTCGCCCAGGCTGGAGTGCAATGGCAGATCTCAGCTCGCTGCAACCTCCGTCTCCCCAGTTCAAGCCATTCTCATGCCTCAGCCTCCCAAGTAGCTGGGATTACAAGCGTGTGCCACCACACCTGGCTAATTTTTGTAGTTTTAGTAGAGATGGCATTTCACCATGTTGGCCAGGCTGGTCTTGAACTCCTGTCCTCACGTGATCCACCAGCCTCGGCCTCCCAAAGTGCTACATAACAGACGTGAGCCACAGCACCGGGACAAAAATGCCATTTTATTTAGTTGACTGTTTCTTGTGTGCCTGATTGGAATATGTAATTGCTACAGGGGTGTTTTCATCCTTCTACCTTCATATCCCAGAGGAACTACAGGCTCTCCTAATCCAAAGTTAAGGTCATTTGGAGGTTCCCTCTCCTACTGTGCCCACACTAGGCGCTCTTGGCCCAGTTACCCCTAACTCAGGGGTTATTGTCAGCTCTCCTTCTCTGTGACCGGCCCACATCTGAGTGAGTCTGGTTCGTTACCCCTAAATCTCTCTCAAATTATTCATCCATCCTCATTACGGTTGCTCCCTCACTCTCCTGTCTTGGCCAGTACTAGCCTCTGACTGTTCTCTCTCAGTCTCTTTCACCTGCTGTCCTCTCTGCCCCAGGCGTGTTTCTAAAATAGAAATGATCATGTGTGTCCTCTGGTTCGGCCTTGCACTCTGGACAGAGACCAATCTTCAGTGCTTCCTAGTCTGTGTCCCTCAGAAATGCCCCTGAAACATAATGTATTTTTTTCTTCAGTGCTTTTGCACATGTTTGTTACTGTCTGGAATGTTCTTCTCTCAGCTTCTTCCCCTCCCACACCAAATGGCCACCTCTCTAACCGCCCTTCATTCCTTGAAACTCAGTATTGCCACTTCTACAGTAACCTTTGAAGCCTCTCCCTTTGGCTGATGCACTTCTGCCCCTTTTTTTTTCTTTCTTTCTTTTTGCTCTTAAACTCACTGTATTGTCATTTATTTGTTTAAAGACTGTCTTCAGTGGACCAGGAGCTCCTTGAAGACACATCATTTGTCTTACACGTTCTATGTTGTAGTATCTAGTATGGAGTCTGAGGAAGTGCTCAAGTGTGCTGAATGGCTAAGAAATTTGAAAACGGTGCATAATTAGCTTTAATTAAAATCTGAAGGAACTCCATTCTGTTTGATTAGCAAACATTTCTCTTTTTGTTTTAAATTTTATTTCATTAACTTAATAGGTGAACAAAATGTGTATTTCAAATCTAATTGAAATTCATCTGAAACATGTTTACACAGAAGATAGATATAAGATTTCAAGTAACTTATTGTACAGTCCATTGTCCATTTTAAGATATTCTTTCTTCCAAAAAAACTGCGTTGAATGTCAAAAAAAATCTTTTATACTCCATAAAATTGAGATGCAAACTTCTGATATAAATTTTTTTCACTGTCAACTCCGATGATAAAGATGGGAGGCACAAGCGTTCACAGTTCAGTTAAATGATGCAAACGAAAAGCTTCTGTTTTCCTTTGATACAAATTAGAAGCCTCCATTCAGGTCTCTTACAGTAGTACCGCATACTTGATCCTGATACTACATTATGTCTTTTTCTTTTTCTCTTTTTTTTTTGAGATGGAGTTTCACTCTTGTTGCCTAGGCTGGAATGCAATGGCACAATCTCAGCTCACAGCAACCTCTGCCTCCCTGGTTCAAGCGATTCTTCTGCCTCAGCCTCCCAAGTAGCTGGGACTACAGGCGCGCGCCACCATGCCCAGCTGATTTTTGTATTTTTAGTAGAGACGGGGTTTCACCATGTTGACCAGGATGGTTCCAATCTCTTGACCTCATGATCCACCCACCTCTGCCTCCCAAAGTGCTGGGATTACAGGCGTGAGCCACTGCGCCCGGATGGTTACGTCTTTTTCTTTCCCTTTTTTTACTTCCCTCTCCTTGTTGAAGACTTTGGTCACCACCTCCTGTTTTTTTGTGTCCTTGTTTTTAATTTAGGTATCATTTATGCTGCACACAACATTACTGACTTAACGTGGTGGGAAATGTACAAGATAGAGGCTGCCATTTTCCTGTTTGAGCTGGGCCCAGATTCTGCTTTTATATTGAACATCACGATTCCATTCTCTAGAGAACATTTTATTTTTCTCAAGAAATGCATTAAGTCCAACTGCTAAACATAGATCTTGAATCTCTAGCTGTAGGATTTTCAACAGTCTTACTTATGGGGATTCACCTTCCTTCCACAATGGTCTTATTATTTAAATGAGTAGGACAGATACAAATAAACCTGAACATAGATCTTGAATCTCTGGCTGTAGGATTTTCAACAGCCTTACTTATGGGATTCACCTTCCTTCCACAGTGGTCTTCTTATTATTTAAATAAGCAGGATAGATACAAATAAACCTGTCCTGGTAGGCTGGGGACCACACGGCAGCGCAGGCCATCTTCACAAGGGTCCAAATACCAACAGCCCGGAAGCCACAGGGAGAGAACTGAGGGAGCGTTTCAATCTGATAGTCTATTTAGCTTACAGTACCTGGAAGAAAGAATATAGGAATCTGTCTGGAGGTTCTTATAGGTCAGTACTCTAATTCCCAAAACTAGAAGAAACCTAATATTCCTTAGTAATCTGTTGATCATTTATGTGAATGTAAGTAAGCCCTGATATGGTCTCCTATCATTCTGCAAACATGCATTGCTTACTGTGTGCTGGGCACTGTGGCTTGCACACTCCCAACTTGATAGCATTGATGCAGCTTCTTTACCAAAGATAGTGTTTGGGGTCTTCGTTTTGCAGAATAAAAGACATCCTATAATTTCTCTCCATGTTTTGGTTTCACAGCTTTATGAAAACTTTATCAGTGAATTTGAACACAGGTAAAAGCCTCTCATCCGTTTTTCACTTTGAAAATGAGTGCATTGATGCTCGGCGGTGCTCAAAGGCTGGTGGCTTTTATTTCAGGGTGAACCCTTTGTCCCTCGTGGAAATCATTCTTCATGTAGTTAGACAGATGACTGGTAAGTCTCACTTTGTTTTATAAAGGAGCAGATCCAAATGGTGGTTAAAATTGAAATATAAGTTAACTGAACTTTTGTGTTTTCTGTATCAGATATTATGTTTTTATTATACTTTATGGTCAAAACCTAAAGATTACCCTACCTAAGGGTGTCTTGGTTAGCAGAAACCAGTCTGTTGATGGTCCTTCTGATTGTTCCTTCTTTTCCAGATCCTAATGTGGCTCTTACTTTTCTGGAAAAGACTCGTGAGAAGGTAAATGTGGCATGTGGGCAATACCTTTTAGTACCTTTTAGAGTATGTATGACTTAACAGCTTGTGTTCATGCTCACTGTCCAGACCTTTAGAGACCACAAGGCCTCTAGTCATCAAGGTTAAGTTAATGTACAAGTAGCTAGCTTCCTTTGTTAGTCAACTGCCCACATTCTGAGGTTTCTTGTTTTTGTTTTTGATGTCTTAGGTGAAAAGTAGTGATGAGGCAGTGATCCTGTGTAAAACAGCAATTGGAGCTCTAAAATTAAACATCGGGGACCTACAGGTTACAAAGGTGAGATCACCATAATACAGATTTATCTTTGGTTTAAAATTATTTAAAACCCTAGGAAAAAAAATAACCTATTTTTCTTCTTTACTGTTTATTTTAAAACATTTTTACATTACAGAAAAGTTGCAAAAATAACACAAAGAACTACTATACCCCAACCTAAATTTCCCATTGCAAACCTTTTTTTTTTTTTTTTTTTAAAGACGGAGTCTCGCTCTGTTTCCCAGGCTGGAGTGCAATGGTGCAATCTCGGCCCACCGCAACCTCCGCCTCACGGGTTCAAGCAATTCTCCTGCCTCAACCTCCTGAGTAGCTGGAATTACAGGCGCGTGCCTCCCTGCCCGGCTAATTTTTTTGTATTTTTAGTAGAGACAGGGTTTCGCCATGTTGGCCAGGCTGGTCTGGAACTCCTGACCTCAAGTGATCCCTCTGCCTCAGCCTCCCAAAGTGCTGGGATTACAGCCGTGAGCCGCTGCGCCCAGCCCCCCCGATTGCTAACCTTTTACCGCTTTTGCCTTTGTGTGTGTCTGTAGCTTTTTTCCAAAACCACTTAGGAGTAAGTTGCTGATACAATGCCTGTTGCCCTTAAACAAAAGAGCACTCCCCTGTGTGACCACAGCACATCCGTCTAATAATGACTCCACATGGCCTCAGTCAGCCCAAAGCACATTGGTTCTCCCTGACCAAGGTCAGCCTACACACCACTGGCATGTCACGTGCTATTTCTCCATCTTCCTTCTGCCTCCTAAATGTTGTTGAAGTATCCTGTCTATTTTTATGTCTTTCTTATGTTCAATTATGTTTTGGTGCAGTTGGGAGACAGGTATGGATGTGGGTGGCAGTGAAACCGACATGTGGCTGGTCCACCTGGTTGAACCAGAACGTGTGTGTGTGTGTGTGTGTGTGTGTGTGTGTGTGTGTGTTTGCATGTGTGTTCGTGTGTTTGTGTGTGTTTGTGTGTGTGTGTTTGTGTGTGTGTGTGTTTGCTAATCACAATGTTAAAGAAAATATTGGGGGTAAGGGTTAAAGTGTTCATGTCCTCATTGCCCTGAAAAGATACTTTTTATTGTTTATTGTCAGTCCTAACCCATATGCATACTTAGTGCATTTTATTTTCAAATATTTTAAGACATATTGAAAGCTATAAGTCACAGTACAGAATGCTGTAATAGGCATCCATGTGCCCCAACCAGCTTAGGAAGGAATGAAGCCACACGGCACAGTCAGGGTCCCAGTACCCTTCAGACCACACTTCTCCCCCAGCCAGGCTCCCTCTCATGCCCATGCATTTCCTTGTCCTTCATTAAATAGGGGTGTGTAACTCAAGCGTTTTAACATTGGCTCAATACTAGGTTTCAGAGTCATGTGGGTATGTGTAACCAATGTGCTGTTACTCCTATACGGTATTTCATTGTATAAGTGTTTCACAACATATGTATCCAGTCTCCTATTGAAGAGATTTAGGGCCAGGTGCGATGGTCACACCTGTAATCCCAGCACTTTGGGAGGCTGAGGCAGGTGGATCACAAGGTCAGGAGTTCAAGACCAACCCAGCCAAGATGGTAAAACCCCGTCTCTACTAAAACCACAAAAATTAGCCGGGCATGGTGGCGGGCGCCTGTAGTCCCAGCCACTCGGGAGGCTGAGGCAGCGAATTGCTTCAGCCTGCAAGGCGGAGGTTGCAGTGAGCCGAGATCGCACCACTGCACTACAGCTTGGGCAACAGAGCGAGACTCTGTCTCAAAAAAAAAGGGAGATTTAGGTTGTTTTTTTTACTATCACAAACAGTACTGCCATAAGTATTTCTGTGCCTGGTCCCTTGTGTGTGGGCAGAATCTCACCAAGATGTATGCCTAGAGACTACAGGTACAAGCTGTGTGCATCTCTGCCTTTCCCAGATACATGCTCCCTCAGCACCATATGAGTACTCTGGAAGCTCCATGTCTTCAACACCTGATAGTTTCAGGCTCTAACTCTTGCTGATCTAATAGAAGTGAAATTATATCTTGTTGGGGGTTTAATTTGCATTTCACAATTACTAGTGGTTTATTGGCCATTCTGTTTGTGTCCCCAAATTTGTCAATTGCCTGTTAATGTCTTTTGCCCATTTTTCTACTGTGTTGCTTGTCTCCTGACTCATTTGTAAGTGTTTTTATATTTCCTTGGTCATAATTGCTGGTGGGTTATAAATGTTGTAAATATTGTTTCCCAGTCTGTAGCTTGTCTTTGTACTTTTTTCTGTGTTTTGGATTAAGTTTTCCATTTTAACGCGGTCACATTCATCAGTCTTTGCCTTGGTAGTTGATGCTTTTCATCTCACAATATATTACTTTAAAAATCTTAGCCAAGCACAGTGGCTTGAACCTGTAATCCCAGCTACTACAGAGGCTGAGGTGGGAGGATCACTTGAGGCCAGGAGTTCAAGACCACCCTAGGCAACAGAGTGAGACCCTGTCTCTAAAAAAATAAAATAAACTTTTAACTTAAAAAGAGAGATGATTTTCCTTCCTGTGTATAGGAAACAATTGAAGATGTTGAAGAAATGCTCAACAACCTTCCTGGTGTGACATCGGTTCACAGTCGTTTCTATGATCTCTCCAGTAAATACTATCAAACAATCGGAAACCACGCGTCCTACTACAAAGATGCTCTGCGGTTTTTGGGCTGTGTTGACATCAAGGATCTACCAGGTAACCTAGGCCATTAAATCCATGTCACACAGGAGCATATTCTCCAAACTTAGCATCTGTGAGTTGCTTGAGGTGACAGTTCTCAGAAATTACTAAGGTGGGGCTGGGCACGGTGGCTCACGCCTGTAATCCCAGCACTTTGGAAGGCTGAAGTGAGTGGATCACCTGAGGTCAGGAGTTCGAGACCAGCCTGGCCAACATGGTGAAACCCTGTCTCTACTAAAAATACAAAAAACTAGCCAGGTGTGATGGTGGGTGCCTGTAATCCCAGTTACTCAGGAGTCTGAGGCAGGAGAATCACTTGAACTCGGGAGGTGGAGGTTGCAGTGAGCCAAGATTGTACCACTGCACCCCAGCCTGGGTGACAGAGCGAGACTCCATCTCATCCAAACAAAAAAGAAATTACTCAGATGGATTCATCCTGTTTTGAAGAAAAAAATGGGAAGATTTGTGTAACCTTTAGTTTCTACATTATATTTGTCTCCAGCATTTAATTTACATGAAAATGAGGCTAATTCCTCCTCGCTCCTTCACTGTCCCTTCTCCAGTCCCTCACTGTTACCTAAGCCACAGGTATTTGTAGGAAGCACCATGACGCCAACACCTTCTGAGCCCTCCCCGCCCACCCCTCTGCTGCAGAATAAAGGGCACGTGAAATCCCTGTAGCTGAGACCCTTGTTTTGAAAACTGAAATTCCAGACCCATGGGGACAAATTATTAAATCTTTCAAGGATTTGAGAGTGGAAAGAAAATGACCTGTGAGTTTTGGAAAAAGTGTAAGGAATATATGTTCAGAAAATAAATTTTCAGCATATTTTAGATGTTTCTCACAAAACACTGTTGAAGCTAAGGAGACCAGCAACTCTTAACAGTGTTGATGCAGTTTTTATTACTGTATGTCAAGAAAAATATATCGGAAAAGGAACTAAGGTGGTCAAGAGAACAATAGACTTGCTGTCTAGGAACAGAAAGTAAGTTAGTTCTGGTCTGAAAAGAAGCTAGGTTAGGTAACTTAAATTTATTCCTTGCCATAGCAGAAAAGAGATTTAAGGCACTTCCTGGAAGTGGCACAGCTGAAAATATGAATAGATTCACATATATTTAGGAAAAAATAAATGAATGCTCCTCCCAAAAAACCCATGTATATATGGTTCTTGGTATAATCTAAGTCAACCCAATACTTCAGAAGAGGTGACTAATGTCAAGGCTTTGTAATAACAACCATTACAAACAATGTTTTTTTACTTTTTGTTATATGAGATTTTTAAAGCTAAACAGGACTGATTATTATGACTGGATTGTAAGTGGGCCTGTGTTGCTACCATAGTGTCTGAGCAGCAGGAGAGAGCCTTCACGCTGGGGCTAGCAGGACTTCTCGGCGAGGGAGTTTTTAACTTTGGAGAACTCGTAAGTTGACCCTGAGCTCAGCTTCCTTAACGAGAGAGACTAAAGTGTTACTAGCTGACCATCTCCATCCTCACAGCTCATGCACCCTGTGCTGGAGTCCCTGAGGAATACTGACCGGCAGTGGCTGATTGACACCCTCTATGCCTTCAACAGTGGCAACGTAGAGCGGTTCCAGACTCTGAAGACTGCCTGGGGCCAGCAGGTAGGACTCCCACGATGCCCAGCCCTTATTCCCCCATGTATCTACTCGCTCATACAACAGATGTTCATTGAGCGTCTTCCCTAGGCACACAGGAAAGAACAGGGCAAAGAGGAGACCAAGATAGGCTAGTCCTTGCTCTCATAGAGCAGAGAGTTAAGTGGTTGGTTAGCTACAGCATTACTCAGTGCTGCAGACAAAGAGTGAGGGTGTTCTGAGAAAACAGAATCGAATGTGGGCCCTGCATCTACGCTGGGTGGAGGGGGTGTCACAGAAGATGTAGAAGTCATAGTGACCTAAGGTCTGTGTGACCTTAGGAATGAGTGAAGAGGTACGGGAAGAGTGCACTCAGCGGAGAAAACGGAAAAGTTTAGTATCTTTGCTGAACTGAAAGAGGGATGTGTGAGGCTAACATGAGTGGGTGGGAGAGAGCATGGGATGAAGGAGGAACAAATGCCTGGTGAAGAGAATGGGAGAGCGGTGGGTGCAGGGAGGGGGAGAGCGGCGGGTGCGGGGAGGGGGAGAGCGGCGGGTGCGGGGAGGGGGAGAGCGGCGGGTGCGGGGAGAGGGAGAGGTCCATGCAGGGAGAACAGCCAATTCACCTCAGTGCAAGGGGAGGGCAGGCACTGGGTGAAGTTGTCTCTGGAAGGTGGGAGTTAGGGAAAGGTGCTCAACAAGGGCTTGAGCTTTAATGATAAGTATGTTCTTTTTTAATGAGATTATTAGAAGTAAATATTAATAAAATGTTAACTGTGGTAGGAATTATGGTTATTTTTGTATTTTTCTGAAACTTTCAATTTTCTCAGTTTAAAATAAACTTGTAAAATTCATGCATAGTGGAGCAGGGTAGATATAGATGAAGGCACTGTGAAGAGGCAGAAAGCACAGATGCAGCCAGACCTAACTGTGGTCTGATTATTTATTGATATCTCAAAAAAAGGTGACACTCAGAAAGGAAGATGGCTAGTTATAGCAATTTAAAGAAAAAAAAAAAATCGTAGATGCATGTTGGCAGCATCTATTCAGGCAGCAAAGCCTGTCTGGAGGGGTAGTGAGCCCTTTACAGAGCTTGACCTGTCCAGTACTTGTGGCAGAAATGTCCCCATCGGGGCTACCTGTGTCAGGATATGAGTTGCTATTTGAATTAAAACAACAAGTCTCCTTGGTTTAATTCTGTGCTCACAGGTAACGTTTTGATCCATAAGAAGAGATGATGCATATCTTGCAGAAGCGTATATTCTAGTTCTCAGGACAATGATATTTTTCATTATAAATTAATAACTTGCTCTTTTGATTCAGAACAAGTCTCTAGAACTTAAGGAAGCTTTTCCTCAGAGGGGCTCCACTTGCACTGGCTCACTGAGCCGGCAGCAGCCCTTGAAAGAACCCCCCTGGGCAGTAGGGTGTATCCTTCCCAACAGCACCTTGACCAGGAGAGTCTTCTCGAAATGCCCGTACCCTGTGGCCCTGCCTAATGGTGTCTGTAGCATTAATACAAATCTTACCTTGTAAATTCCTTGCCTTGACAAAGTGTCCCAGTTAGGTGCGACTCTTTCCATTTCCTAAGAAGAATGAAGCTCAGATCACTTGTTGTTAATGAGCTTCAGCAGTCTGCAATGTGAAATGTTTGGATCTGCTTAGCTGGTTTTTGTTGGGTCTACTGTTATAGAACGAATTCCAGATCCCCAGTTAAGTAACTGATAAGCACAAACATGGAAGACATTTTTCTGTCTTTCTATACTTTACAGCCTGATTTAGCAGCTAATGAAGCCCAGCTTCTGAGGAAAATTCAGTTGTTGTGCCTCATGGAGGTAAGCGAACACCCAGGAGCCACTTTGTCTGTGGTTTCAGATTTTGGTCAGGTGGGGGCGCTGCACTCTCCAAGCCTGTGCTGAGCAGTGTGAGCTTTCAGTGGTGCTGCTTCTGCTGTGCGCCGCTCTCTTCACCACCTTCCTTTTCCTTTGCTACCACTTGCTCTTCTAAGTTTATATTTGGCTCTTAGCTCAGACGACACCCTCCCACCCCACTGCCACCACCCTGAGGCCTTCCCTGACCATCTGAACTGAGATGAAGTAGCTGCCCCTCTCCCCGTGATGCAGTTGTTGCCTCATTGCATGTCGCTTCTTGTGTACACGCACATCTGTCTTTCCCCACTAGAACTTAAGCTTCGTCAGGAAGTGGCCCTTAGATTTCTGGTTTGCCGTGGTCACCCCTGGTCAACCCTGGCAAATTGTGGCCTCAAGTACTTGTTCGGGGATTGAACAATGGCTACTGTCAGAAACTCCTGTAAGGCATTTTGCTGTTATCCTTCTTATCTAAGCATTAAAAGCTTGTTCTTAACAAGATATATGTCTAATATTAGGAAACTTTTTAGTATGTGGGGTACTAATAAGATCTCTATTTTCAGAGCCAATATTGACAAAACATCCTTATCAGTTCTCTATTTTTATTTGGAAAAATAGTTTAAAATAGTTAATAAAATTTTTTCCAGATGACTTTCACACGACCTGCCAATCACAGACAACTCACTTTTGAAGAAATTGCCAAAAGTGCTAAAATCACAGTGAATGAGGTACGGTCCCTAGGCTCAGGGTGTTAGAGCAGCAAAGCTGCCACATGGAGGAGTCAAGGCTCTTGTGTGAGCGCTGTGCTCCCTAGACAGTAAAAAATGACGGGAGGAGCGGCATCTGCTTCTCACAAGCCATCTGGGTCCATGGGGGTGTGTCAGGCTATCTTGTCTTACACACGCCTCCCTCTCTGCACAGGTGGAGCTTCTGGTGATGAAGGCCCTTTCGGTGGGGCTGGTGAAAGGCAGTATAGACGAGGTGGACAAACGAGTCCACATGACCTGGGTGCAGCCCCGAGTGTTGGATTTGCAACAGGTGATGTGTTTGAAACCCATTATTCACCTCTGTGGATTTTGAGGGGTTGTGTCTATACCGTCTTAGTTTCATTTGGATGGAAGCCATTTGGGAAGACAGCATTATTAGACAAGAGGTTTTGGAGAAGGAAATACTGCTGTTGGGTTTTTCTAAGAGCCTAATTTAATGCAAGCCTAGGGTTTGAACCCTGCATTTAAAAGCTTATGATGACAATGGCACTGGTTGTGCTGACGGTGCCTTTTAATCTTAAGATAGGAGCTCTGATCAGATACGTTCCTGGTTCTGTGATTTGAGCTCACGTCGCTCTTACATTTGCTGGAAATGCGATCCTGTGGATTTCCTCTGTCCTTGTCTGCTTTCTTTCATGCAAGTTTTTTCTAACGTTCCTGTGAAAAGAATTAACCCGGCAAGTCCCGTCCCACTCCCCCAGCTCAGAGGTCCTTTTTACTAGAGCTGCCCTAGAGAGTTAGCTGGAGATGTAGAGTCACCCCATCAGGTGCTGTGCCGGCCGCTCGGCCTGTGTCTCCTGCGTGTCTTAACGTCCCTTGTGTCCGGATTTCCATTTCAGATCAAGGGAATGAAGGACCGCCTGGAGTTCTGGTGCACGGATGTGAAGAGCATGGAGATGCTGGTGGAGCACCAGGCCCATGACATCCTCACCTAGGGCCCCCTGGTTCCCCGTCGTGTCTCCTTTGACTCACCTGAGAGAGGCGTTTGCAGCCAATGAAGCTGGCTGCTCAGACGGTCGACATTGAATTTGGGTGGGGGTTGGGATCCTGTCTGAAGTACAGACTGTTCTTGCTCTAAAAACAGGACTGTCCCTGATGGGAGCCAGGCCACAGGGAGGAGGCTTCTTTGTGGGTCTCTCCTGCAGAGGGTGGGGGTCTCAGGGTCTTAGGTGATACGGGAGAGAAAGAACGTGCCAGGCAGGAGGCCCCCTGAAGTCTGTGTACTCCGAGGTGGATCTCCATCCCCATCCACCTGTACGGACATCTTTTCCGTTGCGGTTTGAGAATGTTCCTATAATAAACCCCTCTGCTTTGTTCTTCTTGTGGCTCTGTTTTCTTGGGCTTAGCTTCCAGGCCAAGCCTGTGCCTGGAGGTTAAAAAGCATGAGTTGGAACCTTGGGAAGACACGGTGGGGGTAGCCTTGGCCCTTCTCCTCCCTGCACATACAGTAGACGGGCAGAATCCAGCACCAAGGACTAACGAAGACGCTGGTCCTATCTTTATTGTTAGTCAAGAGAGACCTAGGGGTATCCACTCCCTTCTCCAGCCCTCTCAGGTACCTGCCCCGACACAGGCATCCATCCACATCCTTGTCACCACTCATCATTCAAATAGCCACCAGCATCTGTGACCTGGTGTGCCCCAGTGCGGACATGAGCCATCCCTGGGACTGGGCATGTAAAGGAAACCACCTTGAGGTTCCCCGTCTGGGAGTGGAGGTGCACGTACACAAAGAATCACAGAGTGAACATTAGGTGGAAGGACAGTTTAATGTGATCTTTCAGTCCTGGGCCTGCAGTGACAGCATGGAGCTCTTGCAGCTCTCCAGGTCGGGTGAGACCCAGCCTCCAGGAACCAGGAAGCTGATGAATGTGAGAGCCCCACGGCCTGCTCCTGTTGGAGGAAAGCACCCACAAGTCTGCTAGGCTGGCAAAGAACAGTTGTCCGGCATCTTCTCCAGCCTTTTCCTCTTTGGTTGCTGGTGTCTGAGCTCCTGGTTTTTTCCACCTCGTCCAGGCCTCGCCTGACCTCATGGCCCCAGACCCCTCTCGGTCTTTCCACCCACCCTCTCCAGACCTCGTTTGGCCCTGGTCCAGATGGCCTGACACCCCAGCTGTTCCTCGTCAGTCACAATTGCTGGGATCTATTGACCACTAGCCTTTATACCCACCTCACTGTCAAGTTCCCAAGGCCCTGTGGTGCACCCTTCAACCTTCCGCAGCCCCTCTCAGCTGCTCAGGCCAAATGTCTTAGTGTGAGCCTCCATTTCCCTCAGACACTCATGTGTACATCGAGCCCGCTGACTCCCCACCCTCCCTAAGTCCAGCCTCAAACCTGTCCTCCATAACCGCTCCTCCACACAGCAGCCCAGACAGTCTTCCAGAACAATCAGGTCTTGTTGCTGCCGCTGCTCAGCATCCTCCAACAGGCTTCACTCACCCCCAAGGCCTGAGTGCTCTGACCACTGCCTGCCTTGCTGGTCCTGCTCCTACCCTCATCTGCTCTCCCTGCACCCCACCAAGGCTCCTGCCTCATCCCAGACATGAGCTGATCACAGCCCAGAGAGACACAATTCTGCATGCTGAAATCCCGAAAAATCAAAATTCTGAAAATATATTTCTGGAAAAAATAATTTTAAAATTATTTAAAAGATATTTATTTACTTTTTTTTCATTTTTTTATTTTTGAGACGGAGTTTCACTCTTGTTGCCCAGGCTGGAGTGCAATGGCACCATCTCCGCTCACTGCAACCTCTACCTCCTGGGTTCAAACAATTCTGCCTCAGCCCTCTGAGTAGCTGGGATTACAGGCGCCTGCCACCACACCTGGCTAATTTTGTATTTTTAGTAGAGATGGGGTTTCTCCATGTTGGTCAGGCTGGTCTCAAACTCCTGACCTCAGGTGATCCGCCCGCCTCAGCCTCCCAAAGTGCTGGGGTTACAGGCATGAGCCACCACGCCTGGCCATCTATTTACATTTTTAAAGGGGATTTATTTGAGAAACATAAAAACATGACATATGACAGAACACATCATAGGCCACTTCACACAATAAAATAGACAATAATAATATCCATGTTTCTGCAAGTGTAAACAGTCATACCAATGACAGTTATGCACAGATGAGCTGTATTCGTAAAGAAATGTGTTGAGAGGGGAAATGCATGAACACCTACCGCTCGGGTGGGAATTGCGTGCGCCCAGGTTCATAACTGCAGTCTTCCGAAAAGCCAGGATGAACAACCTACGCCTTCTAACAGGCTCAATCTAGAACCGCAACAGTTCACCACCACATAGCCAGTCACCAAAAAAACCAAGATCTAGAGAAATTTTTCACAAATGCAGATGTACAAAAAGGACATCTCTTCATTTATTGAGGAAATATCCCATTTTTACCTACACACACAGACAACATTGTGGTAATGCACTTCTGTGGAGTCAGTTTTGCAAAAAATGCCTAAAACAAATTAGAACACTGTATAAGTGTTCTAATTTATATCTTCAGTATTGAAATGATGCAAGGATAAAATGAGAGCATAGTGAACTGTAAAAAAATAATGCTGACAATTTATGATGATGAAAAAAGCTAAAAAAACTATACAGAAAATTCAACTTGAAAAAGCCATATATGTCGAATTTTCTGTGTAAGTCATATTACAGTAGATTATGGGCAACTATGCAGAGATATTCTGTAAGAGCTGGCAAACTTCCACGACCCCATTAACTATATTCTGAAGTCTTGCATCACAATGAATAGCTGTTTTTTTTTTCTTTTAGGACATGGCTTTCCTTGGAGAATACATTCAAATTCATTTTCTAAGTGGCGCTACTTTTTAAAAATTTCTATGATTCCTGTGATTGTGATTTTTGGAATTTTAAATATTAGAGATTTTACACTTTAGATATTTTGATCTTTCAGGATTTCAAGACTCAGGAGTGTGTCTTTCAGGATTATAATCCAAACACATCCCAGACACAGGGCACTCCCACCCTTCACTGGCGCCTTTGTCTGGACAGCCTTTCCCTCAGGTTTTTACTTGTTTCTTTAGATCATTTAGGCTTTGCTCAAATGACATCTCCTTAGATATATCTTGTTTACTCTCTGTTTTTGAAGCTGGAATGTAAGTCCCATGAGGGCAGAGACTCCGTTGTGTTCACCACTGAATCTTTGGAGCCTGGAGCAGTGTCTGGTTTAGCAGACTTTTTCAGTCAATGTTACATGGATGGATGGACAGATGGGCATATGGATATATGGATGGATGAATGGATGGGTGGATGGGTGAGTGGATGGACAACAGATGAGTGGATGGATGCATGGATGCATGGATGGATGGATGGATGGATGGATGGATGGATGGATGGATGGATGGTGGGTGGATGGATGAGTTTATGAATAGGTGGACGGACAGATGCACGGATGGATGGATGGATGGGCAGATGGGTGGGTGGGAGGAGTGGATGGGTGGATGGATGCAGGGATCCATAATGGATGGATGTGTGGATGGGTGGATGGATAGATGAGTGGATAAGTGGATGGATAGATGCATGGACGGACGGACGGACGGACGGACGGACGGACGGACGGACGGACGGATGGATGGATACATGGGTCGGTGGGTGGATGGATGAGTCAATGGGTGGATGAGTGGATGGGTGGATGGATGGATGGGTGGGTGGATGGATGGGTGGGTAGGTGGGTGGGTGGATGGATGATTGGAGGAGTTGTTATAAGGATGGATGGAGTTTCTATTGTATGCTGGGCACTGGGCTAGATTTGAAGGATACAAAGCCAAGTCAGACATGAGAGACAACTGTGGGGATTACACTTCTCCTTCAGAATGACCCACAGTATTATCACTGACAATGAAAAAGGCCACAGCTGAGTCCAAGCCCAGGAGCCAGTAGAAGCAGTAGGACATCTGACCCCACCTAGGCCCCCAGATTTATCCATGGTCATTGTCTGTACCTCCAGGCTTGGCTGTGGTCATCACCCTCACTATGGACAATCACGCCCCTATCTGTTTGTTTTGAAATGGTAAATTGGTGATACGAGCAAATTTCACTAGGAACATGATTTTACTTTTGTTCTTCCCCAGAAACCACATTTGTCCTAAATGTGAGACTACTTCCTAGGCTTTCCACCCCACCTTCCGGGTCCCTGGCCAGTCTTCATCTGACTTGGTTTCTCAAGCAGGAGCCAAGTCCTGTGAGGCCAGAGGAAGAAGGGTGTCCTGAATGTTATCTCCAGCAGTGCTGGGCTCCTGATACCAGCCTCAGGCAGTGGGGGGCTCTGCCCCTCCTCTGTAATAATCCCTTCCGCCTGAACCTTTAATTATAGCTTTGGGGTCCAGTTCTGGATAAGGCTGTGGACCTGAGTGCGTGTTCAAAGGATCAGTCTCCCAGGCTATGGTGTTTTGTCTTTTACAGATAAGAACTAGCTGCACCACCACCCAGGCTTGCCCCCGAGGGAGGCCTCCACCTCTGCCCTTTTTGGGCTTCAGTGGAGTGGGGGGTGCAGGTGGCGTGTGTGGGTGGGCAGTGGAGAGGCCCACTGTGCTTCAGGACGTTAGGCTTCCAAACAAGCCCCCAGCCAGCCCAGCCTTGGGTGGGTGATGCCCCCGATGAAGGCTGAGAGGAGGGAGCTGGCAGGGGTGGGAGCAGCGATGCCAGGAGGAAACACTGCCCTCCAGGAGAGAGAGGTTTTGTCGGCCTCCCTCAAGCCCAGATGGCCACGCCGTCCACAGCCTTCAACCTCTTCCCACCTGCCCACTCACCGGTCTTCCGACCTTTCTGACCTTTCCAAGCACAAACCTGTCCTCCTCACTTCACACTCACGCAGCTTCTACTTCTGGGGCCCCACAAAAGCAGAAGTGAGCTTTGGTCTTTATCCTAGCCTTGTTTTTAGTCCCCAGTTTGAACCACTTGTTCAAACCAAACCCTGTGGTTAAAGATCCTGAGTCCCCCACCCACAGCAAGGCTGCCCCAGATGGCCTCTCCTGTCATCATCCTGAGGCCTGGACCCTCTTCCCCGCCACCCCCAGGTCTGCCCTTTAATAGAAAGAAAATGATGTGACCCAGAGAGAAAGAGAAGGTGGCCAAGTGGGGCTGCAGGATGGAGATTAAGGCCCCACGTAACAGCTGGGGAAACTGAGACTTGAAGAGCATTCAGGGTTGCAGGCTCAGGGTTCCAGACTCATCCTGGCCCATCCTGGCTCATCCTGGCTCATCTTGGCTCATCCTGGCCCATCCTGGCCCATCCTGGCCCATCCTGGCTCATCCTGGCCCATCCTGGCTCATCTTGGCTCATCCTGGCCCGTCCTGGCTCATCCTGGCTCGTCCTGGCCCATCCTGGCTCATCTTGGCTCATCCTGGCCCGTCCTGGCCCATCCTGGCTCATCCTGGACAGGGGCAGCATCGGAAGGTGCGCTCAAGGCCGTGGATGGACAAAAGTAGTCCTGTTACCTGAATCTTCACCCTCACCTTCTTCAGCCACTCAGCACATACCTATCAAGCTTGCCCTGGACATACCCCTAACGCACCTGGGAGGCGGGAGGGAGACCAGCCACCACGCACACCCTCTCTCACAAAGCTGCAAGGCCACCTCGGCCTGCAGGACCACCTGGAAAGTCCGGTGGACACCTGTGGGCACATGGCACCACCCTGTGTCCAGACTTGGAACCACAGAAGCTGCTGGAGGAGGCACAGACGGGGGCACAGCCCTCTTCCATGGAGCTCTTCGAATCAGAGACCCAGAAAGAGCACACATGCATGAAAACATTTGCATGCTCCTTTTTTATTGCATTAGAAACCTATTTCTTCACGTAAAATAGTGGTTCTTAAAGTGTGGTTCCTGGACCAACAGCATCAGCATCACCTGGCTTGTTGGAAACGAATCGGAAAGTGGAGTGGGCCTATAATCTGTTACAACAACCCCCCAGGTGAGTATGATACACAGCCAAGTTTGAGAACCAGCCGGTCGCGGTGGCTCACACCTGTAATCTCAGCACTTTGGGAGGCCAAGGTAGGTGGATCACCTGAGGTCAGGAGTTCAAGACCATCCTGGACAACGTGGCAAAACCCCGTCTCTACTAAAAATACAAAAATTTGCTGGGCATGGTGGCAAACGCCTGTAGTCCTAGCTACTCGGGAGGCTGAGACAGGAGAATTGCTTGAACCCGGGAGGCGGAGATTGCAGTGAGCTGAGATTGTGCCATTGCACTCCAGCCTGTGCGACAGAGCAAGACTCCATCTCAAAAAAAAAAAAAAGCTTGAATACCATCTTCATGTCACATAAAAACTTTGATACTTCACACTATTTTCTTCAAAACTGAATGACCACTTCCAAAAAATTAAGCCAGATACTAAGACTTGGCCCCTTCCTTTCATCTAAAAAAACACATTTCCACTAAGTACCTTGTAGATTTAGTAGAATTTACTGAAACTTTGGGATTCATGGGAAGAGATCCTGTGGAGGGTGTGGCCCTCTGCCCTCCACCCCACCCCTGTGCACACCCCTCGTCGGGAACTCAGCTTTGACCCAAGCCCTCTTCACATGGAACCTGCCCGTTCGGGACTCTGGTGTCAGTCGACAGTCTCAGCATTGCCCAGCGCTGACGGTTTCGATGGTGCTGTGTGTCAGCTTGACTGGGCCGTGGTGCCCACGTTTGGTCAAACATTATTCTGGATATTTCTGCAAAGGTGTTTTTTGGATGAAATACTAACCTTTAAATTGGTGAACTTTGAGAAACGCAGAAGACCCTCCATGATGTGGTGGGCTTCATCCAATCAGTTGAAGATCTTAGGAGAACAAAGACGGACCTCTCCTGAGGAGGAAGAAGGAATTCCACCTCCAGATGGTCCTCGGGCTCCGCCACAGCATCAGCTTTCCTCGGGGCCTCCAGCCACCTGGGCTCCTCTATCAGATTCCGGGCTTACCAAGCCTCTACAATCACATAAACAGTTCCTCAAAATAGATCTCTCTCCACATATATGTGTGTTGGGGATGGGTGGGTACACACACACACGCACGCGCACACACACACACGCACGCACACACATCCTGTTGGTTCTGTTTCTCTGGAGAATGCTAATACAATATGTATAATACATTTGTCACAATTAATGAACCAATATTGATACATTAGTTACGAACTTCATGAAGTCCATACTCGATTCGGATTTCCTCACACTTTCCCTCATTTCCTGTTCCAGGATCAACACCATTTTACATTCAGTCTCCACATCTCCTGAGCTCCTGTCTGCTGGGGCGGCTCCTCATTCTCCTTGTTTTTCGGTGACCTTGAAGGTAACTGGTCAGGTTTATTGTAGAACACCCCACCCTTCTATTGAGGTTCGGCTGCTGCTTTTCTCATGATTAGATTAGGGCTCTGGGGCTTGAGAAGGAGGACCACAGAGGGACAGCGCCCTTCTCATCACATCATACCAAGAACTTCTCACTCCTGATGTTGGCCTCGGCCACCTGGGTGAGACCGTCTGTCAGCTTTCCTCATTGCAAAGTGACTCTTTTCACTCCCCTTCCCATACTGTTCCCTTTGGGAGGAAGTCACTATGCACAGCCCCACCTAAGGATGGCCAGTCACACTCCACCTCTTTGGGGGTGGGGTCTCTACAGGCTTTATTTGTCATTCTTTTGCATTAAAGGCTTGTCTCTTTTCCCCACTTATTATTACTGATTCATTTATTTATATCAGTATGGACTCAAGCGTATTTATTTTATATTTAGGTTATAATTAACACTGGTTAATTTTGTTGCTCAGATTGTCCCAGCTCTGGGTATTGGGTTCCTTTCTTTCAGCCCTGTGTTCCTTTAGCATATCCTCAAAATTGTGGAGCTTTTTAATTTGCTTGTTTTGAACACTTTCTTAGTTTCTGGTACCACAAAATGCTCCAGACTCATATATTTTCTGCCCCTGTCCTGGAATAAGTGAACATAGAATAAGCCAATAGGCCTGGTTCCTTCTGCTGGAGAATGGTATTAGAAACCAAGATCTGGGCTGGGCATGGTGGCTCACACCTGTAATCCCAGCACTTTGGAAGGCTGAGGCAAGTGGATCACTTGAGGCCAGGAGTCTGAGACCTGCCTCAGCAACATAGTGAGACTGAGACCCTGCCTCTACAAAAAATTTAAAAATTAGCCAGGCATGGTGGCTCCTAGTCCTATATAGAGCGCCTATAGTCCTAGCTACTTGGGAGGCTGAGATGGAAGGAGTGCTTGAGCCCAGGAGTTCAAAGCTGCAGTGAGCCATAATCATGCCAGTGCACTCTAGCCTGGGTGACACAGTGAGATCCTCTCTCAAAAAATAAAAAATAAAAGCATTAACTTATGTTAAAGAAAAAAAAAAGAAACAAGAAGAGAGAAAGAAAGCAAGAAGAGAGAAAGAAAGCAAGAAAGAAGAAAGAGAAAGAAGAAAGAAAAAGAGAAAGAAAAGAAAGAAAGAAAAAGAAAGAGAGAAAAGAAAAAAAAAGAAAAGGAAGGAAGCAAGGAAGGGAGAGAGAAAGAAAAAAAAGAAAAGAGTCCAAGAGCCGGACACTAGGTAGCTACATGACACTATACACCTGTCAAGATTCATGGAGGGCCAAGCACAGTAGCTCATGCCTGTCATCCCAGCACTTTGGGAGGCCAGGGCAGGACTGCTTAAGCCCAGGAGTTAGAGACCAGCCTGGGTAACATAGTGAGACCCCTGTCTCCACAAAAAATAAAAACATTAGCCAGGCATGGTGGTGCACACGTGTGGTCCCAGCTACTCAGGAAGCTGAGGTGGGAGGATGGCTTGAGCCTGGAGGCCGAAGCTGCAGTGAGACATTATTGGGCCACTGCACTCCAACCTGGACAACAGAGCAAGATCCTCTCTCAAAATAATAAAAATTAAAAATTCATAGAGCTTTATAGTACAAAGAGTAAACATTAATGTATGCAAATGTTAAAATATCATTTAGAATATCAGGGAATCCCATGATGGAATGCAGCATGTGACAAAATAATCTAACTGTGTTACAAATGCAGAAACAACCTCACTGAAGGGAATGATGAGAAAGGCACTGACTTGGTAACTTTGGAAATGAGTGAAGTCTGTTAAGACTAAGAGCAAAGGAAGTACACATAAGCACAGTACTCTAGCTGATAAAGTAGTTTCCCACACGGCAGATGTGGGGGTGTGTGTGTGTATGTGTGTGCATGCGTACCATGCAAATTAGCAAAATACAACACATTGGAGGCCAGGTGCAGTGGTTCATGTCTGTAATCCCAGCACTTTGAGAGGCCAAGGCAGGCAGATCACCTGAGGTCGGAGTTCGAGATCAGCCTGACCAACATGGAGAAACCCCATCTCTACTAAAAATACAAAAAATTAGTCAGGCGTGGAGGTGCATGCCTGTAATTCCAGCTACTCGGGAGGCTGAGGCAGGAGAATCACTTGAACCCGGGAGGCGGAGGTTGCGGTGAGCAGAGATTGTGCCACTGCACTCCAGCCTGGGCAACAAGAGCGAAACTCCACCTCAAAAAAAAAAACACACACACACACACACACAATGGAAAATATGCATGAGTAACGTAGCAGAGATTGCTAGCTGATCTCCAAAATTTCTGTTCCTGTCTTCCTGGACAAATAGCTAGACTGCATGTCCTATCCTTTCCTGCTGTCAGGGTCGGCCATGTGACTGTGGCTATGAGTGACATGCACAACCTCCTGATCAGGCCATGACAAGCCTTCCTCCAACCCAGGCATCAGGCTGTTCCCTCGAGCACTGACCATGGAGGCCTTCCTCCAACCCAGGCATCAGGCTGTTTCCTAGAGCACTCTTTATAAGAGGAGGGAAATGAAACTGATCCAATTTTCATCAATAGGGCACTGATTAATAACTTGTGGTACACCTCAACCACAGGCAACTATGATGAAGACAAAAATAGTGAAGTATATTTATATACACCAACATGGAAAGGTGTCCGAAACATACCAGTTATTAAACAAATAAAGCAAATTAAAAAGCAGCAGATTTGTCAGGATGTGGTGGCTCACGCCTGTAATCCCAGCACTTTGGGAGGCCGAGGCGGGCAGATCACGAGGTCAGGAGATTGAGACCATCCTGGCTAACATGGTGAAACCCCGTCTCTACTAAAAATACAAAAAATTAGCCAGGCGTGGTGGCAGGTGCCTGTAGTCCCAGCTATTTGGGAGGCTGAGGCAGGAGAATGGTGTGAACCCGGGAGGCAGAGCTTGCTGTGAGCCCAGATCACGCCACTGCACTCCAGCCTGGGCGACAGAGCGAAACTCTACCTCATTTAAAAAAAAAAAAGTGACAGATTTGTCAGGGAGCGGTAGCTCACGCCTGTAATCCCAGCACTTTGAGAGGCCAAGGCGGGTGGATCACCTGAGGTCGGGAGTTCAAGACCAGCCTGACCAACATGGAGAAACCCCGTCTCTACTTAAAATACAAAATTAGCTGGGTGTGGTGGCAGGCACCTGTAATCCCAGCTACTCAGGAGGCTGAGGCAGGAGAATCGCTTGAACCTGGGAGGCGGAGGTTGCAGCGAGCCGAGATCACGCCAGTGAACTCCAGCCTGGGCAACAAGAATGAAACTCCGTCTCAAAAAAAAAAAAAAGCAGCAGATCACATCCACACATGGAAACACTAATTATCAATAAAAATGAACAAACTACTAAGACGCAAAAGCACATGGGTGAATCTCACATACATTATCCTCAGTGAAAATACCTGGGCCCAAAAAGCTACATACTGTCTCAGGGGCTGGCAAACGTCCTGTGTGTCAAATCTAGCCCACATCTGGTTTTTGTATGGTGTGCATGGTTTTAACATTTTTAAAGCATTAAGTTAAAAAAAAAGAATATTTAAAATGTGAAAAAACACATTTACAATGAAAATAATAAAAATATGGTATATCGAAATTTGTGGTATCCAGATAAACTCATGCCTTGAAGTAAATTTATGGCAATATATATATATTTTTATGTATATCCTTATATATATGTACACATACATATAGTATGTGTATATATGTGTGTATATATGTATATATAATACACATACTATATATAATACAGTATATATAATATATAATACACATACTATAATACACATACTATATATACACACACACATATAGGCACATGTAGATTTTTTTTTTTACGGAAGAATAAAATCTAAAAACTGATAAACAAAGCATTCTTCTAAAAAATTTGGGGGTGACCAGGTGCAGTGGCTCATGTCTGTAACCCCAACACTTTGGGAGGTGGAGGCGGGCAGATTGCTTGAGGTCAGGAGTTCAGGACCAGTCTGGCCAATATGGTGAAACCCCGTCTCTACTAAAACTATGAAAATTAGGCTGGCATAGTGGTGTGCACCTGTAATCCCAGCTCCATGGTGGCTGGAGCATGAGAATTGCTTCAGCCTGGGAGATGGAGGTTCCAGTGAGCCAAGATCCTACAGCTGTACTCCAACCTGAGAGACAGAGCAAGGCTCCGTCTCAAAATAATAATAATAATTTGGGGATGTAGAGGTTGCTAATTAAACTCCAAGAAAATAGAAGAAAAAATAAATATAAGAGTAGGACTTAATAACAATAGAAAATAAATGCACAATAGAGAAGGTTAACAAGACAAAAATTGAAAAAAATTGTTTTGATAAAATTAATGAAGATACTCCAGGTGTGGCTGTTTAAGAAAAAAGAGAGATGATACAAATATCACGCTTCAGGAATGAAAAGGGGGCACTGCTACAGATCTTACAGATATTAAAAAGTTAATAAAGGAAAATTATGAACATTTATGTCAATAAATTTGAAGACACATTAAATATGACATATTCTCAGAAGAAAAGAAACTTTAAAAAACTCTCATGAGAATTAATAGAAAATCTACATAGTTCTATATCTGAACAGTTGTGCTAAAGAAATTGAAACTGTAATTTAAAACCTCCCCACAGAGAAAAAACTTAGGCCTCAATCGTTTCATCAGTGAATTCTACCTAAATCTTCACACAAAGAAAACTCAAACAGATAGATTCACTGGTGGATTTTGCCAAACTTTTAAGAAAGAAATAATACAAATCTTACACAAACTTTTCCAGATAATAGGAAAAAAAAGAAATGCTTTTTATCTCTTTTTATGAAACAAATATAACCTTATTTTTAAAAACCTGTTAAGGACATTGATAAAGTAATAAAAATCTCTCTCATAAACAGACACAAAAATCCTAAGGAAAACATTAGCAAATCAAATCTACCTATATAAAAACATATGTCATCACATCATTTGGTTGGGTTTATAGCCTTGTTTAAAATGATTTAAATAATGCGACTCATTACATTAACAGGAAAAGAAAAAAATCATTTGATTACCTCAATTGATACAGAAATAGCATGTAATAGAAATCAACGTCCCTTCATCATTTCTTTTAAAAAAGAAAACTAAGGCCGGGTGCAGAGGCTCACGCATGTAATCCCAGCACTTTGGGAGGCCGAGGCGGGTGGATCATCTGAGGTCAGGAGTTCAAGACCAGCCTGGCCAACATGGTGAAACCTCATCTCTACTAAAAATACAAAAATTAGCCGGGTGTGGTGGCAGGTGCCTGTAATCCCAGCTACTCGGGAGGCTGAGGCAGGAGAATCACTTGAACCCAGGAGGCGGAGGTTGCAGTGAGCTGAAATCGTGCCACTGCACTCCAGCCTGGGCAATAAGAGCAAAAAAGAGAGAGAAGAAAAGAAAAGAAAAGAAAGAAGCAAACTAAGCATAGACGAAATTTCCTTAGTCTTATCTGTAATAAACAAACAGGGCTGGGCGAGGAGGCTCACACCTGTAATTCCAGCACTTTGGGAAGCCGAGGCAGGCAGATCACCTGAGGTCAGGAGTTCAAGACCAGCCTGACCAACATGGAGAAACCCTGTCTCTACTAAAAATTCAAAATTAGCCGGACCTGGTGGTGCATGCCTGTAATCCCAGCTACTTGGGAGGCTGCGGCAAGAGAATTGTTTGAATCCAGGAGGTGGAGGTTGCGGTGAGCCGAGATCACACCATTGCACTCCAGCCTGGGCAACAAGAGCAAAACTCCATCTCAAATAATAATAATAATAATAAAGAAAAATAAATAAATAAGGTCTGAAGCAAACATCACAGTAAAAGCTGAAATATTGAAAGCCTTTCATCTTAGAATGAGAATGAAGCAAGAATATCTACTGTCACCAATTCAAGGCAACATTGTACTGGAGATGCAAGCCGGTGCAATAAGGCAAGAAAAAGAAATAAAAGTTATAAGGATTGGAAAGAAGAAGAAAATGAAACTATAATTATTTTAAAATGATATAGTTGAGGGTGTCAAGAATCTAGGAGAATCTATAGATAAGCTATTAGAATTAATAATGTATTTGGCAGGGCCACTGGCTGTAATGCCAATATGCCAAAATTAGTTGTAGTTCTGTGTACCATCAATAAAAAATTAGACAATGAAGCAAAAAAAAAAAGATTTTTTTGTTTGTTTGTTTTTCTTGAGATGGAGTCTTGCCCTGTCACCCGGGCTGGAGTGCAGTGGCATGATCTCGGCTCACTACACTCTCCACCTCCCAGGTTTGAGCAATTCTCCTGCCTCAGCCTCCGGAGTAGCTGGGATTACAGGTGCGTGCCACCAAACCTGGCTAATTTTTGTATTTTTGGTAGAGACAGGGTTTTGCCATATTCGCCAGGCTGGTCTTGAACTCCTGACCTCATGATCCACCCGCCTTGGCCTCCCAAAGTGCTGGGATTACAGGCATGAGCCACTGCACCTGGCCAAACAAATGATATTTTTAAAAGCATAAAAAATATCAAATGTAAGATGGGCATAATATTTACATAGAAAACTATAAAACATTCTAGAGAGATGTTTTTTAAATGCCTTAAATAATTGGTAGGTTATATTATATTCATGAATTTTAAAATAGATTACTTTGACAATTTTTATTCTCCCCAAATGGAACTATAGGTTCAGTAAAATTCCAACCAAAATCCCAACAGGTTTTCCATTAGTGGGAATTCAAAGGCTAATTCTAAGATGAAAGCAGAAATGTGAAGGACAAGAATAGCTAAGACAGCCATGAACATGAACAAGAATAAAGGTGGCGAACTGACACCCCAGACTTATTATCAAGCTATAGTGATAAGTATAGACAGTGTGGTAATGGCACAAATAGATCAGCGTCACAGAATGTCTGTATAATTGCCCCAGAATTGGTCTGTGGTACCACACTAAATGATTCACAGAGATTCTTTGTGGAAAGAACAGTGACTTTCATGGAGGGAAAGGTCATTTTCACTTTTTATTTCATACATATTTATACTATTAGATTTTCTTAAAATTAACATATTCAGTCATTGCCTATAAAATTTAAAATAATGCCAGTGGGGGAAGCCCTCTGGCGCTTCCATTGCCTGTTTGAAAGTTACTGGGCTCACTTGTTCGGGAAACATCAGCTGCTCCCACTGGGTGCCAGGCCCTGTTCTAGGTGCTTGGGAAGTGTCAGTGAGCAAAACAGACAAATCTCCAGCCCACATGGAGGGGTGAGGAGCAAGGAGGAGGAGTGAGGAGCAAGGAGGAAGGGCAAGGAGCGAGGAGGAGTGGGGAGAAGTGAGGAGGAGGGGGGAGGAGCGAAGAGGAGGGGGAGGAGCGAGGGGGAGGAGCGAGGAGGAGGGGGAGGAGCGAGGAGGGGGGAGGAGCGAGGAGGGGGGAGGAGCGAGGAGGGGGGAGGAGCGAGGAGGGGGGAGGAGCGAGGAGGAGGGGGGGCGAGGAGGAGGGGGAGGGGCGAGGAGGGAGGGGAGGGGGAGGGAGAGGGGAGGAGCAACGAGGAGGGGGGAGGAGCAAGGAGGGGGGAGGAGCGAGGAGGGGAGGAGGGGGAGGGGCGAGGAGGAGGCGGGAGGAGCTGGACAGGACATCGTGCCAGCCCGAGGGCGGAATGAACTTCAGAGAAGTTTGAGAGCAAAAGGTGCTTTGCTGCTGTTAGACCCTGAAATTCCACGGGTCCCTGGACAGTTTTGGGAGCCGGGAGGGTGAAGAGAGTGGATCAAGCTTCGTGGGGTGGACCCGGAAGAGATGGGGCAGTGAATGGTTCTGGGGGACTGCGGGAGCCTCCGGGGAGTGATTTTTTGCCCTGAGGGGAATCACCGCAGCGGGGACAAGGCTGGGGGAAAACACTTCCTTCTGCAAGGGCACTGCTGAGCCTCACTTGCTGGAGCTTGCACTGTGCAACGGTAAATTCACGTTGTGTGCCCTCACCTGAGCTTCTGATGAGGACGCTGGAGGGCTTGGCCCTTTGAAGTCCTCACCTGTCCCTCCTTGGGCTGGGGGTGGTGACTAGGAGGGGCTGCACGGCTGCTGCCCGGGTTGGTCCCGGCCATCCCAGCTCCCTGGTAAATAGGCTTCTCAAACTAGGATACCTGGGCCTTGGGCGTTACCTGCAAACCCTGTTCCTCGCTCTAGTTCCCCACTTCCATCCCTCCTCTTGCCTCAGCCCTTCTCATCTCACACGCCACATGGGATCCACCCTTTTTACGCATGTGCAGAGCGTGGCCCCTCTCTGATTCCCTTCCCCTCAGGAGAGCCGGACGTCTCCCTCCCTCACACCCTCCCCAGCCCCACAGCAGCCCAGGGAGCCTTGCCCGCTCCTCGGCCCCCCTGGCTCTCCCAGCCACCCAGGCCTCCTGTGTCCTGAGTGGGCCAGCTCCTGCCAGACCACGGCCCTGCCCTGCACCTGACTGCGTCCCCACCGCGGACCTGCCCCCTCGTTTATTCTCCTCTCTCCGCTCTGCTCTGTCCTTGGCACTGTTTTTGTTTGTTTTTTGTTTTTGTTTTTTGAGACGCAGTCTCGCTCTGTCACACAGGCTGGAGTGCAGTGGCGTGATCTCTGCTCACTGCAATCTCTGCCTCCTGGGTTCAAACTATTTTCTTGCCTCAGCCTCACGAGTAGCTGGGATTACAGATGCCCGCCACCACGCCTGGCTAATTTTTGTATTTTTAGTAGAGACGGGGTTTCACCATGTTGGCCAGGCTGATCTCGAACTCCTGACCTCAAGTGATCCGCCCGCCTCTGCCTCCCAAAGTGCTGGGATCACAGATATGAGCCACCGCGCCCCGCCCTTGGCACTGTTTAATCCATGTGTTGTTTATTTATGTATCCTGTTTATTTTCTGTCTCCCAACAAAGACGTAGCTCCTTCTGGGTAGGGCATTTTGTTCATGCTCTCAGATGCCGCCTACCGCCCTAGAGCAGGAAATAGCGGTCAGCGCCAGCTGTGAGGAGCACAGCATTGCGGCCAACACAGGAGGCACTGACCACGGGGCAGGCGCTATTTAAAAATCGTGGCAAAGGATCAGACGTAACAGAACTCTTTTTGTTTTAATCATTTTTAAGTGTGCAGTTCAATGATGTTAGTTACATGCACAATATTGTGTAACCATCACCACTATTTCCAAAATCCTTTCTATCCGTCAGACAGAAACTCCGTCCCCATTAAACAGCAACTCTGCATTCCTCCGTCCCCCCAGCCTCTGGTCACGTGTCTCATCTACTTTCAGTCTCTACGGATTTGCCTGTTCTAATTATTTCATAGAAGTGGATTCATACAGTACGTGTCCTTCTGTGTCAGGTTCATGTCACTCAGCGTGATGTGCCCAAGGTTCACCCATGCGTCGGGCTCTCATTCCTGAATCGCATTTCTCTGTACGGATAGACTGAGTTTTGTTTGTCTGTTCACCTGTTTAGGAACACTTGGTTGCTTCCACATTTTGACTGTTATGAATAACGCTACTAGCAAAGTGAACACGAGTGTGGTTTCAGTTCCTGTTTTCAATTCTTCCGCGTCTTTTAAGAAAAAACAAACTGTTTTCAACAGTTGCATCATTTTACCGTCCCACCAGCAACATGGGAGGCTTCCCATCACTTGTTTTCTTCATGTTTGTTTTGTTTAGTTGCATAATAATTGCCATCCTAGTGGAGGTAAGAAGGTATCTCACTGTTCTTTTCATTTGCATTTTTGTAATGACTAACGAGGTTGGGCAACTTTTCACGTGCTTGTCAGTCATTCGCATCTTTTTTTTTTTTTGAGAAATGTCTATTCAAGTCCTTTGCTCATTTTGAAATTGTGCTGTTTGGGTTTTGGTTGTTGATTTGAAGGAGTCCTTTTTATATTACGTATATGAATCCTTACCAGATATATGATTCGCAAACATTTTCTCCCATTCTGTGGTGATCTCTTCAGCCCCTTGATAGTGTCCTTTGATGCACAAAAGATTTTAATTTTGATGAAGTACAATTTATCTTTTTGTTGTTGTTGTCATTGCCCATGCTTTTGGTGTTATATCTAAGAATCCAAGGTCGGCCGGGCACGGTGGCTCACGCCTGTAATCGCAGCACTTTGGGAGGCCGAGGCAGGTGGATCACTTGAGGTCAGGAGTTTGAGACCAGCCTGGCCAACATGGTGAAACCCCATCTCTACTAAAAATACAAAAATTAGCCGGGCATGGTGGCAGGCGCCTGTAATCTCAGCTACTAGGTAGGCTGAGGCAGGAGCATCGCTTGAACACAGGAGGTGGAAGTTGCAGTGAGCCGGGATCGCGCCATTGCAATGCAGCCTGGGTAATGGAGCAAACTCCGTCTCAAAAAAAAAAAAATAATAATAATAATCATCATCATCATCATCCAAGGTCATGAAGATTTCCCTACATTTTTTCCTAAGTGTTTTATGGTTTTAGTTCTTAAATGTCAGCCTTGGTCCATTTCCAGTTGATTTATGTGAAGGAGGAGGCCCCGCTCCACTCAGGCCCGACTCTTAGTGTTTTAATATCACCACTTTGAGATCACAACCACCTTAGGGAGCAGGAACCGTCCATCCACAGACACAGAAACTCACCTAGAGTGTGTCCAGGGTCACAGAGTGACCAGTGAGTGGCAGAGCCAGGAGCTGGACCAGCCACCCACTCAACAGGGTGCACAGGACCCCAGACCCCCAGGCTTTACCGCCTCTGGACACCAATGCACAAGAGAGTAAACTTGGGGAGTACCTTAGGCAGGTGGTCAGAGGCCTCGGGAGAGGAGACATTTGAGCAGAGAAGGGAGGTGGTGTGGCAGCCGTGTGGACCTGCTGTGGGTGTGTGCACCAGAGCTGTGCTGGTGAGCGAGGAGGAACTACCCAGGAGGGCACACTGGACCAGGGAGAGCCAGCCCGACGGGGGCCAGCTGCCTTTCCCAGCAGGCAGCGGTGTGACCCTCGGGGCAGGGGCTCGGTCCACTGTAGCACAGGGGATCGGGAGGCAGAGGGTCCCCGGGCCTGTAATGAGGAGGAGGCGGGACCCAGGTCCTGGTGGGCTCCCGAAGTGCAGCAGGAAGGGCCCTAGTGCTTCCATGTCACCACCCTGATGGCCTTGGCAGCTGGGAGAGCCCCCTGCCCTGCAGGGCAAGAGGGATTTTCCGCCCCAAGGGAGAGCGTCATATGCCCAGGAGGCAGTTCTGCCTCTGGCTCTTTGCTCCTCCCAGGCCTCCTGTCCTCTATGTCCTTGGAAGTAAAGGGGACAGGTCCTGGGGCTCCACAAAGATAGGCACCTCCTCTCATCCACCTAATGAGGCAAAAGAGGGGGTTCTGCCTCTGAGGCTGAGGGGCCCAGCCCCCTCTGGAAAGAGAGTCCCACTCATGCCCCTCCACCAGGCCCCACCAACAGGAGGCCCTGGCGGCAAGGCCCTGCCTCCCCAGTGAAGACCACCAGGGCCTGGGGGCCAGGGAGGGAGGCTGCCCCCGGCTGGTGAAGGGACACCCCACAGCCACCAGCGGCCACGATTAATCCACACTTGGGGACAGCTTTCGTTCTGAGCAGCTCAGCTCTGAGAGGGAATTGGATACAGGATGGATACCTTGCGGGCTCCTGTTCTCCGAGGGTGGCAAGGGTTGGTGGCATGATGACCCTGATAAGACTTTACGGCCCCTGTTCTCCAGGGTGGGGCAGATCAATTGCTGTTCTCAAGGTCCTGCCAGGGGCCCTTCCTGAAGAAACAAGCAGAGGCTTTGATTTCCTGACCTATCTCGGGAAAACACTTGAGCTAATAATTAATCAGATTATGGATACACTGGCTTTTTTTGTCTTATTTTTTAAATTGTGGTAAAATTTATATAACATAAAATATACCATTTTAACCATTGCTAAGTGTGCATGAAGTACATTCACATCGTTCACCCATCACCATCGTCCCTCTCCAGAGCTTTCTCATCTTCCCAAACTGAGACTCTCTCCCCATTAAACACCCATTTCCCATCCCCTTCCCACAGCCCTGGCCCCTGCTGTTCTACTCTCTCTGTGAGTCGGAGGCTCTAGGGGCCTCAGGTAAGTGCTAACACACAGCATTTGTCCTTCTGTGTCTGGCTTATTCAATGTCCTCAGGGCCGTCCATGTTGCAGCTGTGTCCAGGTTCCCTTCCGTGTTGAGGCCGTCTTACTTTTGAGACCAGTTTGAACCTTTCTTTCTTCGGCTGCTCTAGCAGGTTTCCTGGTACAGTGAGTGCCCAATGGAACGAGCATTTGACCAGCAGCTTCATGGGGGAGGCGCTTTCTCTCTGGGTCTCTGTGGGGAAGGGAAAGACCTTCCTTAAGGAGCACTGGACGCCCAGCACCTGCCTTGGAGGACAGTTTGCTTTCGTGGAAGATTGGGCCACAGAGAGCATTGCTGTGGAAGGAGGCGTCAGAAGTGGGGCCAAGTGCACGTTGCCCTTCCACCTGCGGCCTTGGAGACAGGTCCAAGGTGTACGAGTTACGAAGGCCTTGGGCCGCATGAAACCGAAACCCACAGGAGAGTCGTTCTCCCAGAACAAAGCCCCGAGGTGGCCTCCCAGCTGCCAGAGTCATCTCCTCTGGCTCCTGGGCCTGGGCATTGCTCGTGGACCTCCAAGTTTTGTGTCCATGTCCAAGAGGACAAAGACGGAGGGAGGCCAAGAGCCAACGGCCGTGGCAGCTCCACCCACCACCCAAGCCCACCCAGCAGGCTCCCTTTCCCCTCATTGCCCAGACTGTGTCCCAAGGTCACCTTCTGCAAAGTTTTATGGGGAAGCACTTTGCTGATCCACACACACAGGGTTCTGTCGGTAAGAAGAGGGGAAGATGGACCTCGGGTTGGCAGCAAGCAGGTCCTGCCACTTTTGGTTCCATTTGGGACCCCCAAAGGCTCTGGGGTGAATCGTCCCAGAAGGAGAGGTTGATGAGTTGATGAGGCGGGGTCTTCGGCGCCGCCCCCAAGAGGAGCGCAGAGGAGAGAGAGGGCTAGCATCGAGGAGAGAGGTGTGGGGGGTCAGAATGTTGGGGGCCCAGGGGAGAAGGACAGAGGAAGCGGATGACAGTGTAGTACCAAAGGGCTGTCGATGAGTGACAGGAACAGAGGGGGAATTTTCAGCTGCTGTCCGGAGTGTAGGACTCTGTGCAGAAGGGTACAAGCCTAAAGGGTTTCTTCAAGGAAAACTGTGCTCTGTGACATGGGTAGACCCTGGTACTGTCCCTTTGCGGAAGCGGAACACAGATCGCCATTGTCTTTTGAACCGAACTGAAGATTTCTGGAAGCAGCTGTGGCCCCTGGGTCATGAGGCTGTTTAGATTTATATGGGTTCCATTGAGGATTCTCAGGGATTTTGGACCTAAATTTGGTAACTGTTGCACCTCGAACTGAAATATCATCCCACCATTGAGCAGAAGGACAGCATCCCTAGCCTGGGCAACATAGGGAGACCTTGTCTCTAAATAAATAAATAAAAATTAACCAGATGTGTTGATGCATGCCTATAGTTCTAGCTACTTGGAAGGCTGAGTGGGAAGGATCCCTTGAGCCCAGGAGTTTGAGGTTGCAGTGAGCTAAGATCGCACCACTGCACTCTAGCCTGGGCGACAGAGTAAGACCTTGTCTCTAAAAAAAAAAAAAAGAAAGAAAGAAAAGAAAAAAACAAAGAAAAAAGAAAGAAAGATAATTCTTTGTATATTTTGGATAACAGTCCTTTATCAAATATGTGTTTTGCAAATATTTTATCCCAGTGTGTGGCTTGTCTCCTCATTCTCTTAATACTATCTATTCCAGGGCAGAAGTTGTACATTTTAATGAAGCCCACTTATCAATTGTTTCTTTTATGCACCATGCTTTGGTCTATCTTCTAAAAGTTTTGTTGTTTTGCACTTAACATTTGGGTCTATGATATAATTTGAGTTAAATTTTGTGAAACATTTAAAGTCTGTGTTTAGATTTTTTTATTTGTTTTTCATGAGACTATCCAATTGTTCCAGCATCATTTGTTGAAAAGACTATCCTTTTCCTTTGAATTGGCTTTGCTCCTTTTTCACAGATCACTTGACTATATTTGTGTGTGCCAATTCTGGGCTCTGTATTCTGTTCCACTGATTTATCTGTACAGTCTTTTGCCAATATCACTATGCTGATTGCTGTAGCTTTACAGTAAGTCTTGAACCGAGCAGCGTCAGTCCTCTGACTTTGTTCTTCTTCAGTATCATGTTGGTTATTCTGAGTCTTTTGCATTTCCATATAAATCTTACAGGTTTTTTTTTGTTTTGTTCTGTTTGTTTTGTTTTGTTTTTAGAGGAAGGGTCTTGCTGTCACCCAGGCTGGAGTGCAATAGCATGACCTTGGCCTACAACAGCCTCAATCTCTAGGGCTCAAGCAATTCTCCCACCTCAGCCTCCCAAGTAGCTGGGGTTACAGGCATGCACTGGCACACCCAGTTAAATTTTTATATTTTTGTAGAGATGGGGTCTCATTATATTGTCCAGTCTGGTCTCAAATTCTTGGCCTCAAACCATCCTCCTACCTCAGCCTCCCAAAGTGCTGAGATTACAAATGTGAGCCACCATACAATCAGTTTTTTGATATCTACAAAATAATTTGCTATGGTTTTGATTTTTATTACATTGAATCTGTAGATCGATTTGGGAAGAATTGGCATCCTAATAATATTGAGTCTTCCCATCCATGAACATGGAATATTTATTTAGAGCTTTGATTTCTTTCATCAGAGATTTGCAGTTTATCATGTACATATTTTGTGAGATTTATACCTAAGTCAGGTTTTTGGTGCTAATATAAATGATAATTATGTTTTAATTTTCAAATTCCAGCTGTTCGTTGCTAGGCAAGCAAGTGACTTTTGCTTATTACCCCTGCTACCTGCAACCTTGCTATAATCACTTATTAGTTCCAGGAATGTTTTGTTCTTTGGAATTTTCTACACAGACAATCATGTCCTGTGCAAGCAAAAATAGTTCATTTCTTCCTTCCCAATTTGCATACCCTCTTCTCCTTTTCTGGTCTTATTGCCAAGGCTAAGACTTCCAGCACAATGCTGAATAGGAGTGGTGAGAGGGGGCACCCTTGTCCTGTTCCCAGTCTTAAAGAGAAAGCATTCAGCTTCTCAACATTAAGTATGATATTAGCTGTAGGTTTTTTTGTAGATGTTCTCTATCAAGTTGAGGAAGTTCCACTCTATTCCTGCCTTGCTAGAGTTGTTATCATAAATAGGTGTTGGGTTTTGTCAAATGCTTTTCCTTTATCTATTGATATGATCATGTTTTTTCTTCTTTAGCCCATTGATGTGATGAATTACATTAATTTACATGTGAGTGTTAAACCAGCCTTGAATGTCTGGAGTAAATCCCACTTGGTTGTGATGTATCATTCATTTTACACATGTTAGGTTTGGGTTGCTGACTTTTTGTAGAGGATTTTTATATCTACATTCCTGAGAAATATTAGTGTGTTATTTTTCCTTGCTTGTAATGTCTTTGTCTAGTTTTGGTATTAAGGTATTACAACCTTCATTGAATGAGTTAGGAAGTGTTCCTACTGCCTCTATTTTCTGGAAAAGATTATAGGAAATTGTTATTTCTTCATTATGTTTTCAATATAATTCACCAGTAAAACCATCTGGGTCTAATGCTTTTTGGTTTGGAAGGTCATTAATTGTAGATTCAATGTCTTGTTTTTGTTTTTGTTTTGAGTCAGGATCTGGCTCTGTTGCCTGGGTTGGAGTGCAGTGGCATTATCATAGCTCACTGTAGCTTGAACTCCTGAGCTCAAGCAATCCTCCTGCCTCGGCCTCCTAAAGTGCTTGGATTACAGGTGTGAGGGCAGTGGCTGGAGGCCAAAAGTTTGAGAACAGCCTGGGCAATATAGCAAGACTCAGTCTCTATTTTTTAATAAAAATATTAATTTATATAAAAATACAAAATTTTATTTGTCATCTTTACCATTTTAAGTGTATAGCTCAGTGCTAATAAATATATTTACACATATATTATTTTCTCCTTCATCTCCGTTCCCCTACTCTCTTTCCTGGCCTTTTTTATCTTTTAAAAGACAGAAGTCTTATTACCCTGCCAAAGATGGTCTTGAACTCTAGCAATCCTCCCACTTAAGCCTGTCCTGTAGCTAGGACTATGCCCAGTTTGGTTAAACGTATTTTTAATTCCTCTGACTTGTTTTTTGACCCATGTGTTATTTGCAAGTGTATTGTTTATTCCAAATATTGGGGGATTTTCTGATTGGGAAGCTCCTTCCATTCTTCCCAGTTTGCTTAGTGTTTTTAACCATGAAGAGGTGTTGGAAAATGTAGACTATTCTTTCTGTCTCTATTGAGATGATCAAGCAGTTTTTGTCCTCTTAAGTATTACTATGATATGTTACATTAATTGATTTTTGGATGTTAAACCAACCTTGCACTCCTTAGAGAAAACACACTTAGTCATGGTTTGTAATTGTTTTTATATGCTAATAGATTCTGTTTCTGAAGTAGTTTGTTAAGGATTTTTCATGCCTGTATTCATGAAGGATATTGGTTTACAGTTTTCTTCTGATGAGTTTGCCTGGTTTTGGTATCAGTGTCACAGGCCTCAGAGAATGAGTTGGGAAGCATTCCCTTGAGAGCTTTTCTTTGTGGGAAAGTTTTTTTTCCCTGTAATTAGTAATTCAATCTCTTTACTTGTTATAATTTGTCTTAGTCTATTCTCACATTGCTGTAAAGACATACCTGAGACAGGGTAATTTATAAAGAAAAGAGGTTTAACTAGCTCCTGGTTCTGTGGGCTGTACAGACTTTTGCTTCTGGGGAGGCCTCAGGAAACTTACAATCATGGCAGAAAGCAAAGGGGAAGCAGGCAAATATTCATGTGGCCAAAAGGACAGAGAGAGCAAAGTGGGACATGCTACACACTTTCAAACAACCAGATCTCATGAGAACTTACTCACTATTACAAGAACAGCAAGGACGAAATCCACCTTCATGATCCAATCACCTGCCACCAGGTCTCTCCCCCAACATTGGGAATTACAATTCAACATGAGATTTGGGTGGGGACACACAGCCAAACTGTTATCAGAAAGAGGTCTTGATCCAGACATCATGGTTCTTGGATCTCATGCAAGAAAGAATTTGAGTCAAATCCATAAAGAGTAAAGTGCCAGGCATGGTCGCTCACACCAGTAATCCCAGCACTTTGGGAGGTCCAAGGCAGGCAGATCACAAGGTCAAGAGTTCAAGGCCAGCCTGACCAACATGGTGAAACCCCGTCTCTACTAAAAATACAAAAATTAGCCAGGCATGGTGGTGCATGCCTGTAATTCCAGCTACTCAGGAGGCTGAGGCAGGAGAATTGCTTGAACCCAGGAGGCGGAGTTTGAAGTGAGCCGAGATCGTGCCACTGCACTCCGCCTGGCGACAGAACGAGACTCCATGAAAAAAAAAAAAAAAAAAAAAAGAGTAAAGTGAGAGCAAGTTTATTGAGAAAGTAAAGGAATAAAAGAATGGCTATTCTATAGGCAGAGCAGCCCCAAAGGCTGCTGGTTGCCCATTTTTATGGTTATTTCTTGATTATATGCTAAACGAGGAGTGGATTATTCATGAGTTTTCCAGGAAAGTGGTGGGCAATTCTCAGAACTGAGGGTTCCTCCCCTTTTAGACCATATAGGGTAACTTCCTGACTTTGCCATGGCATTTATAAACTGTCATCGTGTTGGTGGGAGTGTCTTTTAGTGTGCTAATGTACTGTAACTAGAGTAATGAGCTGTGAGGATGACCAGAGGTCACTCTCATTGCCATCTTGGTTCTGGTGGTTTTGGGCCAGCTTCTTTACACCATTATCAGCAAGGCCTTTATGACCTGTATCTTGTGTCAACCTCCTGTCTCATCCTGTGACTTAGAATGTCTACCCTCCTGGGAATGCAGCCCAGTAGGTCTCAGCCTTATTTTACCCAGCACCTCTCATTTCCACATATTAACCCCCCCGTTCCACACACTCTCACATTTGGTCCCAGGGGTCTCGAACACCCCTGACGTCCAGCCTCTGCCCGCCAGCTGTTCAGGTCGGGTGGGGAGGCTGCAGTGCAGACCCCTGCCCGGCGTCTCCCTGGAGACTGCCTTCCCTCCCATATATGGTGCGTGCTGCTGGCTGTCCCCCCTGTTCCCTCTACCTGGAAGTCTTTCCTCACCCCTGCCTTCAGAGTCTAACCTCTCCCCAGGCCTCAGCTGAAGGCCTGGCTCTGAGCCAGCCACCTCCTTCACACAACCCACCTTGCTCTGAAGCTGCCTGCTCACAGCCATGCCCCGATGCCACACCCAGGGGTTCTTGGGGAACATTAATGGGATAAAGGAGTAAGAAAATCAAAGGTCACCAAACGGAGCCCTTAAAGGGCAATGCTCTGCGTGTGCCACGGTGCCCAACAGCATCTCGTGCCAGCTGAGCTGCGGTGTGTGGACCCGGGGAATGGACCGGGCTGGACAACCTCTAAGACTTGGCTCCAGCTCAGCCTGTGAAGGAATCACCTCTCTGATCCCCACCTCTGCCCCGGAGTGCTAGACCCAGGGAGGAAGAGACCCCATGGACCAGCCAGAGGCCCCCTGCTCCAGGTGAGTGCTGGCCCCAGGGTGGTCACTGGGAACCGGCTGGTCTCAGCCCTCTGGGGCCTCCACCTCACCCGCTGACTTCCTCAGGCTCTCCACCCTTGTCCACATCCTTCCCCCACCCTCACTCCCAGGCTCAGGAGCCAAGCACTGCCTCCCCACAGAGGGCATTTGTGGAGTCTGTTCCCCACCAGGGGCTCAGATTCAGGCCCTGGTGCAAGGCCCCAAGCTGGGCCCCACCAAAGTGTGGCAGGGGTGGGGGCCCAGGAATACAGCCTGGGCCTGGCAGTGTCTGCTGCCAAAGAGGCCAGTTCTGCTCCGGGATCGGGAAGAGAGGGAAAAGAAGGAAAGCGAGGAAAGAGAGCTCAGGGTTCCTTGGAAATACCTCCCTCGGGGCATGTGACCTGTCCTGGGGTGTGGAAGGACAGAAGCAGAAAGGGAGGTGCAGGGGAGGAAGGTGCCCCCCAGAGCTCAGATCAGCGGCGGCCAGTGCCCACTTCACCCTCAGAGGGCGAAGAACACCAAGACGCCCCGACCCGGGTCCGGGGACGGGGGAGGGAAAAGTCTGGGGTCACTCCCCGTTGCCCCCTCCCGCCACCCCATGGATCCAGACGATGCTTGGCCCGGGACTCCCTGAGGCCCTGCCCGCGGTGGGTTCTCCGGCGCCAGAGTCGGGGGCGGGCGGGGGTCACCCGAGGGCCGCTCCCCGATGACCCGCGCCCGCCCGCCTCCAGCACGGGGCCGCGCCTCGCGGTGGCCCGCGAGCTGCTCCTGGCTGCGCTGGAGGAACTGAGCCAAGAGCAGCTGAAGCGCTTCCGCCACAAGCTGCGCGACGTGGGCCCGGACGGACGCAGCATCCCGTGGGGGCGGCTGGAGCGCGCGGACGCCGTGGACCTCGCGGAGCAGCTGGCCCAGTTCTACGGCCCGGAGCCTGCCCTGGAGGTGGCCCGCAAGACCCTCAAGAGGGCGGACGCGCGCGACGTGGCGGCGCAGCTCCAGGAGCGGCGGCTGCAGCGTGAGTTCTGCGCGGGAGGTCCCTCCTGTCTGGGCAGAGGCTGGGCTGCCCTCCTTCCCGCTTCCCGGAGAAGCCCCGGCGCGGTCCCCGGCCCCCGCGCGTTTTATCCACAAATTCGCGGGCCCCAGGGGTAGGACCCTGCGTGCTCCTCAGGGTGACTCGGACCCCCGTGGCGCCTTCCCCTGTTCCCGCCCTCGGCGGAACCTCACCCCAGTTTCCCTTCCAGGGCTCGGGCTCGGCTCCGGGACGCTGCTCTCCGTGTCCGGTGGGTCTCTCGCTGGGGGGGCACGAGTGTCCCCAACCCCACTTGGAGGGTCCCGGGGAGGACCGGGGTGGGAGGGCCGCCAGGGGCGTGGGCTGTGGTCCCGTAGAGGAAACTGAGGCCTGAGCAGGGCCGGGGAGGGCGTGGGCTCCCGGAGGGCGCAGCCTGCCCCACCTCCGACCCTTGTCCCCGCGCTGTCTCCCGCTGCGCCCAGAGTACAAGAAGAAGTACCGGGAGCACGTGCTGCAGCTGCACGCTCGGGTGAAGGAGAGGAACGCCCGCTCCGTGAAGATCACCAAGCGCTTCACCAAGCTGCTCATCGCGCCCGAGAGCGCCGCCCCGGAGGAGGCGATGGGGCCCGCGGAAGAGCCTGAGCCGGGGCGCGCGCGGCGCTCGGACACGCACACTTTCAACCGCCTCTTCCGCCGCGACGAGGAGGGCCGGCGGCCGCTGACCGTGGTGCTGCAGGGCCCGGCGGGCATCGGCAAGACCATGGCGGCCAAAAAGATCCTGTACGACTGGGCGGCGGGCAAGCTGTACCAGGGCCAGGTGGACTTCGCCTTCTTCATGCCCTGCGGCGAGCTGCTGGAGAGGCCGGGCACGCGCAGCCTGGCTGACCTGATCCTGGACCAGTGCCCCGACCGCGGCGCGCCGGTGCCGCAGATGCTGGCCCAGCCGCAGCGGCTGCTCTTCATCCTGGACGGCGCGGACGAGCTGCCGGCGCTGGGGGGCCCCGAGGCCGCGCCCTGCACAGACCCCTTCGAGGCGGCGAGCGGCGCGCGGGTGCTAGGCGGGCTGCTGAGCAAGGCGCTGCTGCCCACGGCCCTCCTGCTGGTGACCACGCGCGCCGCCGCCCCCGGGAGGCTGCAGGGCCGCCTGTGTTCCCCGCAGTGCGCCGAGGTGCGCGGCTTCTCCGACAAGGACAAGAAGAAGTATTTCTACAAGTATTTCCGGGATGAGAGGAGGGCCGAGCGCGCCTACCGCTTCGTGAAGGAGAACGAGACGCTGTTCGCGCTGTGCTTCGTGCCCTTCGTGTGCTGGATCGTGTGCACCGTGCTGCGCCAGCAGCTGGAGCTCGGTCGGGACCTGTCGCGCACGTCCAAGACCACCACGTCAGTGTACCTGCTTTTCATCACCAGCGTTCTGAGCTCGGCTCCGGTAGCCGACGGGCCCCGGTTGCAGGGCGACCTGCGCAATCTGTGCCGCCTGGCCCGCGAGGGCGTCCTCGGACGCAGGGCGCAGTTTGCCGAGAAGGAACTGGAGCAACTGGAGCTTCGTGGCTCCAAAGTGCAGACGCTGTTTCTCAGCAAAAAGGAGCTGCCGGGCGTGCTGGAGACAGAGGTCACCTACCAGTTCATCGACCAGAGCTTCCAGGAGTTCCTCGCGGCACTGTCCTACCTGCTGGAGGACGGCGGGGTGCCCAGGACCGCGGCTGGCGGCGTTGGGACACTCCTGCGTGGGGACGCCCAGCCGCACAGCCACTTGGTGCTCACCACGCGCTTCCTCTTCGGACTGCTGAGCGCGGAGCGGATGCGCGACATCGAGCGCCACTTCGGCTGCATGGTTTCAGAGCGTGTGAAGCAGGAGGCCCTGCGGTGGGTGCAGGGACAGGGACAGGGCTGCCCCGGAGTGGCACCAGAGGTGACCGAGGGGGCCAAAGGGCTCGAGGACACCGAAGAGCCAGAGGAGGAGGAGGAGGGAGAGGAGCCCAACTACCCACTGGAGTTGCTGTACTGCCTGTACGAGACGCAGGAGGACGCGTTTGTGCGCCAAGCCCTGTGCCGGTTCCCGGAGCTGGCGCTGCAGCGAGTGCGCTTCTGCCGCATGGACGTGGCTGTTCTGAGCTACTGCGTGAGGTGCTGCCCTGCTGGACAGGCACTGCGGCTGATCAGCTGCAGATTGGTTGCTGCGCAGGAGAAGAAGAAGAAGAGCCTGGGGAAGCGGCTCCAGGCCAGCCTGGGTGGCGGCAGGTGCGTCTCCAGGGCAGAGATACTCTCTTGTGTGTGAGGTGTGTGTGCCGGTGCAAACCTGTGCACCTCAGTGTCCATCTGGCATGGGGCGCACCTCCAGACCAGACCCTGGCTCCCCAGATGGGGAGGCTTTGACCACCTCCTTGCAAGGCAACCACTGAATTCCTATCTTCTTCCCCAGGGTGTCCTCACCATGCCCACCGTCAGCCACCCACAACCTATGAAAACTTCCTAGTATGGCCCTACAGCTCTGGCCCAGCCCTTCTTCCCATTTTACTTTCTGACAATAAGCTCTGGAACACACGATGCCCTCTGTCCAGAGCCTCTGCACTTGCCCTTCCCTCCACCTAGAATATTCTGTTTGCTGCCTGTCCTGCAAGTCTGCCCTGGCTCCCCCAGCTGGCTGGGGACCCAACTGGCTCCAGAAGTACCCTTTCGACCACCCTGCTGTGACATCTGCCCCACACCTCCACCAGACCCTCGGCTCCTCCAGGGCAAGGCTTTTGCCAGAGTTCCTTTGAATATAGCTCCAATTCAGCCCCTGCCCAGGGGCTTGGCATCTGTTGAGAGGATGAATGTCACGGTGTTGGCAGGGGCTGGGCCTGGGGACCCAAAGACCCATGTAGAGGATGTGGGTGATACCGTCCCACTGACCTCACTCAGACACCCCAGTGGGATGATGCCTGGGCCACAGATGAGTGGTTTTGCTCTGGGTTTGGTTGGGGGAGTGTGAAGGGGGTGGCTCAGCAAGGAGGTGAGGAGGAGGGGCAGCTCTGAGACCCCAGGACTACAGATAGACAGGAGTCCTTTCCGGCAGGCACTGTGAGGAGCAGGGTGGGCTTCACCTTCCTCTCTCTCCCAGCAGTTCTCAAGGCACCACAAAACAACTGCCAGCCTCCCTTCTTCATCCACTCTTTCAGGCAATGACTGACCCACTGTGCCATCTGAGCAGCCTCACGTGAGTGGCCACACCCCCAGCTCTTCCCACGGAGCGGGCTGAGAGCAGGATGCCCTGGGCAGAGACGGAAGTATGACCTAGGAAAGAAGGCTGAGGGGTCAGACCAGAGCCTGAGGCCTGTGGGTGCTGGAGATGGCAGGCTCTGCCCACACAGAGCAGAGGGAGGAGGGGATGAGGGTCTGGGGCTTCATTACCAGGTTAGGTACTGGTAGGAAAAGGTTGGTCCTGGTGAGTGGAAAGCAGCTAAGCACACTGAGGGAGGGATTAAAGAAGACAAGAGTGTATTTTCCTTCTGAAGGGAGGCTGCCGTTGGAAACTGCTGGGTTCTCAGAAGCAGTGGAGGAAGGTGTTCAAGCGCAGGCTCCAAGGTCAGGCTGTCTGCAAATGCTAGCCGGCTTCTGCGTGCCCAGTAGCAAGTCCATCTGTCCGAGCTTCCATTTCCTCCCCTGTGAAATGGAGCCAGTAGATCCAGAGAGTTGGGGTGAGATTTAATGTGGCTACACATGTACAGTTCTTTTTTTTTTTTTTTTTTTTGAGACGGAGCCTCGCTCTGTCGCCCAGGCTGGAGTGCAGTGGTGTGATCTCAGCTCACTGCAAGCTCCGCCTCCCGGGTTCACGCCATTCTCCTGCCTCAGCCTACTGAGTAGCTGGGACTACAGGTGCCCGCCACTACGCCCGGCTAATTGTTTGTATTTTTAGTAGAGACAGGGTTTCACCGGGTTAGCCAGGATAGTCTCGATCTCCTGACCTCGTGATCCACCCGCCTCTGCCTCCCAAAGTGCTGGGATCACAGGCATGAGCCACCGCGCCCGGCCACATGTACAGTTCTTACATGGCAATAACTTGCCAGTCACTCTTAGCTACCACCAAGTGAGCAGAAAGGAAGAGGAAATCTAGGAACTAGTACTGATGGTGAAACAGGTCCATCCTACGTTGATGGCAACTCGGCAAATTAGCTTGATATGGGGGTGGGGGATTTGGCAATCTGGAGATAAACATAAGAACCAAAAAGGTGATCACATTTGGCCCAGCAATTCTGCTGGTAAAGTAAGATGTTCAGCACACCATTATTTATAATGGAAAAAAAAAAAAGGAGAAACAACACAACTACCCAACCATTAGGGAATAGCGGACTAAATAAACTGAGTTGGCCACCTCATCTTGGTGGACGATTGTGCGGCAAACATGTTGAAACACGTCTCAGCTCTCCGAAGAGCTCGTAGAGAGTGTCGCAGGGAGAAATGAACACAGCTCCCCGGGGGTGCATGGTGACAAAGGGCAGGGCAGGCTCTGCGAGGTCCAGGGAAGGATGTGGCACCAACACATCTCTCAGCTGAACCCTGGGCCACCGGGCAGCGGGCATTTTGTGCAGTTGGAGGTGGTGTGGTGGCTGAGGCGCCTGCAGGTAAATCTCTGTGCTTCTTGACCACAGGCTGTCCCACTGCAAACTCCCTGACGCGGTCTGCCGAGACCTTTCTGAGGCCCTGAGGGCAGCCCCCGCACTGACGGAGCTGGGCCTCCTCCACAACAGGCTCAGTGAGGCGGGACTGCGTATGCTGAGTGAGGGCCTAGCCTGGCCGCAGTGCAGGGTGCAGACGGTCAGGTGAGGCCTGGCCTGGGAGGGACCGTGGGATGCCCCCGCCACCCCAGCAGCTCCTGAGGTCGGCCCTCCCACAGGGTACAGCTGCCTGACCCCCAGCGAGGGCTCCAGTACCTGGTGGGTATGCTTCGGCAGAGCCCTGCCCTGACCACCCTGGATCTCAGCGGCTGCCAACTGCCCGCCCCCATGGTGACCTACCTGTGTGCAGTCCTGCAGCACCAGGGATGCGGCCTGCAGACCCTCAGGTGGAGGCAGGGGTGGGAAGGGTGCTGGGGACACAGCCTGTCAACCCGGGGAGGGGGAGGGTGCCTGGGGGCTCCCCCTGGACCCTGAAGAGGGGCCCCTCCCAGAGACCTCCCATGTGACTGAGCTCAAACACTGACCTGGGAGCCCAGCCCTGACAGCCCTGCCCTCTGAAGCCCTGGCCACAGCTCGGGGCCTTGACCACTTTGTCTGACCAAATGTTCATCTGTTGTCTGGTGCCCATGGCAGCACCCTGGGCCAGTGGCCCCGATACCCTTTTGCCACCCCCAAGGTCCGGCCTCTGCCCCCTCCCCCAGCCTCTGACAAACCTCTCAACTGACACCACCTGTCCCTGAGTGTCTGTGGCACAGCCAAGCTGACAGCCCAGTCACTGCCCGCAGCCCGGCCACCCCCACGGCACTGCCCGTCACTGCCCGCGGCCCGGCTGCCCCCACGGCACTGCCCCCAAGCCCTGGCTGCTTTCCCCCACCGCTGACCCCGCTTCTGCTCTGCGTGTGGCTGCAGTCTGGCCTCTGTGGAGCTGAGCGAGCAGTCACTACAGGAGCTTCAGGCTGTGAAGAGAGCAAAGCCGGATCTGGTCATCACACACCCAGCGCTGGACGGCCACCCACAACCTCCCAAGGAACTCATCTCGACCTTCTGAGGCTCTGGTGGCCAGAGCAGGGTGGAAGACCCTAGTCAAAGTCCCTGTGGAGAGAACGGCCCATTCCAAGGGCAGGAGGATATTGCTCTCGGCCTTTGGGAAACTTTTGAGCCGAGAGGCCGCAGACAGGCATGTGGGAGGCCCAGACACGGCACCCTGCCCCGTCCAGGACAGGCCCAGGACCTGCCCCTCTCTCCACACCTGGGGTACCCCTTCTCCCCCAGCCCCACCACTACTCCACCCACCTTCCTCTCCTGAGACCCTCCAGCCATTCCCCTTGAAAACACCCCCCGACCCCAAGCCACAATAATGACAGCGAGAGCTCCAATTAACTAAGCACCTACCTGGGGGCAGAATAACCCTTCACTGCCTGATCCCCATCTGCAGTGTGGCCCAACAGCCCCCAGAACTATGCCCACATAGACTGGAGGTAGGCAGTTCACCGTCCCTCCCTGTTAGGAATGAGACCATCCCTGAGGCTATGGCCCAGGCCCACAGGCGTCCAGTGTCTGAGATCTTTGGGAAGGGAGACTAGGGCAGGTGGAGACAGCGCAGAACCCCCGTGCTGGGTGGGAAGCATGACCACACGGTGGGTGAGCAGCCCCCATGCACTGATGGTAAATTCCCCTGTGGACTCATTTCTGTTGGTTTCTATTACACCTGGCCAGGCGTGGTACAATACAGGTCGGTGCTCACAATCTTTCCAGCATTCCACTTTCACAGGGCAGGATGGTGGCCCCCGGTTCCCCAGTGAGGAAAGTGAGTCTCAGGGGGCAGCCTGACTGCAGAAAGTGCTGCGACAGGGGCCCTGATGGACAGGACCCGCGGCGGACAGTCCTCGAATCCTGGAGTTTTCTCTGCTCAACCCTGCTGGGCTGCTGAGACTCCAGTCTGAGTGGGGAGGTGGGGGGAGACTCTGGATTCAGCCCCATCACTGCCCAGGGGAAATCCCCTACTATAATCCACTTTCTAACTCCATTTCTTCATTTCACAAAACACAAAAACCCCTGTCCTCCTAGAGCTGACATTCTAGGTAAGAAGACAAACACCTATATGATACACAGTGTAATACAATAAATATATATACGATACATACACAACACATATGTGATACACAACGCAATAGCACAAGTACGTATATTATATGTATACGTGTGCCAGGTGTGGTGGCGCATGCCTGTGGTCCCAGATACTCAGGAGGCTGAGGCAAGAGTTCGAGGCTTGAGCTTAGGAGTTCGAGGATGCAGTGAGCTATTAGGTTGGTTGGAAAGTAAGCAAAAACCGCAATTACTTTTGCACCAACCTAATATGATTTTGCCACCACACTCTGGCCTGGGCCACAGAGAGAGACCCCATCGCTAATAAGTAATAAATAAATGTGTATCTGATACATAACTACACACCACAATCAATAGGCCTGTGATGTGGCCGGGCGCGGTGGCTCAAGCCTGTAATCCCAGCACTTTGGGAGGCCGAGGCGGGTGGATCACGAGGTCAGGAGTTCGAGATCATCCTGGCTCACACGGTGAAACCCCGTCTCTACTAAAAATACAAAAAAATTAGCCGGGCGTGGTGGCGGGCGCTGTAGTCCCAGCTACTCTGGAGGCTGAGGCAGGAGAATGGCACGAACCCGGGAGGTGGAGCTTGCAGTGAGCCAAGATCGCGCCACTGCACTCCAGCCTGGGCGACAGAGCGAGAGTCTTTCTAAAAAAAAAAAAAAAAAAAAAAAAAAGGCCTATGATGCATCAACAAGTAACAATGTAATAAAGATTCAGAGGCGGGGCGGATAAATGCTGCGGAGGAAAGTTAGGCAGAACCAGGGGCTGGTGGGAATGGATGGAGCGCAGGGTTTCCTGTTGCATGAAACGGGGGTCTGAGGAAGTCTAACTGACGACTGGGCATTTGAAAACCCGAAGGAGTGAGGGGGCAAGCCCCAAAGAGGTCTTGAGAAAAAGGGCTTCAGGCAATTATGCTGCCAGAGCAAGCCAGGCGGGGAGCTTGGAAAGCTCCAGAAGCAGCAAGGAAGCCAGGTAGCGACAGCGGAGTAGGGGAGGGGGAGGAGATGAGGTCAGGGAACCCAGGCAGGTGCAGGAAGGGGTTTGCGGGTGGAGCTTGCGTGCTTGGAAAGCTCCAGAAGCAGCAAGGAAGCCAGGTAGCCGCAGCGGAGTAGGGGATGGGGAGGAGATGAGGTCAGGGAACCCAGGCAGGTGCAGGAGGGGGTTTGCGGGTGGAGCTTGCGTGCTTGGAAAGTTCCAGAAGCAGCAAGGAAGCCAGGTAGCCGCAGCGGAGTAGGGGAGGGGGAGGAGATGAGGTCAGGGAACCCAGGAAGGTGCAGGAGGGGGTTTGCGGGTGGAGCTTGCGTGCTTGGAAAGTTCCAGAAGCAGCAAGGAAGCCAGGTAGCCGCAGCGGAGTAGGGGACGGGGAGGAGATGAGGTCAGGGAACCAAGGCAGGTGCAGGAGGGGGTTTGCGGGTGGAGCTTGCGTGCTTGGAAAGTTCCAGAAGCAGCAAGGAAGCCAGGTAGCCGCAGCGGAGTAGGGGAGGGGGAGGAGATGAGGTCAGGGAACCCAGGCAGTTGCAGGAGGGGGTTTGCGCCGGGTGGAGCTTGCGTGAGGAGCGCTTTTGGATCGTCCTCCGTGAGTTGGGCGCCATGGCTGCCTTCTGGGCAGAGTGCAGGGCCTGCCTTAAATGTTGTGGGGGTTCTGTTCTCAACAAAGGCGTAAGTTGGGAGCGACTGAGCCACTCCAGGAGGAGGTGTGGGCCCACGGCGTGTTGGAGGTGGAGCCACAGGACCTGTCCATAGGTTGGATGCTGTGTGGGTGACAGAGAGAAACCGGGGCTCACGGCCTGGGCAGCGGGACGGGCGGAGTCGTCCTCACCTGTGCTGGGGACCCTGTGGGAGCAGCAGGCTTCCGAGCACGTGCTGGACCCCGGCGTCTCCGGCTGCACCGAGTGGTCAGGACATTGAGGCCGGGTCAGGGAGCGTGAGATACCGGGACGAGCGGGCCCAGGGCTGAGCCCAGCGGCGTCCGGGTGGGCGGTGGCGTTGAGATGGGAATTGGGAATTGCACCGGTGGTCTCAGGAGGATGGAAAACCCAAGCAGCAGCTGCACCAGGACCGAGGCAAAGGGACCGCAGTTTAACAGAAAACCCAAAACGAGAGCGAGAAAACGGCCAAACACCCGTGCGAGTGAGACGTCCATGAGCCTTCCCGGCAAAACGCCCAATAAGGGAGAAGGGGCAGGCGCGGCGGGGGCCGGGGTTCCCTGAAGTCCCCTTCGTTTCCAGAATCCCTAAAGATCATTCCGCCCCCCAGGGAGGAAACCCAAGCTCCGCCGAGCGCGGCGGGTCTGTGCCTTCGCTTCGCTTCCAGCCTCTCGCTTCCTTCTGACCCGACCCCGAGTTCTTTCTCCGGACGGTGTCGAGAACCCGGGCGCCGGCTGGGGCTGGAGTCTCGCTGGCCTCGGAGCGCCCCCGAGCCCTCGGGCGACAGCGAGGCGAGGACCCAGGTGGAGGCGGCCGGGGGCGCGGGCGGAGGGAGGAGGCGCGGGAGGGAACCCCCGGCCCGCGGGCCCCACCCACAGCCGCCCCGGGACGCAGCTCGGGGTCCAGGCTCGAGCTTTGCTCACTCAGGGCGCTTCGTGCAGGGAACGCCAGGCCCCCGGACGCGACCCACGCGGCCGCTGCCAGCGGGGACCGAGGGGAGCCGGGGCCGCGGCCGCGAGTCCACGTCCCGCCCCCGGGCCCGGCCCAGCGACCGCCCCCGCCGCCCAGGGACCGCCCCCGCCTCCCAGCGACCGCCCGGGCCCTCGGGGCGGGGACCGCGGACCTTCCTGGTGGCGCGGCAGCCGGGCGGCTCCTCCTTCCTCCCGGCCCTGGCGTGGAGCAGAGGGACACAGGTTCCCACGCTGGCGCCCGGCGACCGGGTGGGGCTGCGGTGAGTCCCAGAGGCCCCCGCCCCGCAGCTCCCGGCCGCCCCGGCCCGTCCCCCCAGCCCCCGGTCGCCCCATCCTCCCTCCCCCACCCGCGCCTGCCCCAGCCGCCTACACCCCCGAGACCCCCACCCGCCCGGCGCCCCGGCAGCCCCGGACTCCCTCCCCCATCCCGCCCAGCGCTCCCCCCACCCTCCACACACGCCCGCCCCCACGTGCCACCAACAGACGCAGGTCCCGACCACAGAGGGTGGGGGCAAGACCGGGGTTGTGGGGGGTGCGTTTGGAAAGCAGGGTTAGGACTGGAATTCTAAGGTAGCAGGAGGGAGAGACACACTCAGGGGCTCAGCTGGGTTCCTGGAGATCAACCTTTGGGGTCTGAGCCCCTCTGAGAGTCGAGCTCCTTTCCTGCGAGGCCCCGTCTAGGAGGGGCCTCAGGAAAATCGGGGCTGCCCAGCTGGTTCCGCAACTCCCCCCAGTTCTGAGGGAGGCTTCAGGGGATTACAGACGGTCTCAAGAGGGAGGCCCAGCCAGTCCCGCGGCCCCTGACACCCCATCAGGCCGCTCAGGCCCAGCAGCTCCATGGAGGACGCCGGCGAGGACCCCACCACGTTTGCTGCCCACTCTCTGCCCAGTGACCCCCGTCTCTTGGCCACTGTGACCAACGCATACCTGGGCACACGAGTGTTTCACGACACGCTGCACGTGAGCGGCGTGTACAATGGGGCTGGCGGGGACACGCACCGGGCCATGCTGCCCAGCCCCCTCAACGTCCGGCTGGAGGCCCCTGCAGGGATGGGGGAGCAGCTGACCGAGACCTTCGCCCTGGACACCAACACAGGTAGCGCCACCTGGCCTGCCTCACCCCTGCCCCAGGCATTGTTCCAGGTCGGTGGGGCAACCACAGCATCGAATCCCACCAGCACCTCCTGAGTTTACACAGGAAGTCTCACTAAGACAGGAGGCCCCAGAGGCCCGCAGGGTCCCCCCTTCCCTCCACCTGGAGGCCTCCTGTGCAGCTGTAGCGGGAACGAGCAGCCGAGGGCCCAGAGGGATCCGCCTCATTGTGGGGAGAGGCAGCGGTCGGGTGGTCCACTCCTGCCCCAGAGAGGCCATAGCTTGGCAACCCACCTGCCTTCGCTTCTGCCTCCCCAGGCTCCTTTCTTCACACCCTGGAGGGCCCCCGCTTCCGGGCCTCCCAGTGCATCTATGCGCATCGCACGCTGCCCCACGTGCTGGCTTTCCGAGTGTCCATCGCCCGCCTGGCCCCGGGGAGCGGGCCCATCACGCTGCTCCTGCGGTCAGCCTTCTCCCCAGAAAGCCCAGACCTGGACCTGCATCAGGGTCCTGACTTCCAGGGAGCCCGGTAAGGAGGGGGCTGGATTTGCAGCCAGGGAGTCCAGGGAGGGAGCTCATCCCTGAGGCATGGCCACGCTCTCACAGGTACCTGTATGGCCACACCCTCACCCCTGAGCAGCCCGGGGGGCCACAGCAAGAGGTACACATGCTGTGGACACCAGCACCCCCAGACCTGACCCTTGGGGAAGGTGAGGAGGCTAGGACGTGGGACTTCCTGACAGCAGTGGGCGGCAGCCAGGCTGAGGCTCAGGCCTGCCTCACTGAGGCCCTGCAGCTGCAGGCCAGGGGAGCTCTGTATACGGCTCACGCACAGGCCTGGGCCCAGCTCTGGGTAGAATGTGGCTTGGACGTGGTGGGGCCCCTGCAGCTGCGCCAGGCCCTGCGTGGCTCCCTCTACTACCTGCTCAGTGCCCTGCCCCAGCCCAAGGCCCCAGGATACATCTGCCATGGCCTCAGTCCTGGGGGCCTCTCCAATGGGAGCCGTGAGGAATGCTACTGGGGCCACGTCTTCTGGGACCAGGTGAGCACTGTACACCCAGCACCAGCCACACAGCAGGCGACACATGGAGGTCCACGGTCTCTGCCCTCCCTGGGACCAGGGCTATGGTTGGGGAAGCACAGGGACTGTGGCAAAAGGGAAGAGGCCTGGAAGGTGTGCAGGAGTTTGGTAGAGGAGTGATCTAGGTGAGGGGAATGGAAGGTGCAGAGACCAGAGCTGAGAGGGCCTGAGGCACTTTCCAGAGCGTGGGGAGGGGCCTCCACCAAGGCGAGAAGGGCTGCAGGTCCAGATCACCAGCGTTTGTAGACAGTAGTGTGGCGCTTGGAGTTTACCTGAGGGCCAGTGGAGCTCCAGGGACCTATCAGGACGGGGACCTGTGGGGACTGGGAAGGCCTGTGGGGCTGCGTGGAGCCCGGTACTGGAGGCCGACGGGGGTGACGGGGACGCTGAGGGCACAGAGCGGAGGGGCATGATGGCTGCTGGGCGTGGAGGTGTCGAGAGTGACTGTGCTGGGGCTGCTCCATCGTTGTCTGAGCCTCCCGGTGCTGCCGCTGTGGCCGTTTCTTTGATGAGGCTCTCAGAGGCCGAGTCATTCACTGCCAGCCTGAAGCTGCCCATGCGCATATTCGGGCTGGAGCCTCTGAGGCCACACAAACGCCGGCTGGGGAGGCGAAGTGTGGGGCTGAGCACCAGAACTCCAGGAGCGTCTGGGCTGGAGACAGAACTGGGTGGGCAGGTGGGGAGGGCCTGCAGATCTGAGTGGGCAGCCGAGGAGGAACCCAGAAGACGCCAGCGATGGAGCTCTGCCGGGGCGGAATGTGGCCAGGAGGGGCGGGAGCAGTGACGGCCTGTCCGGCGCTAGAACGAGGGACCGTGCTCTCAGGACCTCTGGATGTTCCCGAGTATCCTGATGTTCCACCCAGAAGCCGCCAGGGCCATCCTGGAGTACCGCATCCGCACGCTGGACGGGGCCCTGGAGAACGCCCAGAACCTGGGCTACCAGGTGAGGGGACCTGGGGCACTGGCCCGTAGGGCCCTGCAGGGCCTGCAGCCCCCACACCCCTCCCAGGCCTGTATCCCTCTCCCCAGGCCCCCTCTGGACAAAGCTGGGACATCCTAGATTCCCCACCCTGAGGCTTGTGGGGCCTCAGCAGTGCCCTGCAGCCCGCACCTGAGAGAGAGGAGGTGGGAACCGCAGCGGGCTGGGACCCTGCTTTGGCCCAGGACCCCCTGGGGTGCCCTTGCTGCCCTGCACCAGGGTCAGCACTCGGTGAGAACTGGGCAGAAGCCACCTGGCCCCGTGAGGACGTGCAGTGGGCCTTCTAGCAGTAGCACCCGCCAGGGTACCTGGCGCAGGCCGAGCCCCCCCTCCTCCAGGGCGAGGGCACGGGAAAGTTGGGGGGCCACCGCTCCCCTCCAACAAGGTCAAGTCTGCCCCCTCCCAACCCCTCAGGGAGCCAAGTTTGCCTGGGAGAGTGCAGACTCCGGCCTAGAGGTTTGCCCTGAGGACATTTACGGAGTCCAGGAGGTCCACGTCAACGGGGCCGTGGTGTTGGCCTTCGAGCTGTACTACCATACCACCCAGGTGAGGTGCTGCGTGCCCACCATTCCTGCAAGTGTGGCCAGGCAGCTGGTGTAGCCCCCACTCCTCGTGGCTTCCTGTTTGGGGCTGGTCCTGGGAAGCTGGCTGAGGACAGGTGTCTCAATGCCAGGCCTTGCTTCTGGGCACAGACAGGCCACTAGGAATGAGAGTGACTGGGGCCCTGGCCTCTGTGCCTCCTCCTGCTCCCCAGGACCTGCAGCTATTTCGAGAGGCTGGTGGCTGGGACGTGGTCAGGGCTGTGGCCGAGTTTTGGTGCAGTCGTGTTGAGTGGAGCCCCAGGGAGGAAAAGTACCACCTGAGGGGTGAGGCCATGGTGGGGAGGGGCTCGGGGAGGAAGGGTGGATGCTCCCAGACTCAGCAGATGATTTTCAGACACCTCACGTGTGCCAGCCCCACGCTGACCACCGGCGTGGAGGGAAGGCCTCTGAGACTCTGCACTGAGCACCATCTTGGACTTGTGTGTCCAGGAGTCATGTCCCCCGACGAGTACCATTCAGGGGTCAACAACTCTGTGTACACCAACGTCCTGGTCCAGAACAGGTCAGACACAAGATCCCCTCACCTCACCCCACCCCCGCCCCAGCTGGAGACCTGCCCCGGTGCCCCCACTAGGCAGGCAGCAGCTGGAAGTGTAGGGGTTGCAGCCTCCCCCACCTACCTCCACCTCCAGCCTGCGCTTTGCTGCTGCCCTGGCCCAGGACCTGGGTCTTCCCATCCCCAGCCAGTGGCTGGCGGTGGCTGACAAGATCAAGGTACCCTTTGACGTGGAGCAGAACTTCCACCCGGAGTTCGATGGGTATGAGCCTGGTGAGTGGACCCCTTCAAGGGCTCCTCCCCTGCCGTCGAGACCCTCGAGTCTGTCCTGGAACACCTTCCAGTCAGCGGCACCTCCCTGTAGGAGAGGTGGTGAAGCAGGCAGACGTCGTGCTCCTGGGATACCCAGTCCCCTTCTCCCTGAGTCCTGATGTTCGCAGGAAAAATCTGGAGATTTACGAGGCTGTGACGTCCCCCCAGGGCCCCGCCATGACCTGGGTGAGCACCCTGGGGCTGTGGAGTTCCTACCCCATTGGCCTCAGTCTTCTCTGCCCACGCAGTGGGCCTCACCCCTGTGTGTCCTCTTACCTCTGACCCCAGAGCATGTTTGCTGTGGGCTGGATGGAGCTGAAGGACGCAGTGCGGGCCCGGGGCCTCCTGGACAGGAGCTTTGCCAACATGGCTGAACCCTTCAAGGTCAGCCTGGCCACACCTGCCTCCCACTGGGCCCCTTGTGGTGGGAGTGGAGCCCAGCCTCAGAGCAGGCACAGCAGGGTGCACCCCTGGAGCTTCCTGCCGGATCTTGGGACAGCAGCCCAGAGAGGACGGTGACCTGGGGGTCCTGGTGTCAGCTGCCCTTGCCCCTGCAGGTGTGGACGGAGAATGCAGACGGGTCAGGCGCTGTGAACTTCCTGACAGGCATGGGGGGCTTCCTGCAGGCGGTGGTCTTCGGGTGCACGGGGTTCAGGTAAGTGCAGAGGCTGGCAGAGGGCAGCCCATGCCCCCACCTGCCACCTCACAAGCCTCTCCTCCCACAGGGTCACCCGAGCGGGTGTGACCTTTGACCCTGTGTGTCTGTCGGGGATCTCCAGAGTGAGCGTCTCCGGCATCTTCTACCAGGGGAACAAGCTCAACTTCTCTTTTTCCGAGGACTCCGTGACCGTGGAGGTCACAGCTCGAGCAGGGCCCTGGGCTCCTCACCTGGAGGCTGAGCTGTGGCCATCCCAGTCCCGGCTCTCCCTGTTGCCAGGTAGAACAGCCCCCAACAGCCCAGGTGCCTGCGACCCCAGGCTGCCCCTCACCCCCAGGCTGCCTCTCTCCCTGCAGGACACAAGGTCTCCTTTCCCCGCTCGGCTGGCCGGATACAAATGTCACCCCCGAAGCTGCCTGGAAGTTCCAGCTCCGAGTTCCCTGGGAGGACTTTTTCAGATGTTAGGGACCCGCTCCAGAGCCCCCTCTGGGTCACCCTGGGTTCCTCCAGCCCCACCGAGTCACTCACTGTGGACCCTGCCTCTGAATAATCAGGAACGGTGGCTTCAGAGACGTCTCTTGGGCCTTCCCTCTGGCCACGTCTGCACCCACCCCTCCTGGGCACCCTCCTAGCCTGCCATCCCTCACCTGCAGCCAGGCTCTCAGGGAAGGTCCATGCTGCTTGGCCTGAGTTCAAGGCTTTCTGCCTGTAGCCTGGACTCCCGTGGACCCCCGTGGGCAGGTGGCTTCCCCGTGGCATCTCCACACCGCCTCTGCCTGCCCCTGTGGACTGATGCTATCGCGCACCGTCCCACGACCCCACCCCGAGCTCCTGAAGCCGGGGTCTGAGCCTGCATCACCTCTGGCCTCTCATCCCCCACTCTCCTGAGAGCAGTGGTCACAGCGGCCGGCCGCTCTGCTGAGAAGGCAGAGAGGCAGGCTCAGGCCTCAGCGTGGACAGCAGGGATAAGGGGCACGAAGGACGGGGACTCGGCCCCTTCAGAATTCCTCAGGACTCTCAGGTGCAGCTTTGCCAAAAAGGAACTTTTCATGTCATGCAGTTGAGGGGACTTAGTCTCAATCCCAGGCTCCTCTTGACTCTGGGCAGCTTTAATCAGGTTGGGCAGCCTCTGCTACAGCGTGGGGTGGGATGGCTCTCTTCCCTCAGCCACGCCGCTTGTGAGGACAGAGGTGGGGGAGTGGGAAGTGGGAAGTCACCAGAGAACAGGAGAGGGATTTGAGGGCGAGACCCCAGCGCTCTCCACGGACCAGCCAGAGGGACTGGAGCCAGGTGTGCATGGGTTCAAGGCCCTGGCCCTGCCCAGCCTTTGTCTTGGGAGCTCAGCCCCAGGGTTCGGTCGTCAGCAGTTTCCCAAGAACAAGATGTGATGGCATCTGCTGCTGAAACCCTGATGAGGACCAGGCCCCCTGCACCGCTGTCAGCCTGAGGAATTAAAGCTTTGGTGCTGGGGAGAGCATTATTCCTCTGAGGAGCCGCTGTGCTTCCTTCTGAAGTGAGGGCCGTGCCCCGGGTCCCATTTCTCCTTTCACTTGAGTCGGGAAGCACAGCAACTTTAAGGCTCGCGCCCAGCAACATGGCTCCCCTCGCATCTGCATCTCCCTCCTGCTCTGGTGTTGCCGCTGCACCCTGTCCTCGGAGGACAGCAGAGGTTTGGACGGAGACTCAGGGAGGGAGGGAAGGAGGCAAGGACGCCTGTGGAAACATCTTTCAGGCAGCTCTAGGGTCTGGGGGCCAGGATGCCTGGGTCTCCCAAGGCCTGTCTGCTGTCTCTGCCACCCTCAGCGGCTGCCAGAAGCAGCGTGTGGGGGAGGCATGTGCTGCAGCACACCTGCGGCCGAGACCAGCACTCAGAGGTCGGCTCCCCTGACAGGAACCGTGTAGGGTGCAGAAGGCTGAGACCTGTGGACACTGCGTGTTTTATGGCAGCTTGCTTGCTGGGGCTCATGGCCACAGTGGAGAGGGGCCGTGGGTCAGGGCAGCCCAGTGTGCAGTCCAGTGCCGGGCAGGAGTCTTGCAGGGGCTCATGACCACAGTGGAGAGGGGCTGTGGGTCAGGGGCAGCCTGGCGTGCAGTCCAGTGCCGGGCAGGAGTCTCACAGGGGCTCGTGGCCACAGTGGAGAGGGGCTGTGGGTCAGGGGGCAGCCCGGCATGCAGTCCAGTGCCGGGCAGGAGTCTCGCAGAATGCAGCCTGACGCCTCCACGTGGCTCCCCCGGCCCCTACAGGCTCCCTCAGCTGCAGAGCTGGGTCCCATCCGACGCTGTCGCTGGGCAGCGAGAGGCAGAGGCAGGTTCCCCGAGGGAAGCATGGGCCCCTTCTCCCGGCCACGGTTGCCCCAGCAGGAGTTCATCTTTGCAGCCCCAGAGCCAGGGTGATGTGGGCACAGGTGTCAAGTCAGGGTGGTCGGTAGCCTTGCGCCCGCAGGAGAGATATGGCCTGAAGCCTGCTGCACGTGCGTGCCACACGCGTGTGGGGCCACCTCTGCACATCCTGAGGTGACCCTTTTGGGGGGGTCGTGATGGTCAGTGCACGTGTGCCGGCAGGGCTGGTCAGGGTTCATCGCCTGCCCAGGAGCCTGAGCCTGAGGCAGGGAGGTGCTGGTGACCGTTCCCCCAAGGTGGCTCACCCACAGCACCGGGAATGGACCAGGTCGTCCCTGCCCCTCAGTAAGCCTGGGGACTGGCAGACCGTCTCTTTTCTGGGGACACGTATCCAGCCACACATGGGCTGACCCCCTCCCAGTCTCTGCACCCGACACAGTTTGATCCCTTCTCAGGCCAATCCTGAGGCTCAGGGCTGGCACACTGTCTCTATCCCAAGGCAAGCACAGGTGGGCACACTGCCCTTGTCCTTGGTCCACTGTGGGACTGGTCCTGTCTGTCTCCAGCGCCCAGCATGGCCTCCACACACCTCTGCCTCCAGGGCTGGCTGGGCCTGCCCTCAGAGTCCCTGCCACGCCAGCCGTTGGCTGCAGGCATATCACAGATAGGGGATGCTGCCCAGGGCTCCGAGTAGACCAAAAGATTCCTGCCCACAGCCCAGGAAGAGCAGGCAGGCAACGGCGATTCCCCGGGAAGGGAAGGGCCCCGGAGTGGGGTGCTCAGAACCCTGGGCCACTGTGCTGTTAACCACCACCTCCCGGCAATGGCTGGCCTCAGCGAGGCCCCAGGGCCTCCCCGCAGCCTCGCAGTGTGCATGTCCCTGGCCCTCTCCCATCACCAGGCTGTGGTGGGTGTGTGGGGAGGCTGTGGTACACAACGCAGGTAAAATAATATGAGAACATGCACCCAGCACCAGGGGACTCAGAGAATGTTGCACACATGCCCATTTTCTGCCTTTCTGGATATAGTTTGGTTGGGGTGTGTGTGTGTGTGTGTGTGTGAGAGAGAAAGGGAAGCTGCTATCCTTCCCACATGTGTTTGTGTGTGTGTCCAGCCCCACCCATGGGATCGTCCCCGCCCTGCCTTTCTAGCCACCCTCACTGGCCCAGGAGGGAGGGAAACCACCGTGGGGACTGGGATTTCTCAGAATTAAGGGGGCACGCAGGGTCATGGGGACAGACAGAATGACCCAGAAAGGAAGGAGGTGTACACCAGACCGCAGATGGAGCCCACCCACAGGCACGGACTCTCACGCAGACTTCGAGCACGCACACACATGCGCACAGAGAGATGGGGTGGACACACGTGGGGTTGGGACGCACCCATGATGTTCTGGAGCACAGGCCGCTAAACCACAGAGCAGCAGAGATCAAAGGCCTGGGCTCTCAAACTTAGTCTAAAATACTCTGGGCCTCCGCCCCGTAAGCCACAGGCCGCCCAGTGGCTGAGAGAAGGGGACAGTTGGGGCCAAGCAGGGCTGCTGAGCTGCGGGGGGCGCTCCCGCCACTGACTCTGGGGGCTGGCCCTGTGGCATTTGGCTTTGGTGGTCCCTAGGGCAGCTCCTTCCCCCACGCTAGGCAGGAAAGAGGCCAGGAGGCACTTTCTGGAACCAGGCACTTTTAATCGTGGAACCGAGGGGCCTGGAGTGTGAGGAGGGAGGGGCAGGATCGGGGGCAGAGTTAGGGCCCGGGAACTCTCGGGTTAGGGTGAAGACCCCGGGGTCTGACTGGTTCAGCCTTAGGTGCCCATGTTGGGGCTGGAGGGCCCCAGGATCAGGATGGGGCAGGGATGGAGGCCCCACAGAAGGAGGGCCAGGCTCCGGGGAGTCAGTATTGGGCCCCAGGGGCAGCAGCCTGGGGTCAGTGTCCTGGGGCTAGTGCCCCAGATCAGGACCCAGCCTGTCAGTCATAGTCCGCGTCATCAAACTTGGTGCTGAAGAAGGCGGCAGAGTCCTTGGCCAGCCGGGCCAGGTGCAGGGCACCAGTCACCACCAGCCCCAGGAGCAGCAGTGGCGGCACCAGCGTCCACATCGCGGCCAGGATGTTGTAGCACTTGGCTTTGGAGCCAAAACGCCGGGCCGCTTCCAGGTCACCAACCACCTTCTGATCTCGGGCCTGCAGAGAGACCAGACCACAGGGCCAGATCTCTATGTGTCCTCGGGGCCTGGGGGCCCTTCCCCACCCACACCCTGGGCACCTGGAAGGCCCCTACTGCACCCAAAATCTGGATGGAGGGGTGTGGCCTGAGGAGATACTCCTTGGGGCCCCAGCTATGGACCCGGGGGCCATCCCAGGCCAGTGTCAGCCTATCAGAGCTCTCTATGGGTGAGGGTCCCCCAGGGTGCTGAGACACCCCCCACCCTGCCAGCCAGGAGCTGAAGTCAAAGGGACCTCTGTTCCAGAAGCCCACAGCATGTGAACCCCCTCTTGATTGCAGAGACCTCTGTGGGTGCCTCCCAATGGCCTCTGTGCTCTTGGATGGGCCAGACCCCGTTAAGAAGAGGCCCCCCGGCCTTGCCTTCGTGAGGAGCTCTTTCCCGGCCATACTGATAGCTGTGCCCACAGAGCCCCTCACGGACAAGCAGAGCCCCCCGCGGCCCCCAGCACGGCAAGGACCCCCCACGGAGCTCCCCATCCCTCCCCCTTCCCCCCACCTTGATGGAGTAGTGGAGCCTCCCCCGCAACCTCGGTAGGGCCCCTGCCCACCTTGATGGAGTAGGCCAGCGCCAGGAAGCCGAGGCAACACAGATTCAGGTAGAGGGTGCTGAACACCGACCAGATCAAGTGGTCTCGAGGCGGGGGGTGCGGGGCCCCCAGTGTGAGGGCTGTGTGGGCACCGGCCTTGCTGGGCGTGGGGGCCCGGGTGTCCTCGCGGGGATACGCCGTGTCCATGGGTTCCAGCGCCGTCTCTTCCACACTCAGACTGGTGCTGGGAGGGTGGGCACCCGCTCACTTATAGCCCTGTCGCCCTCCCGGCCCAGCCCCTCAACGCTATATATAACACAAATTACAGCCTGCGGGCCGAGGGTGCGGCCCGCCCCTTAGCCCCCACCCCAGGGAGCCCCTGTCCGAGGCTGCCTTGGACCACCCAGCAGGGTCCCTCCTGACAGACATCCCATCTGGGAGCCCCCCGCTTGGAAGGCTACGGCCGGGCAGTGGCAGAGACCCCCACCCATCCCCCCACCCCCATCAAAGGCTGCTGGCCAAGTGGGCAGTGGGCAGACCACTGGCCAGAGCCCCCTCCGTCCAGGCCAAGAAGAGTTGGAGGTGTCGCCTCAGGGCCATGGGCCTCATAATTCAGGGATGTACAGGAGCCCCCTCCTCAGAACCAGAGCTGCTGAAACTGCAGCCCCTTCATTCCCAGAACTCAACTCTGCCCCTAACACTCTCAGAGCACCAGCGCCAGGCCCTAGGAGCGCAGGCATCCCTGCAAGGGGGACAGGGAGGGCGGCTGTCGGAGGAGGGCGCGAGAGAGAAGGAGAGAACCACATGGGGGGAAAGCCAGGGGGTGCAGCCTGTTAGGAGCCGGCAGGGGAACCCCCAGGGACCAGCAACAGCTGTTAACACTGGTGTCGGGATGCAGGGAGCCTGTGGGCTCCTGTGGTGGACACTCCCCTCAGCCTCCTCGGCTGCCCTCCCTGATCCCAGAATGTCTGTGGTGAGTGGTCCTGTTTAGGGCTCAAGGTCCGCCCCAGTCTTGTCTCTGGCTGTAGATGCCTGTGTGTGCTGACGACTCACATTTATGTCTTCAGCCCAGACTTCCCCCCAAAGACATTGGCTTGGTCCCCAGCTCTGGACACACACACGCAACTCCTGCTCTGTGGACCTCCACCCACGTGCCAACAATAGACCCTGGATCCTCCCTCCCAACCTCCTCTGCCAAGCCTTCCCCGGAGCAGTGGTGGCAACTGCACCGGGCCAGAAGGCTCAGCTTCCCCGTCTCCCAGTCGGCCACACTCCTGAGTGCCCAGGACCAAGCTGCCCTCCCTCCTCCAGGACGCACACTCGCCACCTGCAGGGGATGGTTGGGTGGGGGGTTCCTTGCTGCTGTGCTTGAGCCTGTGAACCCCAAATATCTGAGACAGGTCTCGGTTAATTTAGATTATTTTGCCAAGATTGAGGATGTGCCTGTGACAGCCTCTGGAGCTCCTGAGGATCTGTACCCAAGGTGGTCGGAGCACAGTTTGGTTTTATACATTCTAGGGACACAGGAGACATCAGTCAACATATGTAAGATGAACATTGGTTCAGTCTGGAAAGGCAGGACAATGCAAAGCAAGGCAGGGAAGACTCGAAGTGGGGAGGCGCTTCCCGGTCGCAGGTAGATAAGAGACAAAGGTTGCATTCTTTTGAGTTTCTGACTTGCTTCTCCAAAGGAGGCAACCAGATATATGCATTCACCTCAGTGAGCAGAGGGGTGACTTTTTTTCTTTTGTTTTTGTTTTTTTTTTTTTTTTTGTGAGACAGAGTCTCACTCTGTCGCCCAGGCTGGAGTGCAGTGGCGTGATTTTGGCTCACGGCAACCTCCGCCTCCCGGGTTCAAGCGATTCTCCTGCCTCAGCCTCCCGAGCCGCTGGCACTACGGGCTCCCGCCACCACGCCCGGCTAGTTTTTGTATTTGCAGTCGAGACGGGGTTTCACCATGTTGGTCAGGATGAAAAAAGCTAACTCTGTAAAGTATTTAAAGAGGTTTGTCCTACGCCGAATATGACTGACCACGGCTCATGATACAGCCTCCAGAGTTCCAGCAAACGTGCCAAAGGTGGCTGGGCTACAGCTTGGTTTTATACATTGTAGGGAGACAGAAGTTGCAGGCAAAGACATAGATCAATACAAGTGTCAACGAAAAGAGTCCAACTCTGCGAAATATTTGAAGAGATTTATTCTGAGCCAAATATGAGTGACCATGGCCTGTGGTGCGGCCCTCAGGAGGTCCTGAGAACATATACCCAAGGGGCTCAGGGCACAGCTTGGTTTTATACATTTTAGGGAGACATGAGGTATCAATCAAATACATTTAAGAAATACATTGGTTTGGTCCAGAAAGGCGGGACAACACAAAGCTGGGGGTGGGGGGGGTGGGGGGAGGGGCAGCGGTGTTCCAGGCTATAGGTGAGTTTAAACATTTTCTTGTTGACAATTGGTTGAGCTTGTCTAAAGACTTGGGATTGGTAGAAAAGGAGTGTTCAGGTTAAGATCAAGATTGTGGCCGGGTGCGGTGGCTCATGCCTGTAATCCCAGCACTTTGGGAGGCCAAGGCGGGCAGATCACAAGGTCAGGAGTTCGAGACCAGCGTGACCAACATGGAGAAGCCCCGTCTGTACTAAAAATACAAAATTAGCCAGGCGTGGTGGCGCATGCCTGTAATCCCAGCTACTCAGGAGGCTGAGGCATGAGAATCACTTGAACCCAGGAGGCGGAGGTTGCGGTGAACCGAGATCGCGCCATTGCACTCCAGCCTGGGCAACAAGAGCAAAACTCCATCTCAAAAAAAAAAAAAAAAAAAAAAAAAAGGGCCAGGCGAGGTGGCTCACGCCTGTAGTCTCAGCACTTTGGGAGGCCGAGGCGGGTGAATCATGAGGTCAGGAGTTCGTGACCACCCTGACCAACATGGTGAAACCCCATCTCTACTAAAAATACAAAAATTAGCCAGGCGTGGTGGTGGGTGCCTGAAATTCCAGCTACTCAGGAGGCTGAGGCAGGAGAATCGCTTGAACCCGGGAGGCGGAGGTTGCAGTGAGCCAAGATCAGATCGTGCCATTGCACTCCAGCCTGGGTGACAAAGCGAGAGACTCCGTCTCAAAAAAATAAATAAATAAAAAATAAAGATTGTGGAAACCAAAGTTCTTTTGAAGTCTTATAGTGGCTGCCCTTAGAGACAATAGGTGACCAATATTTCCTATTCATATCTTAATTAATCTCTTCAGGATTGGGAGGGTCTGGAAGAAAAAGATCTGGCTATGTTAACTGAGATTCTTTACAGATGCAAATTTTCCCCCACAAAGAACAGCTATGCAGGGGCCATTTCAAAATATGGCAAAGAAACATGTTTTTGGGGTATTTTGATTTTCTTCCTTGTTTCATAATGTTATGCCAGAGTCAGGTTGGAAAGTAAGTCACGATATATAGGGTTAAATAAAACTCATCTGGTTGGCCGGGCATGGTGGCTCATGCCTGTAATCCCAGCACTTTGGGAGGCCGCGGCAGGCAGATCACCTGAGGTCAAGAGTTCGAGACCAGCCTGGCCAACGTGGTGAAACCTGTCTCTACTGAAAATACAAAAACAAAACAAACAAACGAAAACCAAAACTCATCTGATGAGAATTTACCATTTGTAGGTAAATTCCCCAGACCCCTTTGATAGGAACTTGGGCAAGATAAAAAAGTCAGAGTTTAGTCCTCACGAGTAAGGTGTACATTGCTTCTGCCAGGAAAGGCAAGACATCTCAAAGGGGTGTGGTCACAGGTCACAGTGATACCAGTGGGCTTGGGGAGGTCCCCAATTGCCAGTGGGACCTGGACCCCCACGGGTGTCCAGGCTCTTGGCACAAGAAGAAAATTCAAGGACGAGACCGAAAATAGTGAAAGTAGGGAGATTTGTTGAAAAGTGAAGGCCAGGCGCGGTGGCTCGCGCCTGTAATCCCAGCACTTTGGGAGGCTGAGGCGGGTGTATCACCTGAGGTCAGGAGTTCGAGATCAGCCTGGCCAACATGGCGAAACCCTGTCTCTACTAAAAATGCAAAAATTAGCCGGGCGCGGTGGTGCGTGCCTGTGATCCCAGCTAATCGGGAGGCTGAGGCAGGAGAATCACTTGAACCGGGTAGGCAGAAGTTGCAGTGAGATGAGATCGCGCCACTGCACTCCAGTCTGGGCGACAGAGCGAGGCTCCCTCTCAAAAAAAAAAGAAAGAAAGAAAAAAAAGAGAAGTGAAAAGTACACACTCAAGAAAGGGCCGTGTGGGCGGAGACTCGAGAGAGTCACTTGCAAGGGGTTTGGGTGGGGGTTCCATCTTTCAGGGTTTCTTTCACCAAGCGGGGGAGTATCATGAAGATTCTTGCAAGAAGGTGACGATTTCTCAGAACTGAGGTGCCTTGCATTTTTTTTTTCAAGACAACATAGAGGGTCTTTATTGGATAGCAGCTGAGAGACCATGCCTCAGTCCTCTTGAGGGACGCCTTTCCCCCCGGCGTACCACTTCTTTCCCACGTTTCCCTTCTCTGCAGGCTACAGCTTGATGCAAAAGAAAGGGATCGTCCTACAGGTCCTTATACACAACCTTTGAGGGCACAGTTTGGAGGTGGAGTGGCAGAGGACATTTGTAAAAGTGGGACAGCAAAGTTTCACTGTAGCCCACGAGGAAGTAGAACTTGCGGGCAGGCAAGTGCCTCGGGACCAGGGCACAGATCTCCAACCGGTTGGCCCAGCACTGTAAAACCAGCGGGTCAGCCAGGCAGCCCGGGAAGGCACCCCACATGAACTTGCGACGGAAAGCATCCTCCACCGTTCGCTCCGCCGCATGGTCCTCCCCACCAGGGTTCCCCGCGTGAGCGACCTCTGGCCCTCACGGCGGGCGACGAAGTGCGGCGCGTGTGCGTCCTCATAGGTCACCGGCTTGTCCCCCTGGCCTCGGCGGACTCGGGCCGCCGGTTCTTGTTACAGACCGCGGAGGTGTGCGGGGCCCGCCCCGCGCAAGGCAGCTCTCGGCCCCGGGACGGCACCCGGGGCCACCCGCCACCCGCCACCCGCCGCACGCGGAGGCCGCCATCTTGGCCGAGCGCCCGCCATGTTTACAGCAGATCTGTGTGTTCCTGGAAGTGTCGCGGTGCGGGTGGGTGTGGGCCGAGTACGTTCCTATGAGGAGGTCCTAGGGGACGCATAGGTCGCATTCAGCGCCGTGGTGGCTCTGGTCTGTCTTAGCCAGCTTGGCCCACACTGCTTTTGAAGGTCTCATCGGCCCCTCGCTTCTGCAGCAACCTCAACAGTCTCTTTTGCTAGTCATGCGAGGCTGCTGCTTAGAATGTTCTGTTCTCCCGCAGCCGCTCCATATTATTCTGTCTCATTTTGTGGATTTAAAGATTTTCTGATGGGCAGCTGGCTTAAAGAGTTCAGCTTTGGGGCCGGGCGCGGTGGCTCCCGCCTGTAATCCCAGCACTTTGGGAGGCCGAGGTGGGTGGAGCACGAGGTCAGGAGATCGAGACCATCCTGGCTAACACGGTGAAACCCCGTCTCTACTAAAAATACAAAAAATTAGCAGGACTTGGTGGCGGGCGCCTGTAGTCCCAGCTACTCGGGAGGCTGAGGCAGGAGAATGGCGTGAGCCCGGGAGGTGGAGGTTGCAGTGAGCCGAGATCGCGCCACTGCAGTCCGGCCTGGTTGACAGAGCGAGACTCCGTTTCCAAAAAAAAAAAAAAAAAAAAAAAAAAAGTTCAGCTTTGCCTAAAGAGTTGGTTAGTCGAAAGAAATTCTTGAGTTTACATAACCGGGGCTGTGGAAGCCAAGGGGCTTGTTATGCAGATGAGGCCTCCAGGTGGCAGGCTGGAGACAAGGATGATAAAAAAAATCTCTCTTTTCCACCCTTAAAAAGGGCTCTTAGTTAAATGTCTGTTCTATAGGAAAAGACCTAGAAAGGGAAGGAGATTCTCTCCAGAATGCAAATTTCCCTAATAAGAGACAGTTGTGCAAGGCCATTTCAAAATATGCCAAATAAATATATTTTGAGGCTGTGCATGGTGGCTCACACCAGCACTTTGGGAGGATGAGGCAGGTGGATCACTTGAGCCCAGGAGCTGGAGACCAGTCTGGGCAACACAGTAAGGCCCCGTCTCAAAAATAAAAATACATATATTTTGGGGGTAAATAATTTTTATTTCCTTCAGAGCCTGCTATTTGTTGTGAAAGGAAAATAAATATTAGGACCCCGAAATCACTGAACCAAAAGGAGACGTCAAGCTGGGAACTGCTTAGGGACACCTGCCTCCCGTTCTACTCCTAAAAACGGCTGCTGCCGAAACAAAAAGCTATATACCTCCCTCACAGTTTGTCCACAGGGAATTTCCTTGTGGACAAAAGACAAATGGAACTCAAACTTACCCTTTTGCTCGCTGAGATAATGCATATCTGATTGCTTCCTTTGCAAAGGCTCATCAGAAACTCAAAACAATGCGATCCTTTGTCTCTTCTCAACCTATGACCTGGAAGCCCCCTCCCCACTTCGAGTTGTCCCGTCTTTCCAGACTGCACTAATGAGCGTCGTGCATATATTGATGTCCATGTCTCCCTGAAATGTATAAAACCAGCTGTGCCCCGATCATCTTGCGCACCCTGTCAGGACCTCCTGAGGCTGTGTCACCCGCTCATCCTTAACCTTGGTCCTAAATCGACTGAGAACTTTCTCAGATATTTAGGGTTTACACTGTCATGTGACGCTGTACCACAGTCAGTTGGAATTTGGTACCTTATTGCTACGAAGAGTCTGTTTTGTCAGTACTATGAGCTCCATCTCAGTGTTAATGCTGGTCGGTTGTGCCTAAACTCCACAGGGAGGGGATATAAGTAGGCCTGTCCAACCTCCCTGTCCCTTCGAGGCTGTGAATTCAGTTTTTCAGGTTTGTTTGGGACCCCCTTGGCCAAGGGAGCTCCATTCAGTCATGGGGGCAGGGGAGGCTTAGATTTTTATTTTTGGTTTTCAGTCAGCACTCCAGTCCAGTCAGGAGGGCTTCAGACCACGAAGAGGGGAGGTGTCCCCACGGCAGAGCTAGACACAGATCCCAGGACATTCTGTGTGTGGGGGAGACATGGCCCAGAATAGAAGGCCTGTAGAGGCCTGGACATGGCTAAGCCCTTAGAGCTCACCCCAGCCAGCAGAAGGAGGAGGACTTAGGGTGTTCGACGTCGAGAAGCACTGTGAGTCGATGGTAGACACAGCCATTGTTAAAGTTAAATCTTAGGAATCTTAGAAATTATCAATAAAATTTATCTTATAGAGCCAAAGTCATCGTTACTCAAACACATCACTCTGCAGTTACACGGCTGCACGCTACCGTCATGTAAACTCTGGAATACTGACGTGGACCTGACCACCCGCTGAGGTGAAAGGCTACAGCAGGGTGAGCAGCTGCCCATCTCTGTAAATTCCACCCTCAGCGATGTCCTCTGCGGAGTCTGGCCTGGTGGGAGAATAAGCCCAGGAAAATGGGCCCATGTAGCACATCAGGAATTAAACAGGGCGCAGGTCGCGGTGCACATAGGCCTGCAGGCCACGTTCCTGCCCCTGTGACCCGCACTGTCCCCTCTGACAAGCTCAAGTGCACAGCATCAGCTCTGTTTGCTGCAATAGCCTCTGCCAAGGAAGGTCCAGGAAGAAGCCCAGAGGCCACACAAGGTGTTTCCACAGGGAGGCTGTAACCTCAGGAGCTGCTCAGAGGCAGCACCGGTTCATGGGAAAAACAGGCGGCAACTACAGGAAGCAGCTGGCACCCGTGTGAGGACCCAGGGAAGAGGCAGAGATGATCAGAACCTGGAAATCTGGAGGGTGCCCCAGGGACCAGCCAGCCAGAGCTCTGGGCAGCGTGGGTGCTGCTGGGCTGTGTGGAGCGGGTCTGGGAGCCGTCACCCAGGTGGGCCTCCAGGGGAAAGGGCCATGGCTTCTAACTCCACCGTCCAGGTCTCTGCTATTGGCATCCCACAGCCCCCTCTTCTGTCAGTGCTCCCAGAGTCCCCTTTCCTGGGCCTGGAGGGCTCCTTTGGGGCAGGCAACATTGGCCGCCAACCCTCTGACCTGCACCAGGAGACACGGGGACCTTTAACCCCCAAACCCGCATGGAGCAGGACTGCAACCCCAGCAAAGGACAAGGGATGTCAGCAGATGAGGCCTGTGACAAGTGAGATGAGGGCTTTTTTTTTTTTTTGAGACGGAGTCTGGCTCTGTTGCCCAGGCTGGAGTGCAGTGGCACAACCTTGGCTCACTGCAAGCTCCGCCTCCCCGGTTCACGCCATTCTCCTACCTCAGCCTCCCAAGTAGCTGGGACTACAGGTGCCCGCCATCACACCCGGCTAATTTTTTTTTGTATATTTAGTAGAGACGGGGTTTCACCGTGTTAGCCAGGATGGTCTCGATCTCCTGACCTCATGATCCTCCCACCTCAGCCTCCCAAAGTGCTGGGATTACAGGCGTGAGCCACGGCGCCCGGCAGAGGTGAGGGCTTTGGGGAAACGGTTGTGGGGCCTGGAGTGTGGAGGCGTCAGCGCAGGCCTGGCAGGAGCCCTGAACCGGGACAGTGAGGTCCTGCAGCTGCTGGCCTGGGGTGTGGAGACTCCCAACACAGGGGAAGTCTCCAGGACCCCACACCACTAACAAGATGAGACTTGTGCTCCTTTGGGCTCTAGAGAGGAAGCCCCTCTTAGCCCTCAGCCCCTCTTTCCTCCCTCTCCTAAAGTAATTTGATCCTCAGGAATTTGTTCTGCCCTTATCTGGCCCTGGCCAGCTCTGCATTTGACAAATGCCAGGAAGAGGAAACTGTTGAGAAAACGGAACTACTGGGGAAAGGGAGGGCTCACTGAGAACCATCCCGGTAACCCGATCACCGCTGGTCACCATGAACCACATTGTGCAAACCTTCTCTCCTGTCAACAGCGGCCAGCCTCCCAACTACGAGATGCTCAAGGAGGAGCAGGAAGTGGCTATGCTGGGGGTGCCCCACAACCCTGCTCCCCCGATGTCCACCGTGATCCACATCCGCAGCGAGACCTCCGTGCCTGACCATGTGGTCTGGTCCCTGTTCAACACCCTCTTCATGAACACCTGCTGCCTGGGCTTCATAGCATTCGCGTACTCCGTGAAGGTGCGTATGGCCCTGGCGGAAATCCAGGGGGTGCCGGTGAGCCTGGGGCTCCACCTGCCCACATGCTGCCTGGGGTGGGGACTTGTGTGTCCCTGTGACTGTGAGTTTGTGTGCACGTCTGTCCTGTGTGTGCCCACGTCAGTGGCTTTGTCTGTGTGATCTGTGTGTGTGTGTGGCTTGGGGAATCTGCCCAGTGCAGGTCTAGGAGGAGGCTCCAGGAGGCTGGCTGGCTGGCTCAGAGTCTGTCCCCGGCTATCCACTAGCCCAGAGCAGTTCTCCCTATAGCCCAGTAAGAAATTACACCTTCACCTTCCAGACTGGCACCCAGGCTCTCCCAGAAAGTGAGAAGGGAACTCACAGGTGACTTCACCCCATGGTGGGGAGAACAGCCTGTGCTGGGGCCAAGGCAGAAGGAGGATGAGCCCCGAGGCTCCTGGAGAGTCTGAGCCGGGTGAGGAAGGGGAGGAGGTGGTCCCTGATCTCAGGGCAGGGAGGAGACAGTGAGGAGCTGGAGCCATAGCACGCGGCTCTCAGCTGGGGGATCCTGGTCCCCTCACCATCTCCTCTCCCCCAGTCTAGGGACAGGAAGATGGTTGGCGACGTGACCGGGGCCCAGGCCTATGCCTCCACCGCCAAGTGCCTGAACATCTGGGCCCTGATTTTGGGCATCTTCATGACCATTCTGCTCATCATCATCCCAGTGTTGGTCGTCCAGGCCCAGCGATAGATCAGGAGGCATCATTGAGGCCAGGAGCTCTGCCCGTGACCTGTATCCCACGTACTCTATCTTCCATTCCTCGCCCTGCCCCCAGAGGCCAGGAGCTCTGCCCTTGACCTGTATTCCACTTACTCCACCTTCCATTCCTCGCCCTGTCCCCACAGCCGAGTCCTGCATCAGCCCTTTATCCTCACACGCTTTTCTACAATGGCATTCAATAAAGTGTATATGTTTCTGGTGCTGCTGTGACTTCACCTGGGGAGCGGTCCTGCTGGTTCTGAGATTAAATGTAATGCCAAACGTTCTTGCCTTAGCCACACCAAAGAATTGGGTGTGGCGGCTGCCCGCGGCGAGTGATGGAGACACAGACCAAGAGAAGAAAAAAACTGTAGGTTTTATTGAGCAGAGTGACAGTACAAAGCTTACACAGCATGGAAGGGGTCCGGAGAGGGTAGCCACTGTTGGTTTTGGGTGATTGCCTTTTAATCTCTTTAAGGCGGGAAATACATGTGGTGGGAAGATGTTACCAGAGAGAGAAACAAAGGCAGTAAATTATTTTGTGACATGTCTTAGATTTTGAGGAAAAACAGAATTGCAACTTAGGTTTTATCTAATTTTATCTACTTTATGACCTTGCAGCAGCATGGCAAAAGAGACAGGATTTTACAGGACTTTACAAAGTATGTTCACAAGGAATTGGAATTGGGAGCATAGATAAGGTCCGCTGGTCACAGAAAAAGGGTCTTTTAACATTCCTTTTAGTTTTAGGGGAGGGGGAAGGAAGAGAGGGAGAGAGGACACAGGGAAGCTTACAGCAGAATTTTTGCTGTTTATAGCTTTCTTGGGGAAGGAAACACATGCACAAATCCTGGTGTTAGGAATATTTTAGGCATGTATCTTCAGTACTCTTCATCCAGGACCGAAGTAAGTCCTGATGCAGGAAATGAGTGTTTCACAGCTTTCTGAACCCCTACTCGACCCAGGAAGCCCAGCTGGACCCTCCTTTCATGAGCAGGTTGGTCAGCCCCTGCACTGCCCCTTCCAGCCTCTGTGCATCTCTTGGGGACGGGGCAAGTGCTCAGGCCTTCTGGTTTCGGGCCTCCTGCCGTGAGCAGCAGCTGGATCCAGGACCCTGGGAGGAGTTCCTGTGTCCTGCAGGTCTCAGCTCCTACTCAACGTGGGCTCTTTCCGGGAACGTCAGTGCTGAGTCCGGGACACCCTGGGCCCAAGGCCACGCTCGCGGCCTGTCGGCAATCCAGGCTGTCGGCTCAGGACAGAGGGAAGGGTTAAGCCCCCAGCAGGGCCAGGGAGGGGCAAGGTGGCACCGGCTCCCCAGCTGCTCCCAGGCCCTGCTCTGTGGTGCTGGGGACCTGGCTTTAGTTCCTCGGGGGTGGAGGGGGCACCGCGCTGCCTGCCTCCGAGCTGTCTGGAGCAGCCAGTCCTGCAGATGTGGGCAGCTCAGGGCCCGTGGGAGGGAGGGGGCTTTGTGCCCAGGGCAGCAGCTGAAGGAGCCCCGGGCCTCGCAGCCCCTCCTGGGTGACCAGGTGCTGCTTCGTGGCAGCTGCCCCCTCCCGTCCAGCGGGTATGGGCCCTGCTCCCCCGTGGTGGGGGCGGCGCAGGAGAGTGGAGCGACCCTCATCTAAGTTACCTCTACCCGGGTCTGAGCCCCCGGACAGACACCCCCGCCCCGACCTGGTTACAGCGCCCTTCCCCGGTTCGGTCTCCGGTGTGCGCATGTGGGGTGCCCCATGGGCGGCCGCGGTGGGAGCTGGGGTGGCCATGCGCGCCCCCGCCCCGCCGTCCACCCGCGACTCCAGGTCTGGATCTACTCGCCCTCCCCACCCTTTCCCGCCCCCAGCCCCGGAGCCGCGCTCTCACCCCAGGGGCGGCAAGGGCGATGGACGCGGAGGAAGCGCCCTCTCCCCCTCGGGGGTCTCCCGGAGGCGAGTCCCGAAGGGGGCGAACTCCGAAGTGGGTCCCGGGTGGGAGGCGCGCGGCCCCGCCCGGCGGGGAGGGGGAAGCGGCGGAGGCGGGTGCTCAGCGGCGCCCCTGGCGGCGGCCGGCGCAGGTGCAGGTCCCGGAGGAGGCTCCGCCCGCAGCCCAGACCCCCGCGGGGTGGGCGGGACGCGGACCCTGAGACCCGCAGCGCCGGACCCGGACGGGAGCCCCTCTCCTCCCCCTCGGGCACGTCCCCGGCCGAGCCTTCCCGCCCTCCTCTGGGGCTCCCACCTCCCCTTCACCCGCGGGGGACCCGATTTCCGCGTCTCCTGGGCCCCTCCCTGGGCAGGGGGTCCAGCCGGAATCCAGGAGTGACCTGCTGGAGGACTTGGTGGCCAGGGAGTCACCCTGGGAGCCCGGTCCTGTGACCCCTTAATGGATTCTCTGCGCTCCTGGGCGGGCCCCTTGGTCGCATCGGGGCAGGGGAATCGCAATAAGGAAAGTGTAATTCACGCAGAGCCGGCTGCGGGGGAGACGGGAGTTTTATTATTACTCAAATCCTTCTCCCCAAAAACGTGGGGATCCGAGTTTCGAAGGATGATATGGTGGGTAGGCGGCCAGTGAGTCAGGAGCGCTGACCGGTCCGGTTGGAGATGAAGTCTTGGGGAGTCGAAGCTGTCTTCCCAACCCTAACCCAGCTCCTCGGTGGGGGCCACAGGACCACATGAGCAAGATTGTGGATTTAGGTGGTGCCAGCTGATCCATTGAGTACAGGGTCTGTAAAGTATCTCAAACTCTGATCCTAGGTTCTACAGTAGTGCTGTGATCCCCGGGAGCAATTTAGGGGTGGCGGGGTCAGAATCTTGCATCCTCCAGCCGCGTGACTCCTAAACCATAATTTCTAATCTTGTGGCTAATTTGTTAGTCCTGCAAAGGCAGTCTGGTCCTCAGGTAGGAAGGGGGCTTGTTCAGCCTTGATCTATAAACTGTTTCTCTCCAGATTAGTTTAGGCTAAGCCCAGGGATGAGCAAGGGCAGCTTGGAGGTTAGAAGCCAGGCGGAGTGGGTTAGGGTCAGACCTCCTTCACTGTCATCATATTCTCAGTTATGACTTTTGCAAAGGTGGTTTCAGTTCCATGCCTGCCCCTCAGAATCCTGTCTCCCTCTTGTGCCCTGCAGTTTCTTCCTTCCTAAACTGCCCGTGATTTAAAGAAGCTTCCAAAATACCTTCCACGGGAAATTCAAGCCCCACCCCACTCCGCAGTGATGTGTGGCCTTTGATAGGAGGTCACAGAGCCTTGTGAGGAGTTTGTGTAGGCAGTCCTCGATGTCTCAGAGCACGCTCCATCCACATCCACCCCTGGCTTGCCGGGACCCAGACATAGTTTGGTCTAAGTGGCCTGGGATGTGGCTGGGGCTGGAGGCGGCCTGTTGAGGGGTGGGTGGAGGGTGGGGGGGTTGGTGTGCGATTTGGGGAGGCCCAGCAGGGACTCCAAGCAAGGGCAAGGGCTAGTTCTTTTTTTTTTTTTTTAGCTGCAATGGGTAGGGAGGGGCTGATGGTTTTGGAGCTCGGTGTTTGAGATGTTAAGTCTGCTGATGCTCCTGGCCGAATAAAGGCCAAATAAAGCCCTTTCTTTCCTCAACTCGATGTCTGAGGGTTTTGTCTGTGGCTCGTCCTGCTACAATTTCTAACGTTACCAGTAATTTTAAAGCTAGCTTATTAAAGATTCTACTTAAGTCACATGAACGTGAAAAGCATTTAGGCTTATTATTTAATTTATGAGTACTCTTTAAGTTTAAGCTAAATTTGGTAACTTGTGGCCAAAAACACATAACGAAATATGTGTATGTGCACATATACACACATACACACTCAAGCAAAAGTATGGTTTTACTTCAGAACTCCAGCCATGAGATAGTAATACAAATTCATTGGTTTACACAAACAATAAAAAGAAATGGTTGGATGCAAACAGTGGATTTTATCTCTGTAGAAAAGTAACAGCAGACTTAAAGCAGGCAGAAACGAAAGCAGAAAGAGAACTTAAGAACATTACATTAATAATTGCAGGCCCACCTTTGGGCTCTGATTTTTCCTTTATGTAATTTGCAATTTGTAATTCATGATCCTTGTGCCTGAGGGCTCCCTTCTGCTACTCAGTCTACAATTCCCCGTCCCTGTGAAGGGGCACCCAGGCCTGACAGCCCCAGACTTGGCTTTGCCAACCCTCCAGGTCTCTCCTGCATGGCTAGGACCCAACGCCTAGGTCATCCAGCACTCACCCCAACCAAAGCCATGGGAATTGCTGGGACCCGGAAGGTAGGGGGTGGCACATGTGTGCCCTGTGCTCTGAAGCTGCCCCTACAGGCCCTGGAATCCTCCCCGTGTCTCAACACACTACCCTCTGGGGAGTCAGTTCTCCCCAGAGTCCCCGTTCCTGGGCCTGGAGGGCTGCTTTGGGGCAGGAAACTTTGGCCACCAGGCCTCTGACCTGCACCAGGAGACACTGGGAGGTTTAGTCCCCAAACCCGCACAGAGCAGGACTGCAGCCTGAGGAAAGAGCAAGGATTTCAGGAGAGAGGCCTGCGACAAGTGAGGTGAGGGCTTTTGGGGGATTGTCCTGGCGCCTGGAGTGTGGGGGCCTGGCAGGGGCCCTGAACCGGGACAGTGAGGTCCTGTACTTGCTGGCCTGGGGTGGACAGAACCCAAGCCTGGGTAAAATCCCCAGGGCCCCCTAAACCCAACACTTAGGAAGTCACTAGTCCTGACTTGAGTTTCTGATGAGGAAGCCTCTCTCCTTAGCCTTCAGCCTTTCCTCCCACCCTGCCATAAAGTAATTTGATCCTCAAGAAGTTAAACCACACCTCATTGGTCCCTGGCTAATTCACCAATTTACAAACAGCAGGAAATAGAAACTTAAGAGAAATACACACTTCTGAGAAACTGAAACGACAGGGGAAAGGAGGTCTCACTGAGCACCGTCCCAGCATCCGGACACCACAGCGGCCCTTCGCTCCACGCAGAAAACCACACTTCTCAAACCTTCACTCAACACTTCCTTCCCCAAAGCCAGAAGATGCACAAGGAGGAACATGAGGTGGCTGTGCTGGGGCCACCCCCCAGCACCATCCTTCCAAGGTCCACCGTGATCAACATCCACAGCGAGACCTCCGTGCCCGACCATGTCGTCTGGTCCCTGTTCAACACCCTCTTCTTGAACTGGTGCTGTCTGGGCTTCATAGCATTCGCCTACTCCGTGAAGGTGCGTATGGCCCTGGCGGAAATCCAGGGGGTGCCGGTGAGCCTGGGGCTCCACCTGCCCACATGCTGCCTGGGGTGGGGACTTGTGTGTCCCTGTGACTGTGAGTTTGTGTGCACCTCTGCCCCGTGTGTGCTCACGTCAGTAGCTTTGTCTGTGTGATCTGTGTGTGTGTGTGGCTTTGGGGAATCTGCCCAGTGCAGGTCTAGGAGGAGGCTCCAGGAGGCTGGCTGGCTGGCTCAGAGTCTGTCCCTGGCTATCCATTAGCCCAGAGCAATTCTCCCTATAGCCCAGTAAGAAATTACACCCTCACCTTCCAGACTGGCACCCAGGCTCTCCCAGAAAGTGAGAAGGGAACTCACAGGTGACTTCACCCCATGGTGGGGAGAACAGCCTGTGCTGGGGCCAAGGCAGAAGGAGGATGAGCCCCGAGGCTCCTGGAGAGTCTGAGCCCGGGTGAGGAAGGGGAGGAGGTGGTCCCTGATCTCAGGGCGGGGAGGAGACGGAGCCATAGCACGCGGCTCTCAGCTGGGGGATCCTGGTCCCCTCACCATCTCCTCTCCCCCAGTCTAGGGACAGGAAGATGGTTGGCGACGTGACCGGGGCCCAGGCCTATGCCTCCACCGCCAAGTGCCTGAACATCTGGGCCCTGATTCTGGGCATCCTCATGACCATTGGATTCATCCTGTTACTGGTATTCGGCTCTGTGACAGTCTACCATATTATGTTACAGATAATACAGGAAAAACGGGGTTACTAGTAGCCGCCCATAGCCTGCAACCTTTGCACTCCACTGTGCAATGCTGGCCCTGCACGCTGGGGCTGTTGCCCCTGCCCCCTTGGTCCTGCCCCTAGATACAGCAGTTTATACCCACACACCTGTCTACAGTGTCATTCAATAAAGTGCACGTGCTTGTGATGATGCTGTGACTTCATCTGGAGTGGGGGCCCTGCTGAGGGGTCCCGGCCTAGTCCTGAGACAGCCCAGTGCTCAGCCCCTGCACAGCCGTATCCCTCCTCTGTGAAGCTCTCAGGGGAGCAGGGATATGCTCAGAATCTGCTGGTTTCCGCCTCCTGCTGTGGGCAGCATCTGGACCAGGAACGTGGGGTGGGCATTTCTCTGACACCAAGGTAAGGACACACTGTCCAGAATACCTTTGGGCCAGGACAACCTGCCTCTGAGCTGGCTGGGCAGCTGGTCTTGCAGATGTGTGCACCTTAGGCCCTGTGGGAGGGGCAGGGGCTTTGTTCCTAGGGTAGCAGCTGAAGGAACCTCAGGGCTGCAGCCTCTCCTGGGTGATCCAGGTGTGCTGGATCCTAGCAGCTGCCTCCTCCAGTCCAGCCGGCATCTTCCCTGCTCCCCTGGGGTGGGGGCAGCCAATGGCCCGAGGGTGGGGCGCTCGCGAGGGCCTGGGAGGGCAGCTTCCGACCGGGAGCCCCGCGGGAGCTCGGGAAGAGGGTCCCGCCAGGTGGAGACCCCTCTGGTGCAGCCAGCGAGGGCCCCGGGATCCCGCAGTCTTGAAATGTGACGGGAAGTCCGAGGCATCACGAAGTCGGAGACGCAGGGCGCGTCGTGGGTCCCGGGCGCCGAACGCCAGCTCGCCACGGCCCAGCAGCGCGGCCAGATCCCGGTCCCCACGGGCGTCGGGGGTGCGCGGGCCGCGGGGAGGTGAGAGGCGGGAGCCGAGAAGTTTCCCAGACGGCACCCGCGGGAGCAGAGCTGGTCGGCCTGGCCGCTCCTCGCCGCGGACTCCTCGGGTGCCCGTGGACAGCAGCCCGTGCCAGGCCCGCAGCGGCCTTGGGCCTCTCCTCCTCTGCAGGGGAGACTCCGGCCGCGGGCTCTGGAAAAGGGCAAGACCAGGCACGGCGCAGGTGCTCTCTGTCGGGAGAATGCGGCCACGCGCGGTGCGTTCACAGCGGGAGAAACCCTCCTGGGAGGGACGGGTAGGACGCCGAGCCCAAGGCGGGAGGCGCCGGAGGACACACGTGCCCTACGCGGGGTGCCGGGGGACCGGCCAGGCTGACCCCGGCGTGGACAAGTTTGCCTCCCAGAGGGCGGAGACTGAGAGGCGAAGGGACCGGCCGACTCTGGGTGCGGCGGGCGTCCCTCCCCACCGGGAGGGTGTGTGCTGCGGGCATCCCTTTGCAACCGCTGGAGGGGCCTTCCTGCCCGCGAGGACATTGCGGTAAAGAAAGGGTTTGGGAGGCGGAGGCTGCAGTGAGCCGAGATCCCGCCACGCGCCCTGTCCTGTGCGACAGAGAACTCTGCGTCTCAAAAAAAGGGGTTTAATAAACCCCTTCTGTCCTCGAGCTGAGTCGCCCCTCCCGGGTGGGGCCGCAGGAGCTGTCAGGTCCAAGGGGAGCCATGGGAGTCAGGCACGCAAGAAAAAGGGGGGGAATCTCAAAAGGCCAATCTTAAGCTCTAAATTATGTGGACGAAAAGAGTCGAACTCTGTAAAATATTTGAAGAGATTTATTCTAAGCCAAAATATGAGTGACCGTGGCTCGTGACACGGCCCTCAGGAGGTCTTGAGAACATGGGCCCAAGGTGGTCGGGGCCCAGCTTGGTTTTATATATTTTAGGAAGACATGAGGCATCAATGAAATACATTTAAGAAATACATTGAAAAAAAAATACATTGGTTTGGTCGGGAAAGGCGGGACAACACAAAGCTGGGGGGTGGGGGGGCGGCGCAGTGCCCCAGGCTACAGGTGAATTTAATCCTCTGGTTGACGATTGAGTCCTTGAGTTTGTCTAAAGACCTGGGATTGGTAGAAAGGGGGTGTTCAGGTTAAAATAAAGATTATGGAGACCAAAGTTCTTTTGAAGTCTTATAGTGGCTGCCCTTAGAGACAATAGATGACGAATGTTTCCTATTCCTAAAAGGTGCTAGACTGTTAATCTCTTCAGGATTGGGAGGGTCTGGAAGAAAAAGATTTAGCTATGTTAATAGAGATTCTTTACAGCTGCAAATTTCCCCCTACAAAGAACAGCTTTGCCGGGGCCATTTCAAAATATGGCAAAGAAACTTGTTTTGGGGCAAAATATTTTTATTTTCTTCCTCATATCGTAATGTTCTGCCAGGGCCAGGTTGGAAAGTAAGTCATGATATACGTGGTTAAATAAAACCCATCTGATGAGAATTTATGGTTTGTAGGGCATGACTCCCCAAGCCCCTTAGGTAGGAATTTGGGCAAGATAAAAAATCAGAGTTTAGTCCTCAATCATGATGAGCTGCTGAGTTTCACACAAGGCCTGTTGTCATTTAAACTATAGCCTAAATGTCTCTCAAAGTCAGCTTGGCCCCAAAAACCAGGAATAATTAAAGGAAAGGCAAGATTGTGGGTGGGCTAGCTCAGCTCACAGTTATAATAATTCTTCTCACTGATACTGTTACAGCAGGTAGCTCCTCCGGCTTGAGCAGGACAGGAGAGCGCTTCCCACCCACAACCAGGAATGTCAGGCGACCCCTCAGGTGATGGTCAGGTGGTTGTTGCACTGTTTCTCTAAAATAATAATTGGTAGCAACCAGCGCCAAGGAAAGGCAGTCTCCCAGTAGATAGAAAAAAACCTGAAACGTGGTCAGGTTTATCCACAATCTTGCTCATGTGGTCCTGTGGCCCCCACCGAGGAGCTGGGTTAGGGTTGGGAAGACAGCTTCGACTCCCCAAGACTTCATCTCCAACCGGACCGGTCAGCGCTCCTGACTCACTGGCCGCCTACCCACCATATCATCCTTCGAAACTCGGATCCCCACGTTTTTGGGGAGAAGGATTTGAGTAATAATAAAACTCCCGTCTCCCCCGCAGCCGGCTCTGCGTGAATTACACTTTCCTTATTGCGATTCCCCTGCCCCGATGCGACCAAGGGGCCCGCCCAGGAGCGCAGAGAAACCATTAAGGGGTCACAGGACCGGGCTCCCAGGGTGACTCCCTGGCCACCAAGTCCTCCAGCAGGTCACTCCTGGATTCCGGCTGGACCCCCTGCCCAGGGAGGGGCCCAGGAGACGCGGAAATCGGGTCCCCCGCGGGTGAAGGGGAGGTGGGAGCCCCAGAGGAGGGCGGGAAGGCTCGGCCGGGGACGTGCCCGAGGGGGAGGAGAGGGGCTCCCGTCCGGGTCCGGCGCTGCGGGTCTCAGGGTCCGCGTCCCGCCCACCCCGCGGGGGTCTGGGCTGCGGGCGGAGCCTCCTCCGGGACCTGCACCTGCGCCGGCCGCCGCCAGGGGCGCCGCTGAGCACCCGCCTCCGCCGCTTCCCCCTCCCCGCCGGGCGGGGCCGCGCGCCTCCCACCCGGGACCCACTTCGGAGTTCGCCCCCTTCGGGACTCGCCTCCGGGAGACCCCCGAGGGGGAGAGGGCGCTTCCTCCGCGTCCATCGCCCTTGCCGCCCCTGGGGTGAGAGCGCGGCTCCGGGGCTGGGGGCGGGAAAGGGTGGGGAGGGCGAGTAGATCCAGACCTGGAGTCGCGGGTGGACGGCGGGGCGGGGGCGCGCATGGCCACCCCAGCTCCCACCGCGGCCGCCCATGGGGCACCCCACATGCGCACACCGGAGACCGAACCGGGGAAGGGCGCTGTAACCAGGTCGGGGCGGGGGTGTCTGTCCGGGGGCTCAGACCCGGGTAGAGGTAACTTCGATGAGGGTCGCTCCACTCTCCTGCGCCGCCCCCACCACGGGGGAGCAGGGCCCATACCCGCTGGACGGGAGGGGGCAGCTGCCACGAAGCAGCACCTGGTCACCCAGGAGGGGCTGCGAGGCCCGGGGCTCCTTCAGCTGCTGCCCTGGGCACAAAGCCCCCTCCCTCCCACGGGCCCTGAGCTGCCCACATCTGCAGGACTGGCTGCTCCAGACAGCTCGGAGGCAGGCAGCGCGGTGCCCCCTCCACCCCGAGGAACTAAAGCCAGGTCCCCAGCACCACAGAGCAGGGCCTGGGAGCAGCTGGGGAGCCGGTGCCACCTTGCCCCTCCCTGGCCCTGCTGGGGGCTTAACCCTTCCCTCTGTCCTGAGCCGACAGCCTGGATTGCCGACAGGCCGCGAGCGTGGCCTTGGGCCCAGGGTGTCCCGGACTCAGCACTGACGTTCCCGGAAAGAGCCCACGTTGAGTAGGAGCTGAGACCTGCAGGACACAGGAACTCCTCCCAGGGTCCTGGATCCAGCTGCTGCTCACGGCAGGAGGCCCGAAACCAGAAGGCCTGAGCACTTGCCCGGTCCCCAAGAGATGCACAGAGGCCGGAAGGGGCAGTGCAGGGGCTGACCAACCTGCTCAGTCTCAGAACCACGCTCCGAACCCTCAGCCAGACCCCTCCCCAGGTGAAGTCGCAGCAGCACCAGAAACACGTGCACTTTATTGAATGCCATTGTAGAAAAGCGTGTGAGGATAAAGGGCTGATACAGGACTCGGCTCCGGGGGCAGGGCGAGGAATGGAAGTTGGAGTACGTGGGATACAGGTCATGGGCAGAGCTCCTGGCCTCAGTGATGCCTCCTGATCTATCCATAGGCCTGGAAGATCAGCACTGGGATGACGATGAGCAGAATGGTCATGAGGATGCCCAGAATCAGGGCCCAGATGTTCAGGCACTTGGCGGTGGAGGCATAGGCCTGGGCCCCGGTCACGTCGCCAACCATCTTCCTGTCCCTAGACTGGGGGAGAGGAGATGGTGAGGGGACCAGGATCCCCCAGCTGAGAGCCGCGTGCTATGGCTCCGTCTCCTCATTGGCTCTCCCCGCCCTGAGATCAGGGACCACCTCCTCCCCTTCCTCACCCGGGCTCAGACTCTCCAGGAGCCTCGGGGCTCATCCTCCTTCTGCCTTGACCTCAGCACAGGCTGTTCTCCCCACCATGGGGTGAAGTCACCTGTGAGTTCCCTTCTCACTTTCTGGGAGAGCCTGGGTGCCAGTCTGGAAGGTGAAGGTGTAATTTCTTACTGGGCTATAGGGAGAACTGCTCTGGGCTAGTGGATAGCCGGGGACAGACTCTGAGCCAGCCAGCCAGCCTCCTGGAGCCTCCTCCTAAACCTGCACTGGGCAGATTCCCCAAGCCACACACACACACAGATCACACAGACAAAGCCACTGACGTGGGCACACACGGGACAGAGGTGCACACAAACTCACAGTCACAGGGACACACAAGTCCCCACCCCAGGCAGCATGTGGGCAGGTGGAGCTCCAGGCTCAGCGGCACCCTCTGAGCATTCCCTGGGGCCATACGCACCTTCACGGAGTAGGCGAATGCTATGAAGCCCAGGCAGCAGGGGTTCATGAAGAGGGTGTTGAACAGGGACCAGACGACATGGTCGGGCACGGAGGTCTCGCTGCGGATGTGGATCACGGTGGACGTCGGGGGAGCAGGGTTGTGGGGCGCCCCCAGCACAGCCACCTCGTGCTCCTCCTTGAGCATCTCATAGTTGGGGGGCTGGCCACTGTTGACAGGAGAGAAGAAGGTTTGGACAGTGTGATTCATGGTGTCCAGCGAAGACCAGCGGCGGTCGGGTTACTGGGATGGTTCTCAGTGAGCCCTCCCTTTCCCCAGTAGTTTCGGTTTCTCAACAGTTTCCTTTTCCTGGCATTTGTCAAATCGGGATTTGGCCGGGGCCAGATGAGGGCGGAACAAATTCCTGAGGATCAAATTACTTTAGGAGAGGGAGGAAAGAGGGGCTGAGGGCTAAGAGGGGCTTCCTCTCTAGAGCCCAAGGGAGCACAAGGCTCATCTTGTTAGTGGTGTGGGGTCCTGGAGACTTCCCCTGTGTTGGGGGTCTCCACACCCCAGGCCAGCAGCTGCAGGACCCCACTGTCCCGGTTCAGGGCTCCTGCCAGGCCTGCGCTGACGCCTCCACACTCCAGGCCCCACAACCGTTCCCCCAAAGCCCTCACCTCTGCCGGGCGCCGCGGCTCACGCCTGTAATCCCAGCACTTTGGGAGGCTGAGGTGGGAGGATCATGAGGTCAGGAGATCGAGACCATCCTGGCTGACACGGTGAAACCCCGTCTCCCATAACCCTCACTGTGGTGCCCAGGCAGCTGGATTATCCCATTACCTTCACTATGGTGCCCAGGCAGCTGGATTATCCCATTACCTTCACTATGGTGCCCAGGCAGCTGGATTATCCCATTACCTTCACTATGGTGCCCAGGCAGCTGGATTATCCCATTACCTTCACTATGGTGCCCAGGCAGCTGGATTATCCCATTACCTTCACTATGGTGCCCAGGCAGCTGGATTATCCCATTACCTTCACTATGGTGCCCAGGCAGCTGGATTATCCCATAACCCTCACTGTGGTGCCCAGGCAGCCGGATTATCCCATTACCTTCACTATGGTGCCCAGGCAGCTGGATTATCCCATAACCCTCACTGTGGTGCCCAGGCAGCCGGATTATCCCATTACCTTCAGTGTGGTGCCCAGGCAGCCGGATTATCCCATTACCTTCAGTGTGGTGCCCAGGCAGCTGGATTATCCCATAACCCTCACTGTGGTGCCCAGGCAGCTGGATTATCCCATTACCTTCACTATGGTGCCCAGGCAGCTGGATTATCCCATAACCCTCACTGTGGTGCCCAGGCAGCCGGATTATCCCATTACCTTCAGTGTGGTGCCCAGGCAGCCGGATTATCCCATTACCTTCAGTGTGGTGCCCAGGCAGCTGGATTATCCCATTACCTTCACTATGGTGCCCAGGCAGCTGGATTATCCCATAACCCTCACTGTGGTGCCCAGGCAGCCGGATTATCCCATTACCTTCAGTGTGGTGCCCAGGCAGCCGGATTATCCCATTACCTTCAGTGTGGTGCCCAGGCAGCTGGATTATCCCATAACCCTCACTGTGGTGCCCAGGCAGCTGGATTATCCCATTACCTTCACTATGGTGCCCAGGCAGCTGGATTATCCCATAACCCTCACTGTGGTGCCCAGGCAGCCGGATTATCCCATTACCTTCAGTGTGGTGCCCAGGCAGCCGGATTATCCCATTACCTTCAGTGTGGTGCCCAGGCAGCTGGATTATCCCATAACCCTCACTGTGGTGCCCAGGCAGCTGGATTATCCCATTACCTTCACTATGGTGCCCAGGCAGCTGGATTATCCCATAACCCTCACTGTGGTGCCCAGGCAGCCGGATTATCCCATTACCTTCAGTGTGGTGCCCAGGCAGCTGGATTATCCCATAACCCTCACTGTGGTGCCCAGGCAGCTGGATTATCCCATTACCTTCACTATGGTGCCCAGGCAGCTGGATTATCCCATTACCTTCACTATGGTGCCCAGGCAGCTGGCGTTCAGGCCTGCTCAGGCGTCTCATGACCTTCACTGTACTTCTTAGATAAAACAGAATACTTGAAGTCACTAGTTACAGAGAACAGGAATCTATAAACTCATTCCAAAAACAAAGGAAAATTTGTTTTTTCTTCTCCCTGTGTTAAGGGAGTGCTGGGAGAGTCTCAGAGCACATTAGATAATATTATCAGGACTTTTCCTGGGTCTCAGCTGTGTCTGCTGCTGCCTCCGGGACGAGTCAGCCTGATACAGGAAAACCTATTTCTCTTTCTTTTTAATTTTAATTTTATTTAATTTCCTGCCTCATTCCCTTCCCCTCTGAGGCCTTTTATTGTTATTATTTATTTTATTTATTTATTTTTTTGAGTCGGAGTCTTGCTCTGTCGCCCAGGCTGGAGTGCAGTGGCACGATCTCGGCTCACTGCAAGCTCCGCCTCCCAGGTTCACGCCATTCTCCTGCCTCAGCCTCCTGAGTAGCTGGGACTACAGGCGTCTGCCACCACACCCGGCTGACTTTTTGTGTTTGTAGTAGAGACGGGGTTTCACGTGTTAGCCAGGATGGTCTCGATCTCCTGACCTCATGATCCGCCCGCCTCGGCCTCCCAAAGGGCTGGGATTACAGGCGTGAGCCACCGCGCCCAGCTCTTGACAAAATTTCTTTAGCAGCTGCTTGAGTGTCCAGTTCATGCATTCCACTTTACCTGAGCTCTGCAGCCTGTAAGCTGTATGTAATTTCCACTTTATTTTTAATAATCAAGTTAAGTCCTGAACTATTTCAGCCATAAATATTGGGCTATTGTCTGATCTTAGAGTTAGAGGCAGTCCAAATCTGGGAATAATGTCTCTTAACAACACCTTGGTTACTTCTAGTGCCTTCTCTGTCCGGGTGGGGAAGGCCTCAACCTCCTGAAAAGGTGCAAATGAACACCCACGTGCACTGATAACCCCCCTCTCAGGGTACTTCCTCGAAGTCCGTACCACAGTTTTTCACAGGGTATGGCTGCCTGGCTCCTGTTTCCTGAACTCCTGGGGGCCGAGTAGGCCCTTGTCATGCATTGTTCTGAGCACGAATTTAACACCATTTGTTTACAAATGGCTCGAGTAATAGCAGTGAGCCATGGCACATAGAAATGATGCCTTAACAGGGCCAGGCGCGGTGGCTCACGCCTGTAATCCCAGCACTTTGGGAGGCCGAGGTGGGCGGATCACAAGGTCGGGAGATCGAGACTAACACGTGAAACCCCGTCTCTACTAAAAATACAAAAAAAATTAGCCGGGTGTGGTGGCGGGCACCTGTGGTCCCAGCTACATGGGAGGCTGAGGCAGGAGAATGGCGTGAACCTGGGAGGCGGAGCTTGCAGTGAGCCGAGATCACGCCACAGCACTCCAGCCTGGGGGATAGAGCGAGACTCTGTCTCAAAAAAAAAAAAAAAAGAAATGATGCCTTAATAACGTCTTTAGTGCTGGTTTTTTGGGTTTTTTTTCCAGTGGAACTGTTTTACAAATCTGAGGGCCACCATTCCAGGTATGGCTAGCCTCCCGTTGGAAAATTTTTACCATCTTTCTTCAATGTAGTTCTTATTCTTGTGGGCAAACCAAGACTTTTCGTTTGGAGGGGACCTTGGGATCCCCAGGAGGGGAATCTCCGGGAGCGGGAGGCATAGCTAAGGCTTCCTCTCTAGAAGGTGGAGTTGTCGTTGCAGCCCGTTTGCCTCTTCGTCTGCCTTTCTGCTTTGCTGCTTTTCGGGGCCTCCTGCAGCGCATCACTGCCACCTCTTCCAGGGCCCACACAGCGTTTAACAGAGGTGGAATTTCCTCCTTATACTTTGTTTTTTCACTTCCAGCCGTTAAAAGTCTTTTATTCTTTGTAAACAGCCTCATGAACATGCAAAGTGGCAGAAGCATATTTGGAATCTGTGTAAATACTTGCCTTCTGCTCTTTTCCTAGCCAGAGAGCTCTTGTCAGAGCTATTAGCTCTGCTTTCTAAGCAGAAGTTTCTGCAGACAGAGACGGTACCTCTACTGCTGAGTCCAAAGTCACCGCGGCATACCCAGCTCGGCAGACTCCCCTTAGTACGAAACTGCTTCCATCAGTAAAATATTCAATGTCCAGGTCCCCGAGGGGCCAATCTGTTAAATCTTTCCAGCTTGAGAACACTTTATCTACCACGTCCACACAGCAATGAAGGGGACTTCCTGTGTAGGGTCCAGCCCTACGGGGGCTTAGCGGGTGTTCTCCCCGTGTGCAGAGACAAGAGATCGTAAGAAATAAAGACACAAGACAAACAGATAAAGAGAAAACAGCTGGGCCCAGGGGACCACTACCACCAAGACATGGAGACCGCTAGTGGCTCCGAACGGCTGGCTGCGCTGATATTTATTGAATACAAGACAAGGGGGCAGGGTACGGACGGTGAGTCGTCCAAGTAATTGATAAGGTGAAGCAAGTCACGTGATCATAGGACAGGGGGCCTTTCCCTCTTAGGTAGCCGAGCAGAGAGAGAAGGCAGCATACGTCAGCGTTTTCTTCTATGCACTTATAAGAACAATCAAAGACTTTAAGACTTTCACTATTTCTTCTACCGCTATCTACTACGAACTTCAAAGAGGAACCAGGAGTACGGGAAGAGCATGAAAGTGGACAAGGAGTGTGATCATTCAAGCACCACAGGGAGGGGGTTAGGCCTCCGGATGACTGCAGGCCAGGCCTGGAGAATATCCAGCCTCCCACAAGAAGCTGGCGGAGCAGAGTGTTCCCTGACTCCTCCAAGGAAAGGAGACTCCCTTTCACGGTCGGCTAAGTAACGGGTGCCTTCCCAGGCACTGGCGTTACCGCTTGACCAAGGAGCCCTCAAGCGGCCCTTATGTTGGCGTGACAGAGGGCTCACCTCTTGCCTTCTAGGTCACTTCTCACAACGTCCCTTCAGCACCTGACCCTATACCCGCCGGTTATTCCCAGGTTATATAGTAATGGAACAAAGAGTAATATTAAAAGCTAATGATTAATAATGTTTATAATAACGATTGATAATTGTCCGTGATCATCTCTATATCTAATTTGTGTTATGACTCTATGACTGTTCTTATTCCATTTTCTTTATTATACTGAAACAGTTTGTGCCTTCAGTCTCTTGCCTGGGCACCTGGGTCATCCTCCACCCACAGCTGACTTCACACCGTGCTCTTCCTTGAGCATGTCTCAGGTTTCCGGGAAGCTGATGTTTTTGGGAGTGCAGAAGGCTTGGGAAGTGTGGTTCCTGGTCTCTTACGTGGCCGTCTGTGGAGTAGCGTCCGGACGCTGGGGTACCGTGGGAAGGGTGGTTCCCGGTCTCTTACGTGGCCGTCTGTGGAGTAGCGTCCGGACGCTGGGGTACCGTGGGAAGGGTGGTTCCTGGTCTCTTACGTGGCCGTCTGTGGAGTAACGTCCGGATGCTGGGGTACTGTCTCTGGCAGGGCTGTTTTCTCAGGCACCTTCTCCCACCTGGACTCAAGGGTTCTGCTTTCTTAGAAGTTTCTGTTTCCTGCTGTTTGGAAATTCGTGAATTGTGTGAGGTCTGAGGAGGGGGGTAACACATTTCTGAACGTGAAGTTATACATTGAGGGTGGGTAGAAGCACTGTGGGCTAAGGAGGCTTCTCTGCAGGACCCCATCAGGACGGTGTCAGGGCGTGTGGAAACACTGTAGGCTAAGTAAGCAGGCTTCTCTGCAGGACCCCATCAGGACGGTGTCAGGGCGTGTGGAAAAACTGTAGGCTAAGTAAGGAGGCTTCTCTGCAGGACCCCATCAGGACGGTGTCAGGGCGGGTAGAAGCACTGTGGGCTAAGTAAGGAGTCTTCTCTGCAGGAGCCGCATCAGGACAGCGTCAGGTGACTCCAACCTCCTCTTGTAGGGGTGCCAGAGGCCCCTGTGCGCTTTACCAGGCCTGGGAGTCTCCTCTCCTCACCCCAGCTGCTGCAGGACCTCACTGTCTTGGTACAGGTCCCTGCCAGGCCCCAATGGGGCTTCCACACTCCAGGCCCCACAGGGAGCCCCTCAAGCCTTCGCCTCTCTCGTCACAGGCCTCCTCTGCTGAAATCTTCCCTTTTCTGGGGCTGCGGTCCTGCTCTATGTGGGTTCAGAGGCCTAAGCCTCCCCGTGTCTCCTGGTGCAGGTCAGAGACCCAGTGGCCACTGCTCCTGCCCCACAGCAGCCCTCCAGGCCCAGGACCGGGGACGACAGGGAGCACTGACTGAAGAGGAGGCTGTCTTTGGACACGGGGAGGATTCCAGGGCCTGTGGGGGCAGCTTCGGTGCTCAGGGCTCACACGTGTGACCCCCTCCTTCCGCTTTCCGGGGCCCCTTTGTTTTATAAAATGCCACAGAGGTCGAGGGGACATGAGGGTCAGGGGGGAGGGGGGTTCCTGGACTCGGGGCCACACCCAGTAGGGCTTGGGCAGGGCTCTAGGGCCCCACTGGCCAAAAGCTTCCTGAGATTACAGCAGTTTCCTCTTCCTGCCTCAGTGCCCCACGGACAGGGGGTGCGATCTGAGCAGAATGAGGTGACGTCACTGGGTCAGCGGCTCCTGTGGCATCTGGCCAAGGACAATGTGCTGAGAAGTTTCCCCTGAAAAAATCAGAAACAAAACTCACCTCAGGAGAGGCCCCTGCACCCTCCAAGAGGAAGTGGGAGTCACGTGAGGCTCGTCTTGATTGGGGTTCCTGGAGAGGAGGCCCCCTCTCCCCAGGTGGGGGCTCCTGTTTCCCCTGCTCTGCTCTGAGGTCCCCAGGGTCCAGTCCCCTCCCCACCCTATCCTGGAGCTTGTCAAGGCCACCAGAGACCTGCTCCCTGTGCCGTCTCAGACTGGACTCTGGGGTCTCCGGTGCCTCCTCTGATTCTGCACCTCGGTGCAGCCTCTGGCCTGGCTGCGCTCTGAGGAGCTCCCTGTGGCCACCGAGCCCTTGGAACGTGGCCAGTTCCATTCTCAAACTGCTGTGAGTGCAAAGCTCATGCTGGATTTTGAAGATTTGGTGAGAAAAAAAATTTCTTTGTAAAATGTCAGTATTTCATCAATAGTATATTTTGTTGATGATATGTTGAGAAACTATTTTGGATATGTTTGTTTAAGTAGATTGCTGGCCAGGCATGGTGGCTCACTCCTGTAATCCCAGCACTGGGAGGCCAAGGCAAGAGGATCGCTTGAGGCCGGGTGGTTGAGGCTGCCGTGAGCTGTAATGGTGCCACTGCCCTCCAGCATGGATGACAGAGACCCCACCTCTAAAAACAATTAATTAATTAAAATTAAATCAGTAAAAAATTTTTTTAATTAAAATTTTAAAAAATAGATTATTAAAACAAATATCACCCATTTACTTTTGCTTTTTTAGAAACATTGGTACTGGAAGATTTAGCATTGGGTGTGCAGGGCCCACCCTCTTCGCTCATGTCACTGGCCCCTTCCACTGGCGGCATTGCAGGGGGAGCCGCCGTGCATCCAGAAGTGAGGGTCCTGGCCTGGAGATCTGCTCCCGCAAGTCCCCCAGGACTCCGGCTTCCTCTCAGGGGTTCACTTCTTTCTTGAATTAGAGCTGGGTCTCCTGGCCACAAAGGAGCTGTATCTTTGAGGCTTGGAGCCTTCCCCAAATATGCCTCGTATGGCACGGGGCAGGCCTCTGGGCAGTGGGCAGCGGGGGCTCGCTGCTGCCAGTCCCTGACCCCCGCCTTGGTGTGAGTGCTTCAAGTGGCTTCCCCACTGCCGTTCAAACACGATAACTTCAGAAGGTGGCATTTGTACCTGACATCTTGGGAATCTTAAGACTTTTTCTAATGGTTTCCAAGGACAGGCTAATAATCAGAGAGATGAGAACAACCTGGTCATCATTAGGAAAACAAAATGTTCTCACTGCACAGGAAAATAAGGTTGATATTTCTGTGAACCTACTCAAATTAACACCCAATCAAAACCAATTTTTTTTTTTGAGATGGAATCTCACCCTTGTTACCCAGGCTGGAGTGCAATGGCGTGATCTCGGCTCACCGCAACCTCTGCCTCCCGGGTTCAAGCAATTCCCAGCCTCAGCCTCCCAAGTAGATGAGATTACAGGCATGAGCCACCACGCCCGGCTAATTTTGTACTTTTGGTAGAGACGGGATTTCTCCATGTTGGTCAGGCTGGTCTCGAACTCCCGACCTCAGGTGATCTGCCTGTCTCAGCCTCCCAAAGTGCTGGGATTACAGGTGTGTGCCACCATGCCTACCCACAAACTGATTTTTTAAAAATTTATCTAGATTGTAAAAAAATATATCTTCTTCTTTTTTTTTTTTTTTTTTTTCCTGAGACGGAGTCTCGCTCTGTCGTCCAGACTGGAGTGCAGTGGCGCAATCTCAGCTCACTGCAAGCTATGCCTCCCAGGTTCACACCATTCTCCTGCCTCAGCCTTCTGAGTAGCTGTGACTACAGGCACCCGCCACCACGCCTGGCTAATTTTTTGTATTTTTAGTACAGATAGAATTTCACCCTGTTAGCCAGGATGGTCTCAATCTCCTGACCTTGTGATCTGGCCGCCTCGGCCTCCCAAAGTGCTGGGATTACAGGTGTGAGCCACCGCGCCCGGCCTGTCTTCTTCTTCCTAAGTAAGTGAAGGAAATAATGTATACAGTGGTCCATTTCCAAGACAAAGTGCCTTAAATCAGCTTAGGTCAGCAAACTACAGAAGAAACAGGATATACTAGGCCCCTGCTTGGATAGCTGATGCCTTCTTGTCAGCCTTCTCCCTCCCCTTCTCCCTCCACTTAGTTGCCCTTACCCAAACCAGGGAAGTTTCGTCTAAGATAAAAGTTTACTAGCCTGCAAAATAGCTCGGTTTGTCTGTCCTTATCAGCCTGCCCAGCTACTTAGCTCATAAGTCAAATACGCAGAGCCCCTGGGCTGACTGGGATTGCAATGCATTGTGGGCTGCAACAAAATGCAGCAGGACAACCCAAAAGAAGACACCTAAAGCTGCTGCCCAACAACCAATGGGAAGACTGTGACCCCACAGTACTCAGCCTATGAGGATGCAGGGGAGGGGCCTGTGCACTGGGAGATAAATCGCTGGTTGTGACTGTGCTGTGAGTGCCTGCCCATCAGATAGATACCTGATCTTGCAAGACCGTCATCAAAAGTCTCACTTTTGCTGTCTTCTGCGTTTCTAAATCCATTCTTTGGGTTCGGGCGAGTGAGTTTGTTTCTCACAGTAAGCTCTAGAACTTTGTGACTTAGCAGTTTAAGGAAAAAGCAAGTCTCTGTGGGGTCTCTCAATGGCCAAAAAATAGAGTGAGGAATAAATAGAGTTTTGTTTTGTTTTGTTTTGGTTTGTGGGTTTTGTTTCTTTGTTTGAAACAGGGTCTCACTCTGTCACCCAGGCTGAAGTGCAGTGGCACCATCACAGATCACTGCAGACTCCACCTCCTGGGCTCAAGCAATCCTCCTGTCTCAGCCTCCCGAGTAGCTGGAACTCCCAAGTAACACACACATTAGCATGCCCAGCTAATGTTTAAATTAGGGTTTTAATTCACAGAGAAATAAAGAGCATCTGAGCATTCATCTTCCACAAAAGCAATCTGAAATTGTCTCTGTAAGTGGGCGCCCTGTCTTTCTGCAGGCTCAGAGTGGAGAATGAGGTTGCATCTCAGGATGGCCACAGCGCCTTCCTTCCCAAGCCCTTTCTTCAGCAGCCGTGGTGGGAGCTGCAGCCGAAAAGCCCCTTTGGAGTTGCAGCTAGAGGGTGCCTTCCAGGAGCTGCTGGGCCAGCTTCACCAATGCCTGCAGACGGTCAGGACAGATTCAGAGAAGCTCTGGGTCAGAACGAGGGTGAAAAGCCCCTTCCTCGAGCTTCCGGTCGAACAGCCCCATGGGGGTGCCCTGACCTTCTTGCTCTAATGCAGCTGCTGTTCCCCGGGGCAGCGACTCCCCTTCTCTCCCTCCCAAGTGCGGCCCTGCCCTCTTCACAGGCACACACCCCACAGCACGTGCAGTGCCTCAAGGCGCCCGAGGTGCACGGGGAGGCCCATCAGTGCTGTTCCCCAAGCCTCCAGCTTTCTTGCTGGAATCTTTCTTTCCCACCCCTTTGCAGCTTGGCATGAGCTTGTCACTTGAGGTGGCCAGTGAGATGTTGTGGGCATGAGAGGTGGTGCCAAGAGATCAGGCGTGACTCCACCTCCCGTTCCCACCTCGGAGGCCTGGCAGCACACGCTGGGGGCTCCCCAACCTGGGCGGCTGGGCGAGGACGAGGCGCAGACCCCACACCTGCCACAGGCCCACACTGGAGGGAGTCAGCGGCTGAGGGTCGGGCCGTTCGTTACCACCGCACAGCCTGGCTCATCCTGGCTGACTCGGGGCAGTGCTGCCCGGGCCAGGCGGAGCAGGGAGGACGTGGTGGGGTGTTTGGAAGGCGGAGCAAGAACCTAATAAATGTGAGCCCTGGACTCTGAGGCCGGGCAGCGAATGTTCTGCGGGTGCTGTCTGCGGCCGGATGTGGGTTTTGGCATCATGAGCTCAGGAGAGAACTGGCCGGTGGGTGAGCAGGTGCGAAAGGAAACCGAGAAAACCCGGGGGGTACTTTGTGGGTTAAAAGAGGCAACTGCCTTTCCATCCTGACCAGCAGAAGGGAAGACTGCAGAGACCCTCGAATGTCGATCTCAGCGGTTGCGGCTAGGATGGAATCAAGAGCAGGCCACCGCACCCACCGCTGACAAATCTCCAGGTAGGGTCCGGCCAAGGGAATGGCCCAGGAAAGCCCTTTTATTGCACCAAATGCTCCAAGAAAAAGAGACTAAGGGAGTGATTCATGGTCTCAAGCCTGACCTGATGCCACGTTTTGTGCAGAGAGATTCTAGGGGGAGGGGGCAGTGGGGGCTGAGGACGGCCAAGGAAGGAAATGCAGCAAAGCCAAGAGCAGGGAGGACGAGCAGGTGTGACTCTGGAACAGGGACCTGACTAAATCAGACTGAAGTTTAAAAAGCTGATTTACGCCGGGTGCTGTGGCTCACGCCTGTAATCTCAGCACTTTGGGAAGTTGAGGCGGGCGGATCACTTGAGCCCAGGAGTTCACGACCAGCCTGGGCAACATGGTGAGACCCTGTCTCTACAAAAAGTATGAAAAAATAGCCAGTGGTGGTGGTGCATGCCTGTGGTCCCACCCACTCGGGAGACCGAGGTGGGAGGATCGCTCGAGCCCAGGAGGTCGAGGCTGCACTGAGTGTTGATTGGTCACGTCGCTGCACTCCAGCCTGGGTGACAGAGCCAGACCCTGCTGTCAGGCCTCCGAGCCCAAGCCTGGACGTGTACATCCAGATGGCCTGAGGCAACTGAAGAACCACAAGAGAAGTGAAAATGGCCAGTTCCTGCCTTAACTGACGACATTGCCTCATGAAATTCCTTCTCCTGGACAGTGAGTCTCAGAAGTTCCCCCACCCAGCACCCTGTGACCCCTGCCCCTGCCCGCCAGAGAACAAACCTCTTTGACTGCAATTTTCTGCTACCCACCCAGATCCTATAAAATGGCTCCACCCCATCTCCCTTTGCTGACCACCTGCACCCAGGTGATTAAAAAGCTTTATTGCTGGCCAGGTGCGGTGGCTCACGCCTGTAATCCCAGCACATTGGGAGGCCGAGACAGGCGGATCACGAGGTCAGGAGATGGAGACCATCCTGACTAACACGGTGAAACCCCGTCTCTACTAAAAATACAAAAAATTAGCCGGGTGTGGTGGCGGGCGCCTGTAGTCGCAGCTACTCGGGAGGCTGAGGCAGGAGAATGGCGTGAACCCGGGAGGCAGAGCTTGCAGTGAGCCGAGATCGTGCCACTGCACTCCAGCCTGGGTGACTGAGCCAGACTCCGTCTCCAAAACAAAAAAAAGCTTTATTGCTCACACAAAGCCTGTTTGATGGTCTCTTCACATGGACTCGCATGACACCTGCCTCAAAAAAAGAAAAAGAAAAAGAAAAAAAAGTTGATCAAAGATTTGAAAGAGTTGCACTGTCCTAAAAACACAGGCTGGATCCAAAGAGATCATGACAACTTGAGACTCAAAGTAGCCCTTGGGCCCCCCATGTCTCTATAGGCAAGAAAGGAGCTGAGGAAGCCACTCAACTCTCCAGCACCCACCCTGTGCGGCCACGGAGGACCGTGGGGATGGGAAGTGTCCCCTCCACCAAGCACAGCCCTCATCTCTTCCCGGAAGTTGCTCCCCGGCGTCAGCGTCCTCACCCAGCCACCCCTGGGACTTTGGAGTTGCTGCAGAGCATGACTGCTGGGATCTGCCTTCTTCCCTTCCAAACCGTCGAAGCCCCTGTCCCTGCTCCTTGGTTGAATACTGGGGGCGTGGGCAGAAAACTCTTCATCTTTTTAATTCAGGGCCCTCCAGCTTGGGAGGAGACACAGCTAGGCTGGATGCGGCAACTTGTGTACTTTTGACCTTCATGTAGCTGGAGGACACCGGGTTGCCCTTGAGGAAGCAGGTGTATTTTGCCTGCAGGAAGGGCAGTCTTCTGAGTACCTCGCAGGTGTCTGGATGTGGTGCGCATTAGTGCTGTTCATCAGACACCTTCAGCTGTCCTCTGGGCAGATGGCAGGGTTGTGTCTTCCTGTGGAGTTCCTTCCTTTCGCCTCAGTGACCACGGAGACGCATGTCGAGGTGTGACCTCGCCTGGGCCTCTGCATGAGGGTGGGGAGCAGAGTCCTCCTTAGTGGGAGTGGAGCGTGCACAGGACGTAATTACGTGGGGCCATTTGTTACGCAGCCTAACACAGCCTGTCCTGGCTGATGCAGATGGCCATTGCAGCAGTCATCTGCAGGTCCTCAGCTTAGTCTCACCCTCACTGGAGATCTTAGCCTTGGCCTCACAGGTGCTCCAGACCTTTTCCTGGCAGAATTTTGGTGACTTCAGAAATATGATGACTGCTGAACCCACTTCTCCCAGCATTTCTATTTGTGGTTGCCTGGTGTATTTAAAGTCTGTGTTGATGGGTGCATATATTTTTAACGTTTCCCTATTGTGAAATTTAATAAATTTACAGCAAAATGTATAAAATACGAAAGTAAAAAACTATCACCCTAGTCAAAAAATGGTGCATTACCCATCCCCGAGAAGATGCCTGCCTGTCCCTGCCCAGTCACGACTTTCACTCGCGTCCGTCCATGTGAAGAGACCACCAAACAGGCTTTGTGTCAGCAATAAAGCTTTTTAATCACCTGGGCGCAGGCGGGCTGAGTCCAAAAACAGAGCCAGCGAAGGGAGATAGGGGTGGGGCCGTTTTATAGGATTTGGGTGGGTAAAGGAAAATTACAGTCAAAGGGGGTTGTTCTCTGGCGGGCAGGGGTGGGGGTCACAAGGTGCTCAGTGGGGGAGCTTTTCCAGCCAGCATGAGCCAAGAGAAGGAATTTCACAAGATAATGTCATCAGTTAAGGCAGGAACAGGCCATTTTCACTTCTTTTGTGATTCTTCACTTGCTTCAGGCCATCTGGGCGTATATACGTGCAGGTCACAGGGGATACGGTGGCTTAGCTTGGGCTCAGAGGCCTGACAACCACCCCTCCCATCCCAAAGACCACCACTCCGGACTTCTGTGGTGAACACATTCTTGCTTTTTGTCAGGATTTCAACACCCACGTGTGGGTTAAACCAAACCTAATCGAGTGTTGGCTAAACCCAAACACGATGAGTTAGAGCTTCCAACATCTAAGTTCTTGGACGTCTGCTGATTAGGGTTTTCTATGGAGGCCTCATTATGTAGGGACGATTGCTTAAATCATTCCCCTAAGGACTGACTCAATCCAGTCCCTCTCCCCTCCCCACAGGCTGAGGGTGGGGCCGGCAGTTCCAGCCCTCAAATCGCCTGGCAACCAGAGCCCCTTTCCAAAGGCCTCTCACAGCGTAAACGCAGGTGTGGTTGAGAGGAGCTCTATCTTTACTCCTCATCGCCTCGGAATCACAAGGATGTTAGGGGCTCTGCAGAACCGGGAACGAAGGCCAAGCCGGTTTTTCTTACTGTATCACCGTATCCATTTCCCATTCCTTGAAAAAATCTTCAAGTTTACCTTTTGTTTCCAAAAGCATAGCGCGCACCGCTGCTTTATTGTCTGGGAATTCCAGCACCCGGAGTTTTTGCTGCCTGTGGCTCCGCTTGTCCCTCGCCCTCACTGTCTTCTCTCTCCACGGTGCCTGTTTATGCTTCATTGTTGGACACGGAGCGACTTCCAGGCCTGGGGTGTTATCTCCATCAGGGGAGGATTGCCTGCTGATTCCGTCAGGCACCGGGAATCACCCAAGTTCAGTTTCAGAGAACTTTTCCATATTTCTGGGTCTTTTCTTAAAATGTATCTCTTATTAAATCTGTCTTTTAATTCATATTTATTATAATAATTCTTCTACAAGGACATTTCTGCCATAGTTTTTATATTTTCTATTTGCCCTACTTTTGGGGTTTTTTTCTTTTGGTGATTATCATGAGAGATTTTTTCTTTTATAACTTTTCTTTTTTTTTTTGAGATGGAGTCTCGCTCTGTGGCCCAGGCGGGAGTGCAGTGGCGCGATTTTGGCTCACTGCAACCTCCGCCTCCCGGGTTCACGCCATTCTCCTGCCTCAGCCTCCTGAGTAGCTGGGACTACAGGCGCCCGCCACCACGCCCGGCTAATTTTCGGTATTTTCAGTAGTCAGGGTTTCACCGTGTCAGCCAGGATGGTCTCGATCTCCTGACCTCGTGATCCGCCCGCCTCGGCCTCCCAAAGTGCTGGGATTACAGGCGTGAGACACCGCGCTCGGCATAACTTTTCTAAAAATTTATATTTATTCATTCATTCAACAAATACACACACACACACATATACACATTTTTTTCTTAAGATGGAGTTTTGCTGTTGCCTAGGCTGGTCTCAAACTCCTGGCCTCAGGCTCTCCTCCCGCCATGCCTGGCACCACAAAACTTGTTGAGTCCCTCCTTTTTGTTGTTAGGGCTCCAAATGTGATCTTCAAATACGGCCCTTTGGCATGTTGAGTACTTGGCTATGGAGGCACTAAGGGCCCCTCAGAAGCAAAAGCCTCTCTGACCTTCTCCTTCCCTCCTATTTCCTGCCCCATTTTCTCCCCAGTGTGAATCACAGAAACCAGAATTCCTTTTCCCCACAGAAAATAGAACTCCTCTCCCCCAAAGCAGGCCGAAAACCTGGAAGGTCACTCTGTCCCTTTCCCTTGGAGGCCTTCCTTCCAAGAGGTCCTGCCCCCATGCGTGGGAGGGAGGAAGGGGCTTTGCAGGGGAGGCTGAGAAGGCTCCCCCCTCAGCCTTCCCGCTGGCTTGTTCCCGTTTCTGCACAGCTGCACATTCTTCATCTAATCTGAGCATAAAGAGCTTCCCTGGGTCTCTGGGTCTTCTGTGTCACACACAACTTGGACGCAATAAATGTGCTCTGCTTTCCTCTTGTTAGCTGTGTGTTGTTGAAGAGTGTCGCTGTGACCCTGTGACGGGTGAAGAAAGGTCTCACAGCCTTTCTGCTCCCACAGTGCCAAGACTTGTTGCACGTGATGAAACAAACCAAAACACCCTAAAATACTGCGGGTTGTTGAGAGGACGAAAGTTAAAACACAGGGCGATGCTCTGTCCCTCTCTCTGCTTGCCTGATGGCAGGACAGCAAGTTACAAAGACTAAGGGCTTCCTGGCCTCCTCTCTGCCTTTCGCACCTGAAGACACTTGTATATCAGCTCAGAGACAGAGAGATTCCAGGAGGAGATGTTGCTCTTCCCGTAAAGGTTCCTCCCCACATTTTCCTGCCTTTGTCTTGTTCCCATAGGATTTATGGCTCATGTTAAAATACTATTTAAGTAAGGCTCCTAAGCCATTGCAGAGAGAGAGAAATACTTTTAACCTGAGGCCTCTCCCGTGAGACAGGTACAGCAGGCATCAATAAACTGCTGTTGACTTTTCTCATGTTAATCTCACTTTTATTTTCAGGAGACTGTCTCAACTAAGAACCTAGGAGGGAAAGAACAACGTTGTATCTTCTCCCCTACAGTGGTGGGCACACGGTGTGGCCTAGTGCGCTCTTGTGATGGGGGGTCTTAAGACCCACACTGTTCATTCGCCCCATTCACTTCCTGGACTTAGCATACCTGGAGCTCCTGGTACCACGCACCCTTTGGCAAACCTTCCCATATCCCTTTGATCTCTCACTCCCTTCCTGATGGCATTACCCAGATCTTCAGGCTTTGTACAACCATATTTTCCTTCATCTTTGCCCTTTGTATCTACCTTTTTATTGGCAGTGGTTTGTTCCTAATAACAGATTTCACAAACACATTTGGTCCCCAGACTTCTCCTGTGGCCTGCAGCATTTCCTGGATTTCTGTTTTTTGTTTTTGGTATTTTTTTCTTTTTTGACTTCCTTCTTCAAGAATGTTTTCAATGCAGATGTGAGGGAGAGACACATTCTGAGGCTTTCTGGAAATATCTTTATTATGCTCTTAGATTTGAATAACAATTTGGCTGCATATAAAATTCTAGATTTTTTCCTTCAATTCTGTAAAGTATCACCCTATAATCTTCCTATTTGTGTTAAAATATAAACATAAAATCATGAAAAAAAAATTTTTTTTTTGAGGCAGAGTCTCGCTCTGTCGCCCAAGCTGGAGTGCAGTGGCGTGATCTTGGCTCACTGCAAGCTCCGCCTCCCGAGTTCCCACCATTCTCCTGCCTCAGCCTCCTGAGTGGCTGGGACTACAGGCGCCCGCCACCGTGCCCGGCTAATTTTTTGTATTTTTAGTAGAGAAGGGGTTTCACCGTGTTAGCCAGGATGGTCTCGATCTCCTGACCCCGTGATCCACCCGCCTCAGCCTCCCAAAGTGCTGGGATTACAGGCGTGAGCCACCGTACCCGGCCATGTCGGGTTTTTAAAAGTCTACAACTCTTTCTCTTTTTGAGATAAGGTTTCACTCTGTCACCCAGGCTAGAGTGCAGTAGCATAATCATAGCTCACTGCAGCCTCAAACTCCTGGGCTCAGGCGATTCTCCCACCTCACCCTTTTGAGTAGCTGGTACTACAGGGATACCCTGCTAATTTTTTCTTTTTTAGAGAGGGGTTTTTGCTATGTTGACCAGGTGAGTTTCAAACTCCAGGCCTCAAGCAATCCTCCCACCTCGGTCTCCCAAAGTGCTGGGATTGCAGGCATGAGCCATCACACCTGGCACTAGAACTATTTTGAGGGGTGGGGGTGAGGGGACAGGGTGTTACTCGGCTGCCCAGGCTGGAGTGCAGCGGCATGATCATGGCTCACAGCAGCCTTGACCTGGGTTCAAGCAATCCTCCCACCTCGGCCTCCCAAGTGGCTGGGACCACAAACATGCATCACCACACCTAGCTAATATATATATATATATATATATTTTTTTTTTTTTTTGGTAGAAAGAGTCTGGCCATGTTGCCCAGCCTTAGAAGTCTTTTTAATTTCTTTTTCGAGATGGAGTCTTGCTCTATCGCCCAGGCTGGAATGCAGTGGTGCGATCTTGGCTCACTGCAATCTCTGCCTCCTGGGTTCAAGTGATTCTCCTGCCTCAGCCTCCCGAGTAGCTGGGACTACAGGCATGACCTACCATGCCCGGCTAATTTTTTTGGATTTTTAGTAGAGACGGGGTTTTGCCATGTTGGCCAGTCTGTTCTCAAACTCCTGACCTCAGATGATCCGCCCGTCTCGGCCTCCCAAAGTGCTGGGATTACAGGCGTCAGCCACTGCTCCCGACTAGAACTTTTAATACAGAATTTCAGATTTGACTTTGAAAACCTCTTGAGCCTAGAAAGCCATGCCATTCCATCAGACTTTTCCTGCAATACTGTATTAGTCCATTTTCATGCTGCCAATAAAGACTGAGCAATTTACAAAAGAAAGAGTTTAATTGGACTTAGAGCTTGCAGTGAGCAGAGATTGTGCCACTGCACTCCAGCCTGGGCGACAGAGCAAGACTCTGTCTCAAAAAAAAAAAAAAAAGCACACCTTCATACCTTATAATTTTTTTTTGTTTTTTGAGACTGAGTCTTGCAATCTCTGCTCACTGCAACTTCCACCTCCCGGGTTCAAGCAATTCTTCCCCCTCAGCCTCCCAAGTAGCTGGGATTACAGGCGTGCACCACCACATTCGGCTAATTTTTGTATTTGTAGTAGGGATGGGCTTTCACCATGTTGGCCAGGCTGGTCTCGAACTCCTGACCTCAGGTGATCCGCCCCCCTCAGCCTCCCAAAGTGCTGGGATGACAGGCTTGAGCCACCACAACCAGCCTCTTATAACTTTCCTTACCCAAAATTCGCCTTCCTTTGTTTGTATATTCTGCATACAGAGCTGCTTCCCTTATTATTTCTCGTAATTTTAATTACCATATAATTAGAATTCTAAACACTTAGTAACTTTAAAAGCTTTTCTTATCTTTTTTTTTTTTTTTTTTTTTTTTGAGTCAGGGCCTTCTTCTGTTGCCCAGACTGGAGTGCAGTGGTGCTATCACAGCTCACTGCAGCCTCAACCTCCCAAGCTCAAGTGATCTTCCCACCTTAGTCTCCCAAGTTGCTGGGACCACAGGCATGTGCCACCATGCCCAGCTTTTTTTTTTTTTTTTTTTTTTTGAGAGGAGTCTCACTCTGTCACCCAGGCTGGAGTGCAGTGGCGCGATCTTGGCTCACTGCAACCTCCGCCTCCCGGGTTCAAGTGATTCCCCTGCCTCAGCCTCCCGAGTAGCTGGGACTACAGGTGTCCACCACCATGCTCAGCTAATTTTTGTATTTTTAGTAGAGATGGGGTTTCACCATGTTGGCCAGGATGGTCTCAATCTCTTGACCTCGTGATCCACCCACCTCAGCCTCCCAAAGTGCTATGATTACAGGCGTGAGCTACCACACCCAGCCCAGCTAATTTTTATTTTTGGTAGAGATGGGCTGGTCTGGAACTCTTGGCTCAAGTGATCCTCCCACCTCAGCCTCCCAAAGTGTTGGGATTACAAGCATGAGCCACCACACCAGCTATTAACCTTGGTTTCTAGTGAAAACTAGCAAGTAAACACTTGTCAACTTTTTGCATACATACCAACATTCTGCAGATTGGCAAATCTGTGAATATACCATGTCATAATTTCTAGAAGTGTGTGTTTCTTTATCATACAATTTTTCAATATGGCACAGGATGTGTTTGCTGGCAGAGACAAGTATGTTTAGTACTTCTATAATAAGAAGCCAAAAGTAGACAAGCTTATGTTTAGCAATCAAAGTTTCAGTATTTTATGTTATTCAAAAAAAATAAGGTTTAAAAAATATCTTTCTAGATAGTCGATGAATAACCATCATTTAATTTAACTTGACTCTAACAGTGCAAGCTACCAAAGAGAATCGGCAAGCTGCTTTTAAGTAGATGTTTCATAACAGCAGACAAGGCTAGACATCATCAAATTGCTTTTCTTGGTGGCAACTCTTGTAACAGAGATAACATAAGTTTTTGCCTAATAAACCTAGGTAAAACCAAAGTTGTGTGTCTGCGTTTTATTTAATGCTGACAACTCTAAATATTTCATTAAACCAGAAAAGTTTAAATAGCATTTATTTACCAACTATAATCTCAGATGACATGAAATTTAAAAAACATTTGGGTTAGTTTCTATATTTCTAAGAGTTTAAGGATAACTCAACTTATATAAGCTCATATTTTTCTTTAAGCCAATTAAATACCACTTTTTTATAAATTAATTTTGGCAACGCAATCTAGAGTAGGAAAATGTCACGTGTACATGTATACATAGACATACATAAACATACAGACAGAAGCAGATCATATAGCTTTCTTTTTTTTTTTCACACTCTTCAGACACTAGAGTGTTACAGCTTCATTCTAAAATCTTAGCCACATGCCAAGCACAGTAATACAAAACACACTGTTTAATACAAGAACAATAGGCTTCAAATCTTGTTTCTGGCACATGGAACAAGTCAAAATTACTTGCCAGATGATTAAAGCTTTTATTAATATTTGCGGGAAAGACTTAAGGTTTTTCATTTGCCCAATTTCCATATAGCTCTTTTTTTTTCTTTTCTCATAAGATGGCTTCCCAAAATTTGCATATCAAAGAGATAACCCTCAGGTGTTTGAGCAGAGTAGAAAATTTACATCTCAAAGGCACAGAACTTAGACTTCAGCCTTAAATATCTTCATTTGAAGAAGAGAAAAAAAGAAAGAAATGAAAAAAAGAAAGAGAAAGAGAAAAGAAAGAAAGGAAGAGAAAAAAAGAGAAGGAGAAAGAAGGAAGGAAGGAAGGAAGGGGAAGGGATGGGAAGGGAAGGGAAGGAAAGGAAAGAAAGAAAAAAGCAAGCAAGCAAGAACAAGGAAAGAAAGAAGGAAGGAAGGGAGGGAAGGGAAGGGAAGGGAAGGAAAGAAGAAAGAAAAAAGCAAGAACAAGGAAAGAAGGAAGGAAGGAAAGAAAGAAAAAAGAAAGAAAGAAAAAGAAAAGGAAGGAAGGAAAAGGAAAGAGGAGGAAGGAGGGAAGGAAGAAAGGAAGGAAAGGGAAGGGAAGAAGGAAGGAATGAGAAAGAAAGGAAGGAAGGAAAAGGAAAGGAAAGAAAAGAAAAGAAAAAAGAGAGAGAAAGCAAGCAAAGCGCTAATTAAGCCAAGATGGGGGTCAGAAATGCACGCTAAGTAAAGGTAAGTTTTGTGATGTAGATTTAAATCAATGCTTTCTCCATTCTTTTTTTTTGTTGTTTACTTTGTTTTGTTTTGTTTTGTTTTGAGACAGAGTCTTATTTTACAACCCGGCTGGAGTGCAGTGGTGCGATCATAGCTCACTGCAACCTCAAACTGTTGGTTAAATTTCTTTGTAAAGATGGGGTGAGAGGGTTTGGATTTGTGTCCCCACCCAAATCTCATGTCAAATTGTAATCCTCAGTGTTGGAGGAGGAGCCTGGTGGGAGGTGATTGGATCATGGGGGCAGACTTACCCCTTGCTGTTCTCAGGATAGTGAGTTCTCATGAGATCTGGTTGTTTAAAAGTGTGTGGCACCTCCCCCTTCTGTCTCTTCCTCCTGCTCCAGCCATGCAAGACGTGCCCCCTTCCTCTTCACCTTCTGCCATGATTGTAACTTTCCTGAGGCCTCCCCAGCCATGTGTCCTCTTTTCTTTTGCCTTTTTTTTTTTTGAGACACAGTCTTGCTGTGTCACCCAGGCTGGAGTGCAGTGGCGCGATCTCAGCTCACTACAACGTCCACCTCCCAGACTGAAGCAATTGTCCTGCCTTAGCCAGCTGAGTAGCTGGGATTACAGGTGCACGCCACCATACCTGGCTAATTTTTGTATTTTTAGTAGAGATGGGGTTTCACCATGTTGGCCAGGCTGGTCTCAAACTCCTGACCTCAACCTGCCTCAGCCTCCCAAAGTGCTGTGATTAAGGCATGAGCCACCACACCCAGCCTAAACCTCTTTTCTGTATAAATTACCCAGACTCAGATAGTTCTTTACAGCAATGAGAGAAGGGACTAATACACCGACTCTTACTATGTCACCCAGGCTGGTCTTGAACTCCTGGGCTCAAGCAACCCTCCTCCCTCAGCCTCCCAAAGTGCTGGCATTATAGGCATGAGCCACCACTTCTATCTCCTTTATAGAATTAAATTTTTCTTACAAAGGGTCTCAAAAGAATTGGATCAAAATAATCTTTATGCCAGAGTAGCACATTTGGGGCCTACGTTGGCTAGATCAGAGGCTTCTCAGCCCAGTTTATGCTTTTTAACTCCATCACTGAGTTCAGGGTGGCGCCTACTGATGAACTGGCAAGCATTTTCCATGCCTGGAGTTAGCATGAATAGGCCAGGATATAATTCTACATCATCAGCAAATTTCTGGGACAGGGAAACCTTTCACTATTGTTCTGAGCTCAGATTTTAATCAAGATGTCAATGTGGTTAAAGAAGGAAGGCCTGGTTGATCTAAAGGCCTAACACGATGAAAGTTTGGCTAACTTTCTTTTTGCCTCTGGGGTATAAAAGTTACTGAGCAAAAAAGTGAGTAGTTCAGAGCAATCTGGCAGAGCAAGATGGAGAGAAAGAGAGAAGGGCTCATCTGTGCTGAGTCAGTAGACATGCCCTTTTTCATTGTCAATTAACTGCTTTGGTTTTCTATTTGCCTTTTTCTATGGAGTCTTTTAGAGAGACAACTTGGGATTCATTTAGTCTTTTAGCAGCCTGTGCATGCCAATCAAAAAATCATCTGGGCATGGAGGTTCTCGCCTGTAATCCCAGCACTTTGGGAGGCTGAGGCAGATGGATCACTTGAGCTCAGGAGTTCGAGACCAGCCCGGCAACATGGCGAAAACCCATCTCTACTAAAAATACAAAAAATTAGCTGGGCTTGGTGGTGCATGCCTGTAGTCCCAGCTACTCAGGAGGCTGAGGCAGGAGAATCACTTGAACCCAGGAGGTGGAGGTTGCAGTGAGCCGAGATCACACTACTGCACTCCAGCCTGGGTGACAGAGTGAGACTCTGTGTCAAAAACAACATGTGAATTAAAAAATGCATTCCATTTTCTCTTAGTTGCTTTGGATCCCATCTTTTGCAGTGGATACCACAGATGAACAGCTTTGTCTAGGTCATCACTTACCCACTGCGGCCACCACTTAATTCTAAGGTGTCTTTGGTAAAGTTCACCAGTTTCTCTAGACAAGTACTGGTTCTCAGGTGGAGGAATCTCAGACTCTGTGGATTCAGATAAACTCATTATTCTGTCTTCCCAAACCCTTACCTATGTGAAGATGCCTACTAGGCCCAGTTCAGTTTCTGATAGATCCAGTTTGACGCTAGATCTAGTCTGGATTTTTTTTTTTTTTTTTGAGACTGAGTATCACTCTGTCGCCCAGGCTGGAGTGCAATGGCACGATCTCGGCTCACTGCAACCTCCGCCCCCCGAGTTCAAGCGATTCTCCTGCTTCAGCCTCCCGAGCAGCTGGGATTACAGGCACCTGCCACCACACCTGGCTAATTTTTGTAGTTTTAGTAGAGACAGGGTTTCACCATCTTGGCCAGGCTGGTCTTGAACTCCTGACCTCGTGATCTGCCCACCTCAGCCTCCCAAAGTGCTGGGATTACAGGCATGAGCCACTGTGCTTGGCCCTGGAATTTTTTTTTTTCTTTAATGCTCAAATAAAGTTGGAGATCTTAGGATGAAAGTTGTGGAACTTGCATGAAGTAGAAAAATTAGGCCAGGCACGGTGGCTGACGCCTGTAATCCCAGCACTTTGGGAGGCCAAGACGGGCAGATCACCAGGTCAGGAGATCGAGAACATCCTGGCTAACACAGTGAAACCCTGTCTCTACTAAAAATACAAAAAAATTAGCTGGGCGTGGTGGCAGGCGCCTGTAGTCCCAGCTACTCGGGAGGCTGAGGCACGAGAATGGCGTGAACCCGGGAGGCAGGGCTTGCAGTGAGCCAAGATCGCACCACTGCACTCCAGCCTGGGCAACAGAGTGAGACTCCGTCTCAAAAAAAAAAAAAAAGGCAACTGCCTTCTTTGTCTGGTGCTCAGACTTTCAGGACGCATGTCTGCTGAGCCGGTGTACACCTTAAATAAACTCTCCTTCACCCCGTTCCATCTCTCCAGCTTCCCGATTTCCTGCAACAGCATCCAGGAGGGATCTACTGGTGGGGATTCCACATCAGCAGCAAGAAAGCAGTGAGTACAGAGGCTCCACAGGCGTCCACACCAGATTCTTCATTGCTGCCAGGTGTCTTTATGGCCAGGAGGAGACTCTTCCAGGTCTCCCTTCTGACACCTGAACTGCTAAAAAGATAAACAGACACATTAAAAAATTTTAGGGTCTATTTTAGCAAACAGCAATTCATGAATTGGGCAGCTCCAAACTGCAAGTCATTCAGGGCTCCCGGAAAACATTTACAAGGTACACATGGAAGCAAAATTTATAAAAAAAAATTGGGCCCGGCGCGGGGGCTCATGCCTGTAATCCCAGCACTTTGGGAGGTCGAGGCGGGCGGATCACGAGGTCAGGAGATCGAGACCATCCTGGCTAACACAGTGAAACCCCGTCTCTACAAAAAACACACACACAAAAAAAATAGCCGGGTGTGGTGGTGGGCGCCTGTAGTCCCAGCTACTCAGGAGGCTGAGGCAGGAGAATGGCGTGAACCCGGGAGGCAGAGGTTGCAGTGAGCCAAGATCGTGCCACTGCACTCCAGCCTGGGTGACAGAGCAAGACTCTGTCTCAAACAAACAAACAAACAAATAAACAAAAAATTGATTGGTTAAATTAAAGCAGTAGCTTCAAAGTCCTTAGTTTGAAGCTGCGTTTTCATGGTATCTAATGATTGTGTCTAGTTTGAAGTCATGTTAGGATCCAGCCATTCATGCTGAGTTGGGTTTCAGTTACCTTATCTAAGAACTCAGGGCACTGGGAGCGTCCTCAATCTAATGGCCTCCCAATTAATTATTTCAACATAATTTTCTGAGAAATCGGGTATCAATCTAATTCCTGTTTCATTGTAGGAGACCTATTTTTTCTTTCTGGAACTTTCTCTTTCTGGAACTTTTTCTTTGATACTCTTCAGTTTCACTGTGGTACATGAAAATGTAGGTTATTTCTTATCTCACCTCTTTGCAGCCTTTCGGTCTGAAGCCCTTCATCTTTCCTCAATTCTGGGAATGTTAGCTGTATTATTTATTCGGGTATTTCTTTCTCCCACTGCTTTTGGCTCCCCCTTCTAGAACATGGAATAGTGACAGGTATGCACCCCTCTCTCTTTCCCTCCTCTCAGCTCCGTGTTGCATGTGCCCTTTCTTTATTCTTCCACGATAATTCCTAGCACCATTCTCAACGGAGCTGGCGACGCAATGTCCACTCTTCAGTTGGGTCCATTGCCTTTTTATAATTCTGGCCGTCATAATACTATAAAAGCCAGCACTCCTTCTATCACAATCTGTTCGGTGGGGGAAAGGCTGTCACTTTCTTTCTTTCTTTTTTTTTTTTTTGAGATGGAGTCTCACTCTGTCACCCATGCTGGAGTGCAGTGGCGTGATCTCCGCCCACTGCAAGCTCCGCCTCCCAGGTTCAAACGATTCTCCTGCCTCAACCTCTCAAGTAGCTGGGACTACAGGTGCCCGCCACCATGCCTGGCTAATTTTTGTATTTTTACTAGAGACAGAGCTTCGCCATATTGGCCAGGCTGGTCTCAAACTCCTGATCTCAGGTGATCTGCCTGCCTCCGCCTCCCAAAATGCTAGGATTACAGGCGTGAGCCACCGTGCCCGGCCAAAGCTATCACTTTCTAAGTGCTTAACCTGTACCAAGCATGGTACTAAGTGCTTTACATATATATATTGAACACTCGTAACAACCTGCTGACATAGGTGCTGTTATTGGCCCAATTTTTCAGAAGGCAAAATGGAGACACAGAGAGAGGTTAGGCAATCTGCCCAATCTCACACAGCTGAAACACAGCAACAGGGTAGCGATCTGTGCCGGGAAGGTCGGCTGTAGGACCTGCGCTCAGTCATGTGCCACTTTGTTAGTCCACCTTTTGTATTATTTCTTTCCAGGTACTTAATATTGATTTTTTCTCTAACTTTTTATTTTGAAACAATTTAGGACTTACTGAAAAGTTGCAAGAACAGTACAGAGAGCTTCTGTACCTCCCTCACCCAGCTCCCACCACTGACAGCATCTTACATGACTGTAATATAATTACCAAAAGTGGGAAATTAACATTGGCACAGTGCTGTTCAATAAAGACCTTATTCAAATTTCACGGTTTTTTCACTAATGTCCTCTTCTGTTCTGTTCCATTTTGCATTTCATTGTTACTTCTCCCAGCCTCCTGCAGCCTGGGACAGTTCTTCAGTTTTTCCTTGTATTTCATGATCTGAACACTTTTATAGACTATCCACCAGTTATCTTGTAGAATATCACTCAGTTTGTGTTTGTTTGATGTTTTTCCATTTTGGAACGAGGTTATGCCTTTTTGGCAGTAATACTGCAGAAATGGGCTGGGCACAGTGGCTCATGCCTGTAATCCCAACAATTTGGGAGGCTGAGGCAAGAGAATCACTTGAGCGCAGGAGTTTAAGACCAGCCTGGGCAACATAGCAAGACCCCATCTCTACAAAAGAATTTTTAAATAGCCAAATGTGGTGGTGCATGCCTGCAGTCCAAGCGACTCAGTAGGCTGAGGCAGGAGGATCACTTGAGCCCAACAGGTGGAGGCTGCAGTTAGCCATGATCATGCCATTGCCCTCCAGCTTGGGTGACTGAAAGAGACCCTGTCTCAAAAATAATAATAACACAGAAATGATGTTTGGCGCGGTGGCTCACACCTGTAATCCCAGCACTTTGGGAGGCCAAGGTGGGCAGATCACGAGGTCAGGAGATCGAGACCATCCTGGCTAACATGGTGAAACCCCATTTCTACTAAAAATACAAAAAATTAGCCGGGCATGGTGGCAGGTGCCCGTGGTCCCAGCTACTCGGGAGGCTGAGGCAGGAGAATGGCGTGAACCCGGGAGGCGGAGCTTGCAGTGAGCCACTGCACTCCAGCCTGGGTGACAGAGCAAGACTCCATCTCAAAAAAAACAAAAACAAAACAAAACAAAACTTTACCAGGTGCACTCAAATGCAGGTTTCTTTGTTTTGGTGGGTTTTTTTTTTTTTTTGACAGAGTCTTGCTCTGTCACCCAAACTGAAGTGCAGTGGCACAATTTTGGCTCACTGCAACCTCTGCCTCCCAGGTTCAACTGATTCTCCTGCCTCAGCCTCCCCAGTAGCTGGGATTACAGGCATGCACCACCACACCTGGCTAATTTTTGTGTGTTACTAGTAGAGACAGGATGTCACCATGTTGGCCAGGCTGTTTTCGAACACCTGACCTCAGGTGATTCACCTGCCTCAGCTTCCCAAAGTGTTGGGATTACAGACGTGAGCCACCGTGCCCGGCCCTCAAATGCAGGTTTCTAATAACTTTGGAGATTGTGACATTAGAAAAGAGGGAAAAACTTTAGGACTCTCTTGGAGAGCTAAAATGTTCATGAATATCAAACAGGAGTTAACTGCATAGACTAAAGAAGTCTGAAGCTAGCCAGGCGCAGTGGCTCACACCTGTAATCCCAGCACTTTGGGAGGCCGAGGCAGGCAGATCATGAGGTCAGGAGTTCGAGACCATCCTGGCCAACATGGTGAAACCCCGTCTCTACTAAAAATACAAAAATTAGCCGGGCATGGTGGTGCTCACCTGTAGTCCCAGCTACTCAGGAGGCTGAGGCAAGAGAATGGCGTGAACCCCGGGAGATGGAGGTTGCGGTGAGCCAAGATCGCACCACTGCACTCCAGCCTAGACAGAATGAGATTCTGTCTCAAAAAAAAAAGAAGTCTGAAGTAATCTTTTTAACTTTGTTGAAAAGGTTGCTGATCTTTTGTTTTTCAGAGTCAAGAAAATTTTTCTGTTGAGCTATTTACAGCTTTTAGCAAATGAGTAAAGTATACTTCTGTAAACAAAATTCGGAGCGTATCTGTTTCTATCTGCCTGATTTGGAAACTATTTATATTCTTAATTTATGGCAATATAGTTATTTGCATAAGTGCAATAAGAATCTATTTTCTTTTGCAACAGGACACAATTGGAGAAATTGGTTATTTTACCAAGGCTTTGACTGGAATGGTGTGCTTTCTTTTAAGGAATGAAATTTGACTTGTAAAGTCAATAAAAGCCCTTGGGAAACTAGCCTCACACCTTGCCTGCTCAGTCCCCGGACAAGGTTTCTGATCTGTAATAAGTAAGAAATGTCACTTTCTTTCTTTTTTTTTTGGAGATGGAGTCTCTGTTGCCCAGGCTGGAGTGCAGTGGCGCAATCTCGGCTCACCACAACCTCCGCCTCCCTTGTTCAAGCGATTCTCTTGCCTCAGCCTCCCAAGTAGCTGCGATTATAGGCATGCACCATCACGCTTGGCTAATTTTTGTATTTTTAGTAGAGACGGGGTTTCACCACGTTGGCCGGGCTGGTCTCAAACTCCTGACCTCAAGTGATCCGCCCACCTCGGCCTCCCAAAGTGCTTGGATTACAGGTGTGAGCCACAGTGCCTGGCTAAGAATGTCACTTTCTAAAAGGTCTAGGAGCCCCAGGTTATCTTGGGACCCCAAGAGGAGAGGAATTTACTCAACTCACAGATATTTGAGGGCAGAAATCCATGGCAGGGCTCAGCTCTAAAAAAGTCTTATCTAAGATTCCTTCTATGGAACAGAGTTCCATCAAAGCCAATTTAAAAAAAAAGCTTATCTAAAAAATAATTATTCTTGCTGCCCTTTATACAAATAATCAGGCCAAGTGTAATAAAGCAAATTGGTCATACCATGATTTGTCTTTAGTAAAAATAGGAAACTAGAGAGAAAAAAGTTATATTTCAAGAACTATGGTACATGTGTTATTAAATTCTAGTCTCATCAGTTGTGTTGTTTGCATTTAGTGAACTTAATATCTGACATGCATTATTTGGACCAAATTTTTAAATTTTTGAAGCTATTTCTATTTTACCAATAATCTTTAAAACTGTCTTTATTTCCCAAAGATTATTTAAGTCACATGAACTAAAAAGCATTGCACTTTTAACTTTTCTGACAAAATTTTTTATTTAAGCTCTTATTATTAAACCAATTAATTAAAGCTCTTTTATATTCCACACACAACATGTACAAAAACACAGACAAACAGAAGTTAAAGACCCATCCCCTAAGCTGGGAATTGAACCCTGAACCCGGGCCGCCATTATGATGGCAGAAACCAAGAGAAAGTACGGCCACGTGGTTACAAGGCCAAGGTCCCAAGGACATGACGGACCAGAGGGAAGCCTCGTCCAGTTTACACACACACACACACACACACACACACAACACACACACCCCCACACACACCACACACACACCACACACACACCACACGCACACACACACCTCACACACACACACCACACATACCACACACACCCCACACACACAACACACACCCCCCACACACACACACCACACACACACCACACACAAACACCACACACACACCACACACACACCATACACACACACCACACACACACCACACGCACACACACACCTCACACACACACACCACACATACCACACACACCCCACACACACAACACACACCCCCCACACAAACACCACACAAACACCACACACACACCATACACACACACCACACACACACACCACATACACACCCACACACACCCCACACACACACACCCACACACACCCACACACACACCACACACACAACACACACCCCCCACACACAAACACCACACACACACCACACACAAACACCACACACACACACCACACACAAACACACACCACATACACACCCACACACACCCCACACACACACACCACACACACACCATACACACACACCACAAACACACACCACATACACACCCACACACACCCCACACACACACACCATACACACACCCACACACACAACACACACACACACACACACACACAGAGACAGAAGTCTGACTGGTGAGCAGTTCTTGCACTTGTGCCAGCATGACAGATTTCTGGGTTTCTTTTCCTGGGGGGCCCTAGTGACCCAACTGTAGCAGGACTAGCTGCAGACAAAACCCCTCAGACACCGAGTTAAAGAAGGGCTTTATTCGGCCGGGAGCTTTGGCAAGAGTCAAATCTTCAACAGCCGAGCTCCCCGAGTGAGCAATTCCTGTCCCTCTTCAGGGCTCACAACTCTAAGAGGGTCCACGTGAGAGGGTCGTGATCGATTGAGCAAGCAGGGGGTATGTGACTGGGGGCTGCATGCACCGGTAATCAGAACAGGACGGGACGGGGTTTTCACAGTGCTTTTCTATACAATGTCTGGAATCTATAGGTAATATAACCGATTAGATCAGCCAGCGGTCGATCTTTAACTACCAGGCCCAGGGTGTGGCGTTGGGCTGTCTGCTTGTGGATTTCATTTCTGCCTTTTAACTTCTTTCTCTGGAGGCAGAAATTGGGCATAAGACAATGTGAGGGGTGGTCTCCTCCCTTACGACTGGCTGTACCACAGCCCTGGGGGCCAAGCTGCAGCACAAAGGAAGTTACCTCTTTCCGTTCTGGCCAGGGCAAAATACGTGTGAGAAAACAGAGACATCAGCCACTCTGCTTAGCACCTAACATCACACTGGCAAGGCTCAAACTTGCTCCGGTCATCGTTAATCCAACCTCCAACCACAAGTTTCAACACGTGTTCTCTGGGCAAGTCGGTTGCCCCAAGTGATAGAAAAGATAAAAAAGAGAAAGGAGAGAGAGAAAAGCATCGCCTGAGGCAGGGTGGGGAAGGCAAAATGCTCAGGGAGGCCAGAGAAAGACCCGCCCATTGCAGGAACCCTGAGGACTTCAGGCGGCTGCTGTTGGGAAGGGACTTTTTCCGGCAGTCCCATCAGCTCTCAGGTTCCCCTTTTGCGAGAGGAGAAAGCTCCCCATGTTCCACGATCCTGTACGTGCCTAATCCTGTCACCCACAGCCGTCAGCAGAGAGTGCAAGGCAGATTAACCCAAAGAGAATAGCCGTTAACGTCCCCTCGTGCCGAACCCGTTCTCAGCCGAGAGGGACTTTTCTGAGAGGGACTTTACTGAGGGGGCTCTCTAAGCCCCTAAATCTTAAAAGGGACCCTAACCAACCCTCCTAAGGTGGGTCTCTAACCCAAGGTGGGTCAAGCATCCTTGCCTTGTATTAAGAGTGGGCTTTCACCCTCTCTGTCTTAGGACAGACCCTAACTCCCCTAAGTGGGCCTCTCACCCAATCCCATCCTTCGCCGGCTACCCCACCACTTACCCAGCGTCGTCCAGTCAGGGCCGAGTCTATTTCCTTTGGGTCGGGGGCTCCTCCTCAGTATTGTCCCTTCAGGGTTTGCCAGAAAGATGTTACCGGACCCCACTACTTACCCAAAGTTAGCCTTTAGGTCGGGGGTTTCCGCACTGGAGCCCCTCCTGAGGTCACCAGAGATATGTCACCTACCCAACGCTAGGTTTTGAGTCTGCAGTTTTTCTTCTGTGGTCGCCAGAAAGATGTTACCGGAAAGGGGTCCCGATCCAGACCCCGAGAGAGGGTTCCTGGATCTCATGCAAGAAAGAAATCAGGGGGAGTCCATAAAGTGAAAGCAAGTTGGCCGGGCGCAGTGGCTCACGCCTGTAATCCCACCACTTTGGGAGGCCAAGGCGGGCGGATCACGAGGTCAGGAGATCGAGACCATCCTGGCTAACACGGTGAAACCCCGTCTCTACTAAAAATACAAAAAAAAAAAAATTAGCTGGGCGTGGTGGCGGGCGCCTGTAGTCCCAGCTACGCGGGAGGCTGAGGCAGGAGAATGGCATGAACCCCGGGGGGCGGAGCCTGCAGTGAGCCGAGATCGCGACACTGCACTCCAGCCTGGGCGACAGCGAGACTCCGTCTCAAAAAAAAAAAAAAGAAAGCAAGTTAGTTTATTAGGAAAGTAAAGGAATCAAGAATGGCTACTCCATAGACAGAGCGGCCCCGAGAGCTGCGGGCTGCCCATTTTTACGGTTATTTCTTGATGATATGCTAAACGAGGGGTGGATAATTCATGCCTCCCCTTTTAGACCATGTAGAGAAACTTCCTGACCTTGCCATGGATCTGTAAACTGTCAGGACCTTGGTGGGAGTGTAGCGCTGAGGACGACCAGAGGTCACTCTCGACACCATCTTGGTTTTGGAGGGCTTTGTCCGGCTTCTTTACTCCAAACTGTTTTATCAGCAAGGTCTTTATGACCTGTAGCTATTGCCGACCTCCTATGTCATCCTGTGACTTAGAATGCCTTAACCGTCCGGGGATGCAGCCCAGCAAGTCTCAGCCTCATCTTACCCAGCTCCTAATCAAGATGGAGTTGCTCTGGTTCACATGCCTCTGACAGAACAGTCTCTGCTGTTTCGCCCTCTGGACCAGCCAGAACATTTCTCTCCCTGTCTCTCCACTCTCCCTGGGATGCCACTAGGTCTCTGCTCCTGAGAGCCAGGGTGTTCACCTTGGAGGCACACGGAGTCCATTTTCCACCTTGTGTGACTGTGTGCCTGGTGCTAGTGAGGCAGGAAAACAAGGCCTGGAGACAGGGAACATAAGACCGATTCACACCTCAGCTATGACAGGAAATATCCTCTCCATAGGGCCTGCACCCAGTAAATGACTTTGTAACTTTACTTCATCCTCTCCATTTACAGAGGGCGTACACCAAGTAACCAACGGAATCCTCTAGAAGGTATTTAAACTCCCCAAAATTCTGTAATGGGGCCCTTGAGCCCCATGCTCCGGCCGCTCCCACGCTGTGGCGTGTACTTTCCTTTTCAGTAAATCTCTTCATTCCTTCCTTCCTTTGTGGGTTTTGTCCAGTTCTTTGTTCAAGAAACCAAGAACCTGGGCAACCTCAACAGGTAATGATATGAAATTCATATTCACCCAGTGACTCTGAGCCCTTTTTAAAGAAGAGAGACTTTGGGTGTGTTACTTTACCTCTAGAGGGGCTGAAAGGTCCCCCCAGCTGGGAAACGAAGGCCCAGCCCGAGCTGCTATTGGTGGGCGGCACCCAGGCCATGAGAGCAGAAGACGCTCAGAAAGATCTCTTTCTAAACAAATCAAAGCCCAGTTTTGTTTTTGTTTTTCTGGCTTTTTGTTTTTTTGTTAAAGCAAAGTATCAGACTGCGAATAGACACCAGTTTCATCTCAGACTCACTGCTGGAGAACCAGCAAATCCCTGTGTCTGCCCGGCAGGTTCCTATGGAGAACCTTCGACTGGTTTCCAGGGCAGGAAGCCAGGCCCAACTCTGTGGACTGAGCCAGTGAATCGGCCTCAGGCCAGGCACAGAGCCGGCCCCAGAGGCTGGGGTGAAACACGAGCTGTGAGCTGCAAATCAGAAACAGAGCGACAGGACACTATTTTCATGACGAGGTTCTGGGTTTTTCCCTGATGTTTGTTTCCTCGGTTTTTTTGTTTGTTTTTCCCTTCCCAGTATTTTTGGACTTGAACTTTAGAACTTCAACTTCTCTGAGGTTTAGCTTGGCGGGAGGAGGGGGATTAATTACCGTACCGTAATTTCTCCTGGGATACTGGATTTGGGAAAGGGTATATATCCTAATTTGCCATTCTGAATTGGTTGCATTTGATTAAAAGCATGACTTCTATCATGGAGGGTCCAGCCCTACGGGGCTTGGCGGGTGTTCTCCCCGTGTGTGGAGACGAGAGACCGGAAGAAATAAATACACAAGACAAAGAGATAGAGAGAAAACAGCTGTGCCCGGGGAACCACTACCACCAAGATGCGGAGACCGGTAGTGGCCCCGAATGGCTGGGCACGCTGATATTGATTGCATACAAGACAAGGGGGCAGGGTAAGAACGGTGAGTTGTCCAAGTGATTGATAAGGTCAAGCAAGTCATGTGACCATAGGACAGGGGCCCTTCCCTTACAGGTAGCGGGAGCAGAGAGGGAAGGCAGCATACGTCAGCGTTTTCTTCTATGCACTTTTAAGAAAGATCAAAGACGGCCGGGCGCAGTGGCTCACGCCTGTAATCCCAGCACTTTGGGAAGCCGAGGCAGGCAGATCAGTTGAGGTCACGTGGCCAAGACCAGCCTGGCCAACATGGTGAAACCCTGTCTCTACTAAAAATACAAAAAATTAGCCACGCATGGTGGCAGGCGCCTGTAGTCCCAGCTATTTGGGAGGCTGAGGCAGGAGAATGGTGTGAACCCAGGAGGCGGAGCTTGCAGTGAGCCGAGATCGCACCACTGCACTCCAGCCTGGGCGACAGAGCAAGACTCTGTCTCAAAAAAAAAGAAAAAAAAAAAGAAAGAAAGAAAGATCAAAGACTTTATTTCTTCTACCGCTATCTTCTAAGAACTTCAAAGAGGAACCAGGAGTAAGGGAGGAGCATGAAAGTGGACAAGGAGTGTGATCATTCAAGCACCACAGGGAGGGGGTTAGGCCTCCGGATGACTGCGGGCCAGGCCTGGAGAATATCCAGCCTCCCACAAGAAGCTGGTGGAGCAGAGTGTTCCCTGACTCCTCCAAGGAAAGAAGACTCCCTTTCACGGTCGGCTAAGTAACGGGTGCCTTCCCAGGCACTGGCGTTACCGCTTAACCAAGGAGCCCTCAAGCGGCCCTTATGTTGGTGTGACAGAGGGCTCACCTCTTGCCTTCTAGGTCACTTCTCACAACGTCCCTTCAGCACCTGACCCTATACCCGCCGGTTATTCCTAGGTTATATTAGTAATGCCACAAAGAGAAATATTAAAAGCTAATGACTAATAATGTTTATACTGATTGATAATGTCCACGATAAAAGCTAATGATTAATAATGTTTATACTAATGATTGATATGTCCATGATCATCTCTAATTTGTATTATAACTATTCTTATTCTCTTTATTATACTGAAAGTTTGTGCCTTGTCTTTTTTTTTTTTTTTTTTTTTTTTTTTTTTTTTGAGACAGAGTCTCGCTCTGTCGCCCAGGCTGGAGTGCAGTGGCGCATCCGGGCTCACTGCAAGCTCCGCCTCCCAGGTTCACCCCATTCTCCTGCCTCAGCTTCCCGAGTAGCTGGGACTACAGGCGCCCGCCATGTGCCTTCAGTCTTTTGCCTCCGCACCTGGGTAATCCTCCGCCCACACTATCACATGCCCTGAATAATGGGGTTAAGAACAATTTGGGGTGGAAAACAGGGTAGGAAGGGAACAGATGGCTCAGAACACAGGAAGTTAATTTAACTGCAGTCCAGGGAGGATGGCATTCTGGAAGCCGAGTCGGCCTGAGGTCTAAGGGGCGGAGGGAACTCCAAGCTTGGCCTGGAGCTCAGGGAAGGGAGCTCGCGTGGACTTCAGGAGCCCGGTGGGTGCTTCCTGTGCACAAACGGGCAGGGTCTGAGCTCCCACCGTCTGGAAATGCTGCCCAGTGGATTTCAGCCTCATTTTACCCAGCTCCCAATCAAGATGGAATTGCTCTGGTTCAAACGCCTAGCTTCGCCAGCTAGGGGGTGAACCGGCCACAGATCCCCGGAGGCCAACAGAAGACAGAGCCCCTGGGTCAGAGGCAAGGACGGTTGACTTCTCAGGCAGGGAGGTGGCCAAGGGAACCGCTTCTGCGGCGGCTTCCCAAGCCCCAGCTCCCGCAGAAGGCCTGGAGGGGCCCGGGGACCCGTGCCACGCAGTGAGTGGCGGCAGGACACGAGCCCGGGGGCGCAGCTTCCTGGACACTCTGCCCCCAGACACTGGCTGCCACGCGGGACGGTGACCAGCGCTGCCCTCGGCGCCCGGGAGGCCTCCCAGGGCTGTGCGCCAGGAAAACATTCCCGAACCGACGGCCGGGAATGGAACGGGGCGGGGCGTTTCCCAGCCCGAGGAAAACAGCCCTGAAAGCGCGGCCAGGAATGGATGGGGGTGGGGCGTTTCCCAGCTGCTCTCCAGGGAGCCGCCTGGAGCGGGGGAAGGGGGGGGCGGCGCGTTCCAACGGTGGGGGGGCTCGTTCCAACGGTGGGGGGGCGGGTCTGCGTTTCGGGCCCCCAGACACGCAGCACGCGGAGGAGCGCCCCGCCCCGTCTAGAGCCCCTTCCTCCACAGCAGGGCCGGGGCGCAGGGGGTCTCCCCGCACCCAGCGCGTCCCGCCCCGTCCCGAACACAAAGGGCTCTGCCCGTCCGCGCTCCCACGAGGCGGCCCCTCCCCGCTTCCGGCCGAGGTGCGGTCGTCACTTCGGGGAAACGGAGAAAGCGCCTGGGGGGCGGGGCACACACACCATGCACATACACACCCCACACACACGTACCATGCACACACATATACACACACCACATATATACATGTCACACACATACCATGCACATACATACACACACCACACACATACACACATCACACACACACCATGGACATACACACACACCACACAAGCACCGTGCACACAAATATACACAAACCACATACACACGTGACACACATACACACATGCAACATGCACACACACCACAAACACATGCACCATGCACACACATACACACCACAAACATACATACACACGCATGCACCATGCACACACATATACACACCACGCACATACATGCATCATGCACGGACACACCCCACACATATACACATGCACCATGCACATACACACCACACACACACGCACCATGCACACACATATACAGCCACCACATACATACATATGTCACACACACATACACAGGCACAGTGCACATACATACACACCACACACATACACACAGCACACACACATACACACATGCACCATGCACATACACACATACACATCACAACACACACACCACAAACACACCACACACATCACACACATACACAGCACACATACATACACACATACACACACATACCATGCACACACATATACACACATACCACACACACGGGCACCATGAATGTACACACACACCACAAACATACATACACATATACACTCACACACAGGCACCATGCACATACACACCACATACATACACACATACACTCACACACAAGCACCATGCACATACACACACAACACATACATACACACCACAAACATGCATACATAGATACACTTTTACACACACACTATACATACCACACACATACACACACCACAAACACACCACACACATACATACATCACACACATACACAGCACACATACATACACACACACATGCACCATGCACACACATATACACACAGACTACACACACCACACACAGAGGCACCATGCATGTACACACACCACAAACACACATATGTGCACCATGCACATACATATACACACACCACACACAAAGGCACCATGTACATACACACCACAAACATACATACACACACACACCATACACATACACACAACACACACATACCACAAACACACAACATGCACACAACACACACATACACACCATAAACACACACAATGCACACACCACAAACACGCATACATACACACTTTTACACACACACACCATACATACACCCACACCACACACAACATACACACACCACAAACACATACACACACGCACACCACACATATACACCACACATATACACATATACCACACACACATGCACCATGCACACACATACAGACAACATACACATACACATCACAGATATGCACCATGCTCACAAATGCACATACACACCACACATACAACGTACACACAGGCACCACGCACATACACACACACCATGCATACACACATATACCCACATATACACCACATACACATACACACACTAAACACATACACATGCACACACACGTACACATACACACGTATACACATACACATGCACACGCATACACACACAATGTAAATATGCCCGTGGACCCAGGGTCCAACTGAGTGAACTCCCACAATTTGAGCAACACCTCATTCTACATCCTAACCCAAAGTGTGCTGTAAATACCTACAAGTGCATGGCGATATAAATTTATAAATGGGGGAGAAGAGACAAATCTCCCGTGCAGAAGAATTCTAAACCAATGGCGTAGACACTGCCCCTAAGGAGGAGCAGAGCCCCTCCCAGCCCCTCGACGTGGGCTGGCGCAGGGCCGTCCTTCCAGAGAGCGCGGGGTGGGAAGGGCTGGGCTCCTTCCGCGCGGCTCCACCTGCAGAAACCGATGGAGCTGATCCATCGTGGTTTGCACAGAGGAGCCTGACGGGCTCTGTCTCTGCAGAAGACGAGGCAGGCGTCGAGTTATGAGTCGCACCGGCGATGTTAGGATGGATGCAGATGCTGCTTTACCTCTGGAATCTTCTTCCAAGAAACCTATAACCCCAGCCTCCTCATGACAAAAAGAGCAGGCGAATCTCAGCAGGGGCACCCCGCCAACACACCCGGCCTCTTCTGAGCTGTCCAGGTCGTCAAAAGCAAAACGGCCCAGCCCAGAGGCCCCGGGAGACAGACGCTGAGGAACGCGGTCCTGGAACACAGAAAGGATGTCAGGGAAAACAAATGAGGGACTCTGGACCAACTGTGACTTTATTTGGTCAATAACGCATTAATACTGGTTCATTCATTATAACAAATACACCGAACTAAGCCAGACGGTAAAAACGAGGGGAACTGTTGGTGGAGCTGGGGGGCGGGGAAGCTCTCTGTGTTATTTCTGTAAATCTCAAACCCTTCCGAAAAATAAAGTCCATTCGTTTTTTAAAAATGCTAAACTGGGGCCGGGCACAGTGGCTCATGCCTGTAATCCCAGCACTTTGGGAGGCCAAGGCAGGTGGATCATCTGAAGTCAAGAGTTTGAGACCATCCTGGCCAACCTGGTGAAATCCCATCTCTACCAAAAACACAAAAATTAGCCGGGTGTGGTGGCGGGCACCTGTACTCCCAGCTGCTCAGGAGGCTGAGGCAGGAGAATCGCTTGAACCCAGGAGGCGGAGCTTGCAGTGAGCCGAGATCACTCTACCGCACTCCGGCCTGGGCGACAGAGCGAGACTCCCTCTCAAAAAAAAAAAAAAAAAAAGCGAAACTGACTGTGTTGTCATGCCCCCTCCTCCCTAATTGTGAAAGGCACAATTAGGTGTTGCAGTGGGCCCTGGAAATGGGGTCTCTGCCGGCCCCAGCATGGCAGGACTGGGGTGGCACCTCATGTCTACAGACAGGAGGTGTGGCCCAGGCGGGATCAGCATGGCTCCACCTGCAGAAGCCCTTGGAGCTGGCTGAGCCATCAAGGCACCCCTAGGCATGGGGGCTGCCTGCTGAAGCCTCACTTGATCTGTGTCATCAGAAAAACTCTAGGTGTGGTGGATAGAAGTGAGTCAGTCAGCTCAGTCTGCCATTACAAAACACCACAGAACAGAAATGTATTTTCTCACCTTTCTGGCTGCTGGAAGCCTGAGATCAGGGTGCCAGCGTGGTCAGGTTCAGAAGCTCCAACTCACTGTGTCCTCCCAGGGCCTTTCCTCAGCACGTGCATGTCAGGGGAGAGACAGACAGAAAGAGAGAGAGAAAGAGACAGAGGGAGAGAGAGATGGGGGAGAGACAGAGACAGGACAGAGAGATGGGGGAGAGATAGAGACAGAGAGGGAGAGCGAGAGAAACGGAGAGAGAGATGGGGGAGAGACAGAGAGAGGGAGAGAGAGATGGGGGAGAGATAGAGACAGAGAGGGAGAGAGATAGAGGGAGAGAGATGGGGGAGAGATAGAGACAGAGAGGGAGAGAGACAGAGGGAGAGAGATGGGGGAGAGATAGAGACAGAGAGGGAAAGAGAGAGAAACGGAGAGAGAGAGACAGAGGGAGAGAGAGATGGGGGAGAGACAGAGAGAGGGAGAGAGAGATGGGGGAGAGATAGAGACAGAGAGGGAGAGAGACAGAGGGAGAGAGATGGGGGAGAGATAGAGACAGAGAGGGAGAGAGAGAGAAACGGAGAGAGAGAGACAGAGGGAGAGAGAGATGGGGGAGAGACAGAGAGGAGAGAAAGAGATGGGGGAGAGACAGAGACAGGAGAGAGAGATGGGGGAGAGATAGGGAGAGAGAGATAGAGGGAGAGAGATAGGGGAGAGACAGACAGGGAGAGAGACATGAGGGAGAGAGAGACAGAGAGAGATGGGGAGAGACAGAGAGGGAGAGGGAGATGAGGAGAGACAGAGACAGGGAGATAGATGGAGGACAGAGGGAGAGAGAGACATGGGGAGAGAGAGAGAATTTGTGGGGAGACAGTGCATGAGCTCTGGACTCCCCTGTTATCAGGGCATCAACCCCATCCTGGGGGCCCAGCCTCAGGACTTCATCTGACCCTAATCACCTCCCAAGGGCCCCCTCCAAATGCCGTCACACAGGCTTAGGGCTTCAACATACAGATTTGTTCAGTCCACAGCAAGAAGCCTGGGTTCCTCACAACAGAGCTGTGGCCCCTCTGCCAGTTTCCATTCTGAGCCAGTCCACGGAGCCAGGCCCTGAGGAAGGACCCAATGACATTGCCGAGGATTTTACTGTAAATCTCCTTCCTGGACTTCCCATGGGCCCCTAAGAACCACGCACCAGATGGCTATGAAGGGAACGAGAGATACAGACTTTTCAGGGACCTGGCTGTGCACGGACGTTAATTCCACGGTGGTATCTGCCTGGCAAAGCAGGGGCTTGTGGCCGTCAGGTGATCCGTGAGTTCTAGCTCAGATCTGTCTCTCGGCGAGGCCAGTGACCTGCTCTCTGGTTTTGGAATGCATCAGTGGCACAGACATCCTCAGAATCCTACATTGGTCCCTGACCCATGGGGTGAGGGGTCTCATGTTGGAAAAGGCCAGATGGAGGCCATAGAGCTGCCTCTACCCAGGAAAACAGTCAATCGAAATAAGTCCCGCCTCCCTGGAGGTACAGCAGAGATCGGTGCCACCATCCAGGACCTGACCTGCCTCCCTGGAGGGACAGCAGAGATCGGTGCCACCATCGCGGACCTGACCCGCCTCCCTGGAGGGACAGCAGAGATCAGTGCCACATCGTGGACCTGACGATGCAGGGGCTGGAGACTCCACCACAGCCCCGTTTGCCTGCCTTCTTTGGCCTGTGTGGAAGGCAGGAGGATCTGGAAGAAGGACAGGGAATTGCTGTAAAAAATAATCAGACGGTGGTTAGCGTAACGTCTGCTCCTGACAGGCTTTCACTGAGCAGCAAATCCACACGCTCCTTGCGGCCTCATGGGTGTAGGGTCCAGCCCCACAGGGTCGGTGGGTTTTTCTCCCCATGTGCAGAGACGAGAGAGTGTAGAAATAAAGACACAAGACAAAGAGATTAAAAAAAAGACAGCTGGGCCCGGAGGACCACTACCACCAATGCGCGGAGACCGGTAGTGGCCCCGAATGTCTGGCTGCGTTGTTATTTATTGGATACAAGGCAGAAGGGGCAGGGTAAAGAGTGTGAGTCATCTCCAATGATAGATAAGGTCACGTGGGTCACGTGTCCACTGGACAGGGGGCCCTTCCCTGCCTGGCAGCCGAGGCAGAGAGGGAGAGGAGACAGAGAGAAAGATAGCTTACGCCATTATTTTTGTATATTAGAGACGTTTAGTACTTTCACTAATTTGCTACTGCTATCTAGAAGGCAGAGCCAGGTGCACAGGATGGAACATGAAGGAGGACTAGGAGCATGACTGCTGAAGCACAGCATCACAGGGAGACGGTTAGGCCTCCGGATAACTGCGGGCAGGTCTGACTGAAGTCAGGCCCTCCACAAGAGGTGGAGGAGCAGAGTCTTCTCTAAACTCCCCCGGGGAAAGGGAGCCCCTCCTTTCCCGGTCTGCTAAGTAGCGGGTGTTTTTCCTTGACACTTACGCTACCGCTAGACCACGGTCCGCTTGGCAACGGGCGTCTTCCCAGACGCTGGCATCACCGCTAGACCAAGGAGCCCTCTAGTGGCCTTGTCCGGGCATAACAGAAGGCTCGCACTCTTGTCTTCTGGTCACTCCTCACTATGTCCCCTCAGCTCCTATCTCTGTATGGCCTGGTTTTTCCTAGTTTATGATTATAGAGCGAGGATTGTTATAATATTGGAATAAAGAGTAATTGCTACAAACTAATGATTAATGATATTCATATATAATCATATCTAAGATCTATATCTGGTGTAACTATTTTTATTTTATATTTTATTATACTGGAACAGCTCGTGTCCTCAGTCTCTTGCCTCGGCACCTGGGTGGCTTGCCGCCCACAATGGGCAGCTTATTCATCAGGGAAGGCCTTTGTCTCCACACCTGTGGGTGAAGACCATCGGGATGCTTTGCCTTCAACAGGCAAGGCCAACAATTCACCTTCACTTCCCTCCCTCCAGGAACATCAGCTCCCAGCTCAGAGTCATCGGCCTCGCTTACAGGGACGTCACACTACCCGCTCTGTGGGGGGCATCGTGTGGTCTGGACTTGCTGAGCAGAAAGTAGCCGCTGCCCTCAACACCTCCCTAGAGCATCTGCGAGCCGAACACCTGGGGCCCACACCTCCGGCACGTCTAGGGACCCAGTGGTCCATCCCTTCCCAAGCACAAGGCAAGTGGCTACCTCAGTCCCTTCCTCCACGAAGAAAGAGGCACGATGCCTAGTGCTGTAGGTCCCATGTTATTTGGGAAGCAACTTTTGCCCTATTTGGAAGTGCTGCTCCAACCCCTTAACCCAAGACCAGAGGAGGCCTGCTAGGGGCCACGTGCCACATGGGCTGCTCGGCCACTTGGGCCACATGGCCAAGCACATCCAGTGCTGCTTGAACTGTGTCGAGCTTCTGGCTGGACCTCTGGTTGGCCTCTGCACTGACTTTCAGCAAAGCATTGCCACCATCTGGAGACAGGTGTCCCAGGGTCCACCA